>NC_000002.12:228095678-228398708 GCF_000001405.40 Homo sapiens
TAGTGGCAGTTTGACAGGGAGTGAAGGTCAAGAAAAATATTATTTATTTTTTTATTTGCTTTTTAAAGGACAGTTGGAGAAACGTAAGTATTTGTTGGATGGAGAACTATATGCAAGAATATAAGAGTGTAGTGGTGAATAGCACTTTCATTAACAATGATGACCATTTGTTGTCTTTTGTGATAGAGCAATTTTGAAGGAGCATGATATTAAAGTAATTGAGAAACCAGCTGTCAGTTCCCAATAAAGTAAGGGCAGGAAATTACAGTAAGTTTCCAGGAATTAATCTGAATTTAAAAATTTGGTGTGTCTCTCACTGAATTGTCCTGAAGGAGAAATGCTTTAAAGTGTTAAGTAATGTTTAAAAATTTTGCATGAACATGGGTGGATTGAAAACATCAGCAAGAACTTATGGGGCAGCAAGTGGGTACCAGGGGACTTCAGACTAATAAAACGTGGGCAAAGGAACATAGATGTTTGAAGAATGGCAAGCATTCTAATGAAACCGGGAAAAGGGCAGTGACTGGGAGTGAGGGCTGATCAGGAGGCAGTATGGAGAGGGCAGATGTAGAAGACTTTGAATTGGATACTTGGGTGCAATTATACCTACTGGATTAATTTTTATCTTTTGGATCACTCTTTTGGTTGAGTTTTCATGAAGTAAACTGCTTGCTTATCAGAGTCACAGTTTCAACAGAAATATACACCAGTCCCTCAGTGTACGTTGCAGACTGGTTCCAGAACAAAACCACCACCCCGACAAGCCCCTCTCCCTGCCCTTGAGCACGCTAATATCTCCTGCATATTCAAGTCCCACAGTTGGCCTGGGAGGAACTTGCCCATACGAAAACTGCATCCCACGAGTACTCTATTTTCTATCTGAGTTTGGTTGAATGAAATCCACTTGTAAGTGGATCTGTTCAATTCAAACCCATGTTGTTCAGGGGTCAACTGTGTGTGTGTGTGTGTGTGTGTGTGTGTGTGTGTGTCTGCGTGTGTGTCCACTAACATTACAGATGCTGTGGTGCTGCTGGGTGCCGTCTGGAATATGAAATGAAAGCAGTCTCTGGTCTATAAAGAAGTGTAATATGTAAGTTTGCAAAGACAGAAATTTCCCTTCTGCTTTTAGCACTTTCTCATTTCCTAACAAACCACTAGAGTGAGCTTGTCTTATTTTTACAAAAGAAAGAAATCATACTCTGGAGTCTCTAAACTAAAAAAAACATACATCCTGGGGGTGTCACTAGTCAGATCCATCTTTAATTACTTCTATTTTAAAAATTTACCCTGAGAATCTAGGTGTTTTTCTTTTTTAAGCTATCACTTCTAACTAGTTTTCCTAAGATTTTGGAAGAACTGATTAAGACAGACATGTTAATCCAAACAAATAATTTTGCTGAAGAGAAATAGAAAATTATGTAGTCAGTATCCTTGAAGTTTAAAGGTATTTTAATGAGAAACATTGTTTATTATTGTTTTTCTTGATTGACAGGCTTTCCTCTCAGAGGATAATTGCTATAATCACAGGAATTGTATAAAATTTGAAACTTGAAGCTATTCTGAGCTATTTTAATAATGTACTCTTTTGTCAAAATGAATTAAAAAATAGTTGAGAAATGGTATAAAAACCCAAGTTTTAAAAACACACTTCGATTTATTCATCTAATTATATTTCTAGCGGCAAAAATGTCCAGATACATAAAACATTTCATTATATATTTGAAACTAAGGCTTACATCTCTTGCTATTTTGGGGACCCTGGGACATGCAGATTATTGACTGAGCACTTCTTTTTTATTTTTATTTTGGTGAAATGCATCATTTATTTTTTTTCAACTTTTATTTTAGGCTCAGTGGGCACATGTGAAGGTTTGTTACATGGGTAAATTGTGTGTCATTAAGATTTGGTGTGAGAATAATCCCATGACCCAGGTATTGCACATAGTACCTGACAAGTAGTTTTCCATCTCTTGCCTCTTCCCACACTCCATCTCTAGCAGTCTCCAGTGTCTGTTGTTCCCACCTTTATGTCCATGTGTACCCAATGTTTAGCTCCCACTTCTAAGTGACAACATGTGGTAGTTAGCTCAGGACAAAGGCCTCCAGCTATATCTGTATCTGCAAAGAACATGATTTTATTCCTTTTATAGCTGTGTAGTATTCCGTGGTGTATATACACCACATTTTCTTTACCCAGTCCACCATAGATGGGAATCTGGGTTAATTCCAGATCTTTGATATTGTGAATAGTGCTGTGATGAAGAGACGAGTACATGTGTCTTTTTGATAGAACGATCTATATTCCTTTGTGTATATACCCAGTAATGGGATTGCTGGATTAAATAGCAGTTCTGTTTTAATTTATTTGAGAAATCTCTAAGCTGCTTTCCACAGTGGCTGAACTAATTTGCATTCCCACCAGCAGTGTATAAGTTTTCCCTTTTTTTCTGCAACGTTGCCAACATATTTTTTTTTTAAATCTTAACAAATGGCCATTCTGACTAGTGTGAGATGGTGTCTTATTGTGGTCTTGATTTGCATTTCTCTGATAATTACTGATGTTGAGCATTTTTTCATATATTTGTTGGCCACATGTATGTCTTCTTTTAAGAAGTGTCTGTTCCACATGCACACATATGTTTATTGTGGCACTATTCACAATAGCAAAGACTTGGAACCAACCCAAATGTCCAACAATGATAGACTGAATTAAGAAAATGTGGCACATATACACCATGGAATACTATGCAGCCATAAAAAATGATGAGTTCATGTCCTTTGTAGGGACATGGATGAAGCTGAAAACCATCATTCTCAGCAAACTATCACAAGGACAAAAAACCAAACACTGCATGTTCTCACTCATAGGTGGGAATTGAACAATGAGAACACATGGACACAGGAAGGGGAACATCACACACCAGGGCCTGTTGTGGGGTGGTGGGGTGGGGGAGGGATAGCATTAGGAGATATACCTAACGCTAAATGATGTGTTAATGGGTGCAGCACACCAACATGGCACATGTATACATATGTAACTAACCTGCACGTTGTGCACATGTACCCTAAACCTTAAAGTATAAAAAAAAAAAAAAAAAAGTGTCTGTTCATGGCCTTTGCCCATTTTTTAATGGGGTTTTTTTTGCTTGTTGATTTCTTAACGGGGTGGTTTTTTGCTTGTTTACTTTTTAATGTGGTTATTTGTTTTTTGCTTTTTGATTTCTTTAAGTTCCTTATAGATTCTGAATATTAGATCTTTGTTGGATGTATTGTTTGTGAATATTCTCTCCCATTCTGTAGGTTGTCTGTTTACTTTGTTTATAGTCTCTTTTTCTGTGAAGAAGCTCTTTAGTTTAATCAGGTCCCACTTGTCAATTTTTGTTTTTGTTGCAATTGCTTTTGGGGGCTTAGACAAAAATTCTTTGTCAAGGATGATATCCAGAATGATATTTCCTAGGTTTTCTTCTAGGATGTTTATATTTTTAGGTCATACCTTTAAGTATTTAATCCATCTTGAGTTAATTTGTATATATGGTAAAACGTAGGGGTCTAGTTTCTTTCTTCTGCATATGGCTAGTCAGTTACCCTGCATCATTTATTGAACAGGAAGTCCTTTCCTCATTGCTTGTTGTTTTTGTTGAAGACCAGATGGTGGTAGATGTGCAGCTTTATTTCTGGGTTCTCTATTCTGTTCCATTGGTCTGTGTCTGTTTTTGTACCAGTACCATCCTGTTTTGGCTACTGTGGCCTTGTAGTATAGTTTGGAGTTGGGTAATATGATGCCTCTGGCTTTGTTATTTTTGCTTAGAATTGCTCTGGCTATTCAGGCTCTTTTTTTGGTTCCATATTAATTTTATAATAGTTTTTTTCTAATTGTGCAAAAAATGACATTGATAATTTGATAAGAGTAACACTGAATCTATAGACTGCTTTGGGCAGTACGGCCATTTTAATGATATTGATTCTTCTAATCCATGAGCATAGGATGATTTTCCCATTTGTTTGTGTCATCTATAATTTATTTCAGCAGTATTATGTAGTTCTCTTTGTAGAGATCTTTCACCTCTTTGGTTAGATGTAATCCTAAAATGTGTGTGTGTTTGTGTGTGTGTGTTGTGTTATTTGGCTCTCATCTTGAGTATTATTGGTGTACAGAAATGCTACTGATTTTTTTTTGTTTGTTTTTTTTGAGATGGAATCTCGCTCTGTGGCCCAGGCGGGAGTGCAGTGGCGCAATCTCGGCTCACTGCAAGCTCCGCCTCCTGGGTTCACGCCATTCTCCTGCCTCAGCCTCCCGAGTAGCTGGGACTACAGGCGCCCGCCATCACGCCTGGCTAATTTTTTTGTATTTTTAGTAGAGACGGGGTTTCACCGTGTTAGCCAGGATGGTCTCGATCTCCTGACCTCGTGATCCACCCGCCTCGGCCTCCCAAAGTGCTGGGATTACAAGCGTGAGCCACTGCGCCCGGCCCTGGAAATGCTACTGATTTTTATACATTGATTTTGTATCCCGAAACTTTATTAAAGTTGTTTATCAGCTCTAGGAGCCTTTTTGTGGAGTCTTTAGAATTTTCTAGGTATAGAATCATATCATCAGTGAAGAAAAATAGTTTGACTTCTTTTTTTACTATCTGGATGCCTTTTATTTCTTTCTCTTGCCTGATTGCTTTGGCTAGGACATCCAGTACAATGTTGAATGGGAGTGGTGAGATTGGACATCCTTGTCTTGTTTGTCTTGTTCCAGTTCTTAAGGGGAATGCTTCCAGCTCTTGTTTTTTCAGTATAATGTTGACTGTGGGTTTGTCAGAGATGGCTCTTATTATTTTGAGGTATGTTACTTTGATGCCTAGTTTGTTGAGGGTTTTTATCAGGATGGGATGTTGTATTTTATGAAAAGCTTTTTCTGCATCTATTGAGATGATAGTATGGTTTTCTTTTTAATTCTGTTTATGTGGTGAATCACATTAATTGATTTGTATATGTTCCACCAGCCCTGCATCTTAAAATTAAAGCCTACTTGATAGTAGTGAATCAACTTTTTGGTGTGCTGTTGGATTCAGTTTGCTAATATTTTATTGGGGTTTTTTTGCATCTATGTTTATCAGCGATGTTGGCATGCAGTTTGTTGTTGTTGTTGTTGTGTGTTTGCCAGATTTTGGTATCACAGTGATGCTGGCTACATAGAAAGAGTTAGGAAGGAGTCCCTACTCCTTTATTTTTTGGAGTAGTTTCTGCAGGATTTTGGCACCAGCTCTTCATTGTACCTCTGAGAGAATGGCCAAGCACTTTTTATAAGAGTGGCCCAGAGCTCAGCCCAAGCCGCTTTCTCTATCTGCACATTCTCCCTGGTTGGCTGATCTTTACTTTCTGATGGTCACTCTGAAGACCCTAAAATGTCTATCTCTTGCCCTGATATTGCCAATAACTCCAACTTAACACTCAACTATTTTCTTGACTTCTCCATTTGAATGACTAAAGGGCATCCAGCATCATCCCCACTTCCTAGCTCCAGCCCATTCTTCCCCTCCTTAGTCTTCCCCTTCCATACACTAGAAGCATCCATACACCTAGGAACTCAAGCCATAATCATTGTAGTTATTCCTGATTTCTCTCTTTTCTTCATGTAATTCATTAACATATGCTGTTTAACATACATGTACAATTTTGTAGCCTACTTTTTATATACAGTTACATTATTGGCCTTAATTTCCATGTGCTTAAATATTTCTTGCAAATCTAGTTTATGAAGGATGCATGAGTCTTCATGATGTAGATGTCCAAAGTTTATTTCACTATTCCTATACTGCTGGGCATGTAAATTCTCTCTTAAGTCTTGCCATCACCTGCTGTTAAGTATATTGAATACTTATCTGATGCTCACTGTGTGTAGGCACTCTTCTAGCATTTTACCAGTGATAACACACTTAATCCTTGAATCTATGAGGTAAATACAATTATTATCTCTATTTTGCAGATAAGGAACCTGAGGCAGAGAAAGACTAAACTCACTCAATATTACATAGCTGGAAAGGGGAGCCTATGGGGTTCAAACCAGTGGTCTGACTCCAGTCCCAGGTTCTAAATTGAACCATTCTGTTTGCTTAGACATACCATCTTGTACCATAACCATATTTTATACCAGTCTGCATGCAACTGTGGTCATTTCTTTAAAATATGTCTCTAGAAGTGGATCAGTAGTCATACATTTAAAATGCTTTGTGTGAAACATATTACAAAATTATCCTCCAGAAAGATTATACAACTTTATCAACTTATACTCCCCCTGTCAGTTGCTGAGTGTCCTCTGTACTGTGTGTACATTAACATTGGGTGTAGTAATTTCAAAACTCTTGAGCAATTTACTCAAAATAAATGGTATAATAGTTATAGTTGCATCTCTTTGATTACCAGAGAAGCTTATTTTTCTCATGCGTATGCTAACAATTGTATCTTTTCATATGGCTTTTGCAAACTTTGCTACTGGAATTTTCATTTTTTCATATTGTAGTACAGAAACTCATTATGTATTGAGATTAATACTTGAGTTTGTCAAATACATTGCTTACCTTTTTTTTTTAAACACACTTGTCATTTGGTTTTTAAATTATGTTTATGTTATTTACTGAAGTACAGACATTTTAAAATTTGTTTCTGCAGCTGCATGATACTTAAATAGTCATAGAGACAATCACCTATATTTCACTATAAATTAATTTTCATCCTATTAATTATTGGGAGTCTCACTCTACTTACTTAATACTTAGATATATATTGTAATTCTTTGAGCAAGTAAAACAAAGTCATTGATCTTAATTTTACATGTAGAATTCTACCTACAACCATAAGATCTAATTCGGAGTCCATTTTAAATAAAAATAAATTTGTAAAAACTTTTTCTTTAATAGTTTCAGGATCCAAGATGTTGATAAACGTATGGAGTAAGTCTAAAGCCTGCACTCCATACAGTATTTACTGAATATACTCTAAATTAATGCTGCATTGTTTGGCAATCCACTTCAAGTTTAGCCTTCAAGTTGTTTACTAAAAAAGTTCCTCAATTTTTTTTGTTGTTTGTTTGTTTTGAAACAGGGTCTCACTCTGTCACCCCGGCTGGAGTGCAATGGTGTGATTATAGCTCACTGCTGCCTCGAACTCCTGGCCTCCAGTGATCTCTCACCCCAACCTCCCAAATAGCTGGGACTACAGGTGCTTGCCACCACATCCAACTAATTTTTAAAATATTTTGTAGAGATGGGGCACTTGTTTCTTTTGCCCAGGCTGGCCTCGAACTCCTGGGCTCAAGCAATCCTTCTGCCTCAGCCTCCCAAAGTGCTACGAGTACAGGTGTGAGCCACCGCACCAGGCCCCACTCTTCAGTTTCATGTTTCACTTTTCTTGGTTTCTGTTTCTTCCACACAACCTTCACAGATGTTGAGTCACCTGGCTGCTGTGATGAGTGACTCTCTTCTCCACCGATGTTCTGTGTCATGCTTTTCCCCCAACCCCCCACAGAAACCTAATTCATTGTCTTCAAGTGGCTTGATAAAGTTTAGTAGAAATTTCATTTGACTGAAAGTCAGAAAGTTTCTTCTGGGCCTGCTGGATTTGCTGAGGTGCCTCAGGAACTGCTGCAAAGGGAAAGCCACACAGATGGGCTTGGGGTTTCCCACTCTGCCTCACTCAACTGCCTTGCTTTATTTGTTTTCTCTAGAGCTGGATTAAGGAGCAAGCCTCCCAAGTAGGTCCCTTCTGCACCCACGTAAGGGGGATGGACACGAAAATTCTTGAAAATATGTTAAAATGGAAGAAACAGAACTTATCCAAGGGTCTCTCTCAGAGCGTGGTACTGGCTGAAGTTGGCAGAAATAAGCCCTCTCTGGTGGGGGCTGGGAGCTGCCTCTCACTCTGCCCTCCGCAGCCTGCTGCTTGCTCAGGTAACTCTTGATGCTTAAACTGATTCCTAAAGTGAGTGGGTCCAGCCGAATACAGGACCTTTATTTTGCTCAGAGGCTGGATGACTTCTGCCATTAGCATTTGATAGGTTCTTACTTTTCTACAGACAGCATTTAGCTCCTCCTTAAAAACTGTTAAATAAGTATTTAAAGAATTAATTCAGTACCCCCTGTACAATGGGTACTGAACTAAGATTCCTGCAGGTCTGGGTTCAATCCTGGTTTTATGTATTTACATTCCACACTGAAGTGTGTAGAAATTAAGGAGAATCATGTCTGCAATCCATTCTCTGGTGTTTCCATTTAACAAAATTATATATGTACATTTTCACAGAAACACATGTACATGCAGAGAAAAGGATAAAGCAAACGTGGAAAAATGTTAAAATTTGAGGAGTCTGGGGATCCTCTGCACTCATTGCAATTTTTCAGTAAGTCTAAAATTAAAGAAGTAATAATTTTGAAACTTGATTTTTAAAGAAAAAAACACTAACAGCTTCTTGAAAACTTCATAACTATCTGCACTAGGTAATTTAAAATGTCCTTTCACAGTTCTATAATTATTATATTATATATTATATAATGATTAAATATTATATGTTATATCATTATATTATATATTATATATATCATTATATTATATATTATATATCATTATATCATATATTATATAATAATATTAATAATATAATATTAAATAATTTAATATTAAAATAATATTAAATAATAATATAAATATCATTATATTATATTATTATATAATATATAATTCAAATTATTCAAATATAATATATTGTAATATTTCTTTGATCACGTGAGTCTAGATTCTTCCATAGAACAACTTATCAACTGTGGTGTTTGTCAAATAGGGCTTAGGTATATTTGGAGAAATAATATAAAATACGAATTATATGAGATGTCATTTGTCATTGTTTCCACTGGATTTCATTAGCACAGAAGACTCACAGAGCAGCTATAAAACATCTCAGTTTTGCAATATCATGTGAGGAATGTTGAAGGCTGCTTGAGAGCTTTATTTGCTTGTTTACAAATTTAAGGCAGATACAACACATTTTTAAATACTGTGATTCATCAATTAAAGTGCATGCTAGAAAAAAGGTATAATTTGTTTGGGGGATGATAGCTGGTAGTCTTCAAATAACCAATACGAAAACAGCCTGACAGTAACTATGAATAGAAATAATGTGAATGGTCAAGGTAATGTTAATGAAGTATTAAACCAAAAGATGTTTTCTGAAAAGTCAAAAATTAAATTCTAGTAAACATAAAAAAACAGTGGAAGATTTTTAAAGAACTAATTTTGCTTGCTTTCTTTTCTTTCTTTTTCTTTTTTTTGAAACAGGGTCACACTCTGTTACTCAGACTGGAGTGAGGTAGTGGGATCATAGCTAACTGCAGCCTTGAACTCTTGAACTCAAGCAATCCTTCTGCCTCAGCCTCCTGAGTAGCTGGGACTACAGACATGCACCACTATGCCCAGCTAAGTTTTAAATTGTATGTAGAGATGGGATCTCACTATGTCACCAAAGCTGCTCTTGAACTCTTGCCTTAAGAAATTCTCCTGCCTCAGCCTCCCAAAGTGCTGTGATTATTGGCGTGAGCCACAATGCCTGGCCTAATTTAACTTTTAATTAAAAAAAAAGTCAAGAGTACTGACAAGTTCAATTCCTACCACTTACGTGAAGGACCTCTATCAAGATAATGTCTCAGCTGTTGGGTTTTGGAGATTGGCTTCCAATTCCATTATCCTACCCCTCATTTCCTTTCTTTTAAATAATGAGGTTTAAAAAATGCCATGAAGGTTAGTATATATTTTTTCAGAATAGCAAATTAGAAAAAGAAATAAAATTATATTGTTTGATAGGAGACTTTAATTAGAAACACATAAGCACAGTTTTTATATTTGATACTGATATGGTTTGTGTGTGTCCCCACCAAAATCTCATCTTGAATTGTAGCTCCCATAATTCCCATGTGTTGTGAGAGGGACCCAGTGGGAGATAATTGAATCATGGGGGTGGTTTCCCCCATACTGTTCCGGTGACGGTGACTAAGTCTCACAAGAGCTGATGTATTTATAAGGGATTTCCCCTTTTGCTTGGTTCTCATTTTCTCTTGCCTGCCACCATATGAGTTGTGCCTTTTGCCTTCCACCATGATTGTGAGGCCTCCCCAGCCACGTGGAACTGTGAGTTCATTAAACCTCTTTTTCTTTATAAATTACCAAGTCTCGGGTATTTCTTTATCAGCAGCATGTAAACAGACTAATACACATAGCTTTTGAAAAACTACTGAAGATGTCTTCAGGGGGCTTCTGAGCCAGACTTCCTGGATAGCGGTTCCTGTTCCGCATGCCTATCATATTTCTAGCTGCTCCAAACTGCTCTTCACTAAGACTTCTTATATTAACCGTGAAATGAGTGCGGTTTCCCACTGAAGAAATGACTATAACTCATCATTTGATGCTTGAGAACAAACAGGGGTACTGAAATATGCACACAACCCTCTCAATATTTTCCAAGTCTGAGATTGTTCCTCAATAAAAATATTATGTGGACATCTTGAATTCAGGAAACTTTGCTACCTCTAACATACTGAGATCAAAGAAACCACACATCTAAACACTAGAAGTTCATTACAGTGAATACCAAACCAATCACAACTGGATATGAAAACGTTGGCTACTAATTTAGGTCAGGATGAAATAAGTTAAAGAAGCAAGAATAACCTGGAGCTGGGTCCCCCCAGAGTTATGAACTGGTTACAAAGCAATAATAACTGAATTACTACAGGTTCCTCAGATTCTCTTGTGATTATATGTAAAGACATTTAAGTTTGGGATGATTTTATAAAACTATTCTTAAAATTAAACTTTAATGAGAACATTATTTTAAAATATAATCTATTTTCCCTCTTTAAATTATACTTTCATTTGCATGCTGGTGTGGAGAACTGGTTTTGAAAAGGAATTAAGTCCTTATTCCTTGACGATTTTGGTCACTGCTTCTGTGTAGCTATTTTGCTCATGAATTCCTTGTCCTAGTCCATCACCTCTGTGGTTTACTTCTATTTCTTCTGTAGGTAATAATTTCCCTCAGGAATGTGCAACTCTGGACATCAAAGTTTCTTCTACCCATCCTAGAAATATGTGCCAAGCCAGAAAGACAGGGGATTTGGAAATTAAGAAAAGCAACTACAGGACACTTTTGAGAGATTAGGGTTAGTTTTTCATAGGGACCCTGAAATTTCCTTTAGGTTTAGAGTCCTGGATACTTTTTAAAAATGTTTTAAGTTTTAAATTGACAAATAAAATTGAATATACTTATTGTGTACAACAAGCTATTTTGAAATATACAGTGTATACATTCTGGAATGGCTAAATTGAACTAATGAACATATGCATTAACTCACGTAGTTATCATTTTTTTTTTGGCTGAGAACACTTAAAATCCATTCTTTTGGCATTTTTCAAGAATACAACATATTGCTACTAGTTATCGTCACCATGTTCTACCATAGACCTCTTAAACTTATCCCTTCAATCTAAATTAAATTTTGTATCCTTTGACTAACATCTTCTCAACCTTCCCTGAATCCATTATCTCAGCCCCTGGTAACCACCATTCTACTCTCTACTTTTATGAGTTCAACTTTTTTAATTCAATTTTTCATTTTTGTGGAAGTTTCAGTTATTACAAACTATTGGGAGCAAATGAATCTTCCAATATGCCTCTTACTTTTGTATAGGTTTTTCCCATTTTAGAAGGATTAGGGAGAATCATAAAGGTGGGATAAACCAGCTGAACCACACTGATACCATCTGACACTATAAAGGGACTACAGATTTAAAGTTAGCATTCTCATTGTAGGTCTGAAATCCAGACCCCCAACATATACTCTTTGCCTTTCACTAGACAATTTTTAGTACCTCAACTTTAGTGAGTTCTCCTGAGAGACTTTTTATTAGGAGCTGTTCAAATCACAACTTTGACCAAAGCGTGTCTGCTGATAGCTTTTCCTCTCCATTTTACAATTTATGGCTGTGTAACTAGAGATCTGTATCTGCAAATGCCTGAATTTTCCAACTCATCTCAGAACTGAATTTGCAAAGAAGATATCACTTAAATTTTTGCCACTTAATTCTTTGTGTTTTCCCCAAGGAATCCTAGCCAGCAACTAATTTTCTGGACAAGGGATCAAAAGTACGAAAAGCAGCAGAATCATAAACTTTTGCCTAAACAAAGGGATTGACTTAAATCTATTGAATGGACTGTATTTCTGTGCAGTGTGAAATGTTTAACATCCTCTGTCTGCCAGTTCTGGTTCTTTAGTTCTGCTCATTATATATAAAAAGCCTTGCTATCCCATATTCAGCTTCCTTTTTTGTTTCTTTTAACAGAAATGCTGGCATGCAACTTACCTCCAGGAATAGCTCAGAGCTGATGCTCTCAATTTAGTCATGCGAATTACATTACATTTTTCTCCTCTTTGGAAACACTCTCCCCCAATCTCTGTAATCATGACCCCATTAGAGCTAGGTGATTTCAATCAAAATGAAACATATAGTTTTCTCTAACATATAGGAAGGAACATATTCTACAATAATATCTAATCACATTCCAAGCTGAAAGAATTATATTGTTTTTCTGGAAGAATATCTTTTCCCTTGGAAAAGAAAGTTTTGTATGTAAGGCTCAGCGTCAATATATTAAAATGTATGACTGTTTATTTTTTTAGGTTGAAAAGTTTTTTTCAAGGTTTTCAAATAATGACTGTAACATATAAGAATGATGGAACATTTGTAGACACTTTTCATATTAGAAAATACCTACTAGCAGGTGATATAAAATATACTGAAAAGAATACAAGAGAGTTGTTGAATGGCTTTCTACTTCTCATCATACAATTCTATTTCTGAATCTTTTTCGCAGTCATTTTTGTAAATATAAACATTTTTTCTATTAGATAACTTACCTGTTAAAATGAGCAAAATGGGGATACAAACATTAGCTCTGAATGCTATTTTGTTAACTGTCCATATAAACCCGCTATGTATTTTCAAAGGAATATTTTCTCAACTTGGTATTTAATGAATTATGAAACTTTTGGTCCTAAACATGGGTACATGTGCCCGCTTCCCTGCTTTATCAGACAACATCCCAAGAATTCTGTGTACTTACAGAAGCACAGTTTTCAGACTTGTCTTCTACAAAACCAATTTGGCAGGGCATCCTCTGATTCTGCAACCAGTAGTCTGTTGACTCCAGCAGGCTATTGCTGCGAAGAACCTGGAGGAACCCAGAAAAACTCAGTTCTTATTCGGCAATCCTTTCTATCTAAACAGCAGCTCTCTCTCTTTTTTTTTTTTCTTATAAAAAAACCTGTAGGTGTTTTCTTTTCCTCAGAGCTTCTGGGTGTTAGAAAAAAACTTGCAGGATGATAGCACCTCTAAAATGTATAAAATATCCAACCTAGAATTAGCTTGAGAGAAATACATTAATGTTAACACAGATGTTCTCTCATCAAATCCAACACCTGGAAATGTCAATTGTGTAGCTTTTGCATAATTTGCAATCAAATGATTGTTTTGGGGGTATGGCTATGTGGGCAATGGGGATCAAATTTCATTTAGTGCTAGTGTTCTTTCACACTCCATAAGTATTTTCAATTAACAAAATATGGGGTTTTTCATTGATGGAATATTGATTCTTCACTTCTTTGGTTCTGCTAACTTAGCTTTGAACTAGTGTACAATTTTTCTAGAACACCTAAGGTACTATGTTAAGTTTAAAAGTTGTTAGAAATAACTTATAAACAAATTACATTAAATACCATTTGCCATTTAGAAATAGCACGGTATGGCAAAAATAATTGGAATACATGAATTAACAAAACCAAATATGACTGACAAATATCTGATTTCTGGTCTTGGATTCTTAAAGCAAGGAAGAACAAGCATATTTTGGAGCTGAGATATTTTGAAGATGAAATATTATCAATAACTGCTAATGTCTTTAAATTATCCAAATATTGGCTGGGCGTGGTGGGTTACACCTGTAATCCCAGCACTTTGGGAGGCCGAGGTGGGTGGATCACCTGAGGTCAGGAGTTTGAGACCAGCCTGGCTAACATGGTGGGACCTCGTTTCTACTAAACATACAAAAAGTTGGCCAGGCGTGGTGGTGCGCCCCTGTAATCCCAGCTACTGAGACAGGAGAATCACTTGAACCCGGGAAGTGGAGGTTGCAGTGAGCTGAGATCACACCATTGCACTCCAGCTTGGGCAACAAGAGTGAAAATGTCTCAAAAAAAAAAAAAAAAAAAAAAGCCTAATATTGTATCACATTTTCTTCATCTTTTAAAAGATTCCCAGTGCTTTTCTGGTACCCTCTATTTTATTAGGGTACGTGTCTGCTAATACTTGACTACTACTTTCACTGAAGCAACATAACAGATTTAATCAGTTTGGTTAATGCCACTAAAATAGGATAGTACTTCAATTACATTTCATTCGTACAACAAAAGATTGTCTTCTCTTTTTCTGTAAAGACAGAAATACATTACTTTTAGTCTCTGAATACAGTTAACTAAATCTAATTGTGACACATTTTAGATGAGTAATATTACTCATCTAAAAATAATGAAAATTTAT
Organism: Homo sapiens; assembly: GCF_000001405.40. NCBI lineage: Eukaryota > Metazoa > Chordata > Mammalia > Primates > Hominidae > Homo > Homo sapiens. Next base: position 228,110,304 of record NC_000002.12, read on the forward strand.
TAATGATAAATGTTATCATTTATAATAATATAAAATATAATCGCATATCAAAATATCATTTATTATATTAGTGATAAATTTTCATTAATAAATTTTCATCATTCTTTCTCAGAACAGTACAAAGAGACCCTTTGTGGATGAGCAAGTAATTGAATGATAAACTTGGATTATTACTGCAGACTGACGTTGGCTAGGGAACCTCTCAGTTCTCTTAAATATTTTACCTAAACTGGTTCTTAAAGCATGGGCTAGGACCTATCAGGGTCCCTGAAATCTTTCAGAGAGTGCAGCAATCAGACTACTTTGATAATAATACTAAGATGTTATTTGTTCTTTTTGCTCTTGTTGTCTCATGTATATTCTGTGGAGTTTTCCAGAGGCTACATGATGTGTGACAGCACAACAGACTGAATGCAGAGGCAGCTAGGACAGCTCAGCTGTCTTGTATCAAGTCAGACATTAAGGAGATTTGCAAACATGTGAATTGAAATCACTCTTCTCGCTAAAGGGTTTTGTTTTGTTTTGGAAAACAAATATTTTTCTTAAAAATATGTTATATAGGATAATGTGTTTATTATTATTTTAAAATTATTTTGTCAAATAACAAATTCTTATTTATTTAATTTAAATTCTGTTTTATTTGAAAATAAAATAAAAAATTTTCTTAGCTTTAATTTGTAATATGGAAATTAGCAATAAGTATAATCTCTCTAAACGAGAGTTTCTTGAGGTCCCTAATATTTTTCTTAGAGTGCAAAAGAATTTTGAGTTAAAAAACATTGAAAACCATTGACCTAGATGAACTTTATTTAAAGCAGAAAAAGGCTCTAAATCCACTTCACTTTATGCCATTCACATGCCTTTCCCTTGTATTTCAGGCATAGAATAGAGTTTAAGAGCATCAACATTACTGGTCTAACTGAGTTGAAATCCTAACTTGGTCATTAGTAGCAGGATGACCTCAAACAGATGACTTAAACCCTGAGGTTCAGTTTCCACAGCTGTGAATGCAGGTACTACTCATCTGGTGGGATCACTGAGGGTATTCAGTGAGATGATATATGTGAAACACTGTGCCATGGAAACGGTAAGCTATTCTCTCAGAACTTGGGTTTTACTGTTACTATTTGAAGGTGGCTGAAAAGGATAATAGAACATTGGATGCCTTCTGTCTGAAATGACAGGACTGAAAATATTTCAGATGTGTGATGGCAAATTTTCTTTAGCAAATATTCTGGTCTAAGGTGTAATTTTAGTTATGCATTTTGTAGTATTAATAGTTACAGCTACTATTTTTGCATGCTTAGAATATGTTGAAGTTGTGCTAAAATTTTCCTATATGTATATTTTTACTTTTTCATTTAATCTTTTTTGCAATGCCCTATGGTAGGAATTATTATAAAGATACAAATCTTTACAGAAATTTTCAGGTTGAAAATGAAGACCTTGAGTCTCAGAGAGATATGAATTTCTGCCCCAAATTGTTCAGAGCCTGACTTTGGATGTGAAATTACAGAAGAGGGCTGTCTTATATACCCATACAAATGGGTATGATTTGGGGTAGGTTTCCAAAAACTTATCTGCATCTATTTTTTTTTGTAAATAAAACTACATTTTCTTATGGACTTCCATTTTAAAGTTAGTTTTCCATTAATGAAATTCTGAGGTGACAATTTTCTTGAAAGAGAGGAAACTTTTTGTGATGTAAATTATATAATGTAATTAATCTACTTGGCAAGTATTATCAGTATTTTAATTTCTCAAAGGAAAGGATGCTTTTACACCTACTTGAGTTATCTTTAAGCCAACTGATGTTATCATGCTTCTGCTCCTTGCCTTTCTGTGATCCCTAGATTTTGGAACACCCATCAATAAAACAAAGCACTCATTAACTCTGTGTCATAAGAACATTAAAGATTTAAAATACAGGTATCATCGCTTCTTGGCCTTTTGGCTAAGATCAAGTGTAAAATACAGGCATCAAATGAATATACTAGTTAATAATGTCTTACAATGCAGTTTAACAAACATTCTGACTAAGAATCACTTCTTAGTCATTCTAGAGCTCACTACTCAAAATTATATCCTGCACCTTGTCTACATTCTAAGATATTTAGGACACATAATACCATGGTTACAACAAAATATTTCAACAGAGAAAAGCAACTGTCACTTATCGGTATCAGCCTTAGGAAGGTGACAGAGTTCGAAACGCAATTCACTTGGTGCTTTCAGAAAATTGGTGTGCTGGGTGGGTACATTTTCGTGGTGAAACACAGACAGGCAGAGGGGGACTTGCCAAAAGTCATCAGTCTGAAACCTCCCACTGCGAAGATTCCAGAGCTATGAAAGGGGCTGTCTGCAGACCAGGCTAGTTGGGAGAAGAGCTGGCTACCTGTGGGATTTCACCTGCACTTAACTTCTCTAACAGAGAAATGTGCACAGACAGATTAATCTGCCGAGTCCTCAGCAGATATTTTAAAGATTTTTTTTGAACCTATTTTAAAAATAAATAACTAAAAATATACAAAGATCTTGCTCTGTCCTATCCTAGAAGTGAGGAAAATGTGAAGTGCTTTAGAGACCTGCTCATTCAATGAAAAATTCTAGAAAGATTTCTCATTTGACTCTTCCATTTCCCTGGGATACTGTGCATCTTTCCTAAAGCACATCTTTGCTTTAGAAGAAACGGAAGCAGCAGAATAAGGAACTGGAATTTAAAATAAAACCTAAATCTTGCCGTGCTTAAGAAGAAATGTTTGGACGAGAGCTTCTTTGTTTGGTGAGAATATTCATTTGCCACATACATGCAACTTTAAAATTTTAATTTTATCATCGTTAAAAATTAGTTAATCTGATTATATCAGTAATTAAAATAAGATATATTTTTCCATAAATTTCATTAACATTTAGATGATTCATTATTAAATATTTATATTCTTTAATTATTGACCAAATAGTAGTACATTTATTGAGAACTGTCTGGGCTAACATCCTAACCTACACTATTATCTGAATTAAATTTCTAGGCTTGTGAGGTAAATTCTCAAGGCTAACATAGATAAGGTTCTTAAAACAGTGCCTGGTGCATCCTAAGTGCCCGATAGGCATTAGCTATCATCATAGTTACTATTTCCTTTGCCCAGGCTTAGAGGGATCAATACTTTATCTAGTTTTTGCAGAACGAGAATTTCAGTCAGGCTCCCAGACATTAGAGCCTCCACTAAGGCAGTGTTCCATTGAAATTATATAGCTTCTCATTTTCAGCTTCTACCAAATCCCAGTCTATGCATTTAGCCATCTCTCTCTCTCTCTCTCTCTCTCTCTCTCTCTCTCTCTCTCTCTCTGAGCTCAGGTGTGTTCAGGAGGTTTGAATTCCAGTCCTGACTCCTTGTTAACTGTGTAGTTAAGTCCACTAGCTCCCAGCCTCCCTTTGCCTTTGGTAAACAATTAAAGCAAATGATCTGAAGGCCACTTCTATACCAAATACCATGTAAGTCTCCTCCTCCCTTCCTCTTTTGCTCCTCCTCCCTCTCCCTTTCTCAAATAGTATGCATTGAGAGCCAAATAAGTAAAAGAGAATAAAAATGCAGACTTCAGTAAACCACTTAGCATCATATATAAAGCAATTTTAGCCTGTGAAAAGCTTTTAGTTTCATGGCTTGGACAAATCATTAGGAAAAGAAGAATGCTTGAAGGAAGAATATGTGCTTGAGAATTCAACAATTTTGAAGCTTTATGAATATATTCTCCCTGCTGAGAGAGTTGCTTTCTGAGAAGGAAAAGAGAAAAACTCACCAGGCTCTCAATGGCTCATTTGTCTGCTATTTTTAGTTATGGACTTATTTTAGATGAAGAGCTAATAATGAATGTTTTGTGTGTTCACAAATTTGAAATAATAATGGCACATTTTCTTTTCAAATTTCATGAGTTCAGCAAATAAGGTTAGGAAGATCCTTTTGCTCTACATTACAGTTACGTTTCTTTTTATATAGAGAACCAAGTTGAAGAAATTTAGTATTGATTAGACAGAGAGGGAGAAATAGACTTTGGACACAGCCCCAAACATGACTGAGCAATGTCTTAATATTTTTTAAGTAATTTAAATTGGAGAAGACAGTGACTGGTGATTAATCTTGGAGGTTTGGAGGCAGAACTGAAATTAAATCCCATTTCATCCTACTGAATGAGCTTGGGCAAGTCATTTAACTTCTGTGGGACTTAGTTTTTACGTCTATTACATGAAGATAATTAAAGACATTTCAGAAGTTTATTCTAAGGATCAAATGAGAACATGCTTGTAAAGGGCTAGCCTCAACAGAGTATGCAATTGATACGTGGTTGCTATTAGTATCAGAAATGCAGGAAAATTTAGACAATATCTGTTTCATCGAACATTTTCTTGGCCTCTTCACAACATTTGACAATTCCTCTTCTTTTATTTATAATTTGTGATGTGCCATTCTCATTTTTCTTCTCCTACTTCTCTACTCTCCTTCAGTCAATATCAGTCAACCAATGCTCATTGAGCTTTTTTGATGTCAGCACTGAGAATATTAAGAGCGATAACTCTTCTAGAGAAAGAACAAGCACTCTGACTGTGATAAAGGAAATCTGGTGCTTTGATCCAAGACAATCCAGGTCAGCTATCACCAAGGATGGACTGGTCAGTTCTCCCTGGAGGAGGGGATGGCAAAGGGCTTGGCCCTTGACTAGAGCGTTGAAAGGTGGATTTGTGTTGTCTGGATGTATCAGGGCAGGTGGAGAAGACATGTCTCTCTTTTCCTACCCAGGTGCCATAAATATAAGTATTCCTTATAGTTTGCTCATCAGTGTGTTGGTGTTTCTACTCCCATCAATCATTTTCCTTATCTCCTTATCGTTTGCAGAGTCTCAGGGAATTAATTACCACCTGGAGGGATGACTTGCTGATCTGTAGCTCCAGGTTTAACCTTTCTGTAGAGCTTGGCTTTTCGCACTCCTGTTAGTTATTACTTTTGGATTTCTTGCTGTCACCTTGGACTATTCATGTCTACACACAAACTCCCTCCTTCCCCACTTCCAGTGCCTGAAAGAAACCTGACTTCCTGACTTCCCTATTTGCAGTTGATATCAGGACAATTCTCCCAGTTACCCTGGCTTGAAAATTTGGTGCTATCTGGAACATCTCTTTATCTATTTCCTGTCTTACAGTCTGCTCTCCAAAGTTTAATTTGGAGAGCAAATTACTTAACAATTAGCAATTATTTAAGTTCTTTCAATTACTTAAAAAATAGCAATTTTTTAGTGCATACCATGGATTACTCTCCAGGTAATACAACAGTGAGTAATATGTAACCAGTCTCCATATTTATGGAACTTAATATCTGGCATGGGGGCCAAACAGAAAATAAGGGAGCATTGAAGTACACACTTAATTACACACTGTGGTGGGTATCATGAAGAAATAAACATAGTGCAGTGATAGGGAATAAAAGGGATGGGGATTGTTATGGTCTGAATGTGTCTTCCTCTCTCCCCACCCACCCCACCAACTCATAGGTTAAAATCGAATCCCCAATGTGTTAGCATTAAGAGGTAAGGCCTTTGGGAGGTGATTAGGTTAAAAGGGCTCTGCCCTCATGCATGGAATTAGTGCCCTTATAAAAAAAGGCTTGAAAGCTTTTTGCCCTTCTCCCATGTGAGGATATGGCAAAAAGGCACCATCTATGGAGAATGAGCCTTCATCAGACACTGAATCTGCTGTCACCTTGATCTTGAACTTTCCAGCCTCTAGAACTGTGAGCAATAAATTCCTGTTGTTTGCAGATTACACAGTTTAACGTATTTTGTGATAGCAGCTCTGACAAACTAAAACAGAGATGATACTTGAGAAAGGAAGTTAGGGAAAGCTGGACACACACAAAGGTCCTATGTGTTCGTATTGTAATTCTCTCATCTCTCTGTCTTCCTTATCTCTGAAATCCATCTAGCTCACTAAAACCAAAACAAAGAATAAAAATGTAAGCTTTGAAGACAAATCTGATTTCAAATTCCAATTCTTCCATTATTTAACTGTTCAACGCAAGGCAAGTCACTTAACTTCTTTGAGACTCAGTTTTCCCGAAAATGAGAGTGGTATTTCTACTCACAGTGAGGAATCTTTTGCAGACATTAGAAATAATGAATGCACATAGTATCTGATTATTTCAAGTGCTCACAAAGAGCAGCTATTGTTATTACTAATATTATTACTAATGTTATATAATTCTCTCATAAGACTTTAACTTCAATTGACTAACTGATCCAATAAATATGACTGAGGACCTTCTAATCCTGTCAGAAACTAAGCTAGGTTTTGCAAAACAAGACAGAGGGACAATATTTGCTGTGGGTGAGCCCAAAGTTTTATGGGCTTTTTGCCAAACAATAGGCTAGCATTCAAGACAGAACAGATTCTAATTCAGCTCTCTCTTGCTAATCTTTTGATAAACAGTGACTAAACTCCAATGTTTAAGATACTGCATTTTGCCCAATTTAGACATTTCCTAGGCTTTGTCTCAGATTATCTCCCTCCATAAATGCTCTGCTATAATCCACAGGTTTAATAAACAGCTCTACCATATAGCCTTTATGATGCACACATTTTTTTCATATCATTCCACCTGCTCCCTGAAGTTTTCATCAATGTTCTTCCCCAACCCTCAAGATATAACTGAAACTGAGCCTGTCCCAATATAAATATTTCTCTGTTCTTGTAAAGTCTTTGTAATACAAACAAAATTTCTTCCTCAGAATATTGGAAGGTGCATGCTTCCCACTATCTATGAGTATTATGTAAGTATATACGTATTCAATTTGTGTCCCACACTTTTCTCCCTACATGCCATTGGTACAGAGCAGCTGCTTGCTGTTAGACATCAAAATCTCTTATCAACATATCTTGAATACATTTATTAGACTCTATACTTGATGATAACTTTGGACGGTGTGATGTTAACTTTCGAATGAGACACAAATTATTAATGAATGTGTGCTGGAGATGTGGAGAGAAAAAGCTAGAGGAGCAGTAAAATAAAGGGAGCCAGAGAAGCCCATTGGAAGAGGCATGGGCATCACTCAGAGGAGACTCTCCAGGCTCCTGTTGTAGTTCTAGGCTCTTTCTAGGGCACTCAGTTACATTTTCTTACACAAGAAGACTGCGATGTGAGTGGCTCATTGGACTTGAATAGTGAATGGTGAAAATGGAGAAGAGATGATTGGAATGAAGGCAAGTACTAAGACACTTTGACCTATTTGCTTGGCAAGATAATGACATCTTTACTCCAGGTAACATTTTCTTGATAGAGATACCACATTCCTACAGAATTCACTTTTTATGTGTAAAGTTCTATGAGTTTTGAAAAATGCACATGATTGTGTAACCAGCAGCCGAATCAAGATATAGAACAGTTTCATCACCTTCCTCAAATCCATCCTTCTCCTTTTAGTTAAAGGTATCCTAAGTCCCAGCCCCTGGCAACAACTGATCTGATTTCTTTCCTTTCCTTTTTTTTTTTTTTTCTGTAGAAGGTGAATAAAGAAAATTGCAAAATTTTATTGGTTCATTGAAAAGAGGACCTGAATAAGTGAAAAATAGTGACAAATTAAGGGAAAAAATTGTGACATACTAAGAGATAAAAAGACAATATTTTAGCTTTATTCTAATTTATTGATCTGATTTGTATCCCTACACAATATTATAGCTTTATTCTAATTTATTGATTTGATTTTTATCCCTAAAATATTGCCTTTTCTAAAATGTTATGCAGATGGAGTCCTATAATACGTAGCCTTTTATGACCTGTTTCTTTCTCTTAGCATAATGAGTTTGAGATTCGTCTATATTATCATATGCATGAGTAGTCACTTGTTTTCTTTTATTGCTGAGTAGCATTCCATTCTGTGGAGATACACAGTTTTTTTTTTTTTTTTTTTTTTTAAGCCATTCACTAGCTGAAGGAAATTTGGGTTGTTTCAGTTTGGGGCAAATATAAATAAAGCTGCTATAAACATTTGCCTACAGGTTTATGTCTAAATTTAAGGTTTTGCTTTTCTTGGGTAAGTACCCAAGAATGAAATTACTAAGTCATATGGTAAATTTATAAGAAACTGAAAAAATGTCCTTTAAAGTGGGTTTACCATTTTCCATTTCCACCAGCGAGGTATGAGAGTCCAACTTGTCCCTATCCTTGTCAGTACTCAGTATTGTCAATTTTTGCTTTTACATTTATTTTAGTAATTCTAACAGGTGATAGTGGTATTTCTTTGCGGTTTGTTTTACTTTCCATTTTAAGATATCTTTTTTCTTTTCAAGATACTTTTAAAATAAAAAATTAAGCATGGATTCCATATTGGCTCATATCATATTCAAAAGTATTAGTTAGACTCTATATTTAATGTTAGCTTTGGAATGCTATTATAAAACAAGGATAATGCCATCCATATTAAGTTTTCATTCGTTCTTTCATTCGACTACTTGTTAAGCACCTGCTGTCTGTACTAGGCACTGTTTATTTAACTGGAGCATTGGTGCACAAAACAAGAATAACAACAACAAAAAAACCATTTTCCTTTTCATTCTGTTGTAGGAGGACACGTCATAATCACATAAATTATAAATAAGCATATATGTCAGATAATGAAACTACTATGAAAATAAATAACTATTATGAAAATAACTAAAGGGATAAGGAAATAAGGGGTGCTATTTTGTAAAGTATATCTTGGCAGGCCTTTCTAAGGATGACATTGAGCAGAGATCTGAATGAAGTGAGAAGCCAGCCACACTCCCATCGGAGGGCAGAGCAGCCTCCCAGGCAGAGATTACTGAGGAAGGCAAACGTTCATAGCAGGAGTGTGCCTGGTGTGTTTGAAGGACAGTAAATGGCTGGTGCAGAATGAGTGGTGGAGGAAGTGATGGGAAATGAAGGTTCCCAGTAGTGGGAAAAGAATCTTTTATCCTTCATTGAAAAGACATTCATTGCTGAGCTGGGCCAGATATTCTTTAATGTCTTGAAGCATTCTAAGAGTCTACAAAACATTTTTAGTATAATTTTGCAAAGTTTAGTCACTGGCTTAATTAATGCTTAATTGCTGACTTAAATATTTTATAATAGTTTAAAAGCCTAGTATACACACACACACACACTCTCTCTCTCTCTCTCTCTCTCTCATGCTGGACTAGAAGTCAGGAGGTTTCATGTAATTTTATACATTTAACTTCATGCTGATTTAGCTTACGCCATAGCAAACTTTCTGAGAATTCTATAGTCTTTTGTTTTCTACTCTGGGATATAAATACTTTTCCATTATTTCACAGGGAAACTGTGAAATGCCTATTTAAAGCACACTGAACTACTAAGAAGAAACAATAAAAGAAAATGGAAATAAAATTATTGTGTGAAAGAAAAAATTTGGCATCAGAAACTGAGTGAGTTAGTCTCCATTTCTCAGAAGGTTTAATTAAATGTTAGGATAACATTTTTCTCTTAATGATGATTTTATTGGATGACTGCCTGAGTCCTTGTGTATTATCCTCCTTTGACAAAAAGGAGAAATTGCTTCCAAAGTATGAATATTATTTTATTATTCATATGACATATTCTGTAATTCTATTTGGTTGGATGTAAAGCATTCATGCATTATACCATTGACACCTAAGAAAATTTAGAAATTTTGTAACTGATTATTTTAAAAGTGTTGTAAAATAATGGAGTTCTTTTAGCTCTTGGAACAAAATGATTCTCCGTTATCAAGAAGAATTTACCAGATCAAAGGTGTGATTAGTTAGAAGGGTTGGGAAGGAAATGGTTATTAGTGAGCCTACCATTCATTCTCTCCTTTTACTGTGAAGGGGGGTAGGAGGGAAGACTACCAGAGAAGAGAAAAGGTAAACGTGTCATCTTATGATAAACATACAAATGAGTGACCTTCAGATAAACTAATTGTGTTTTTCTAGTAGGAGAGTCCTTATCTATGAAATGCTTTTTGCAATATATACCTGGTCTAAGTTTGCTTCTGGTAAATAAATATGGATTACACTGTTTTATGGAGCATTTATCTCTGACAAATATCACATAAGGATATAATTTGAGCACAAAATGGAGATGCTTTATGAACAAAAGCCCTCCTTTCTTCGGAATTTATGTCCCCATATATGTAATTTAGAGACTTTGTATGTTACCCTGGGCCAGAACGCATCCTAAGATGGCAAGAAATGACCTGCATAGCTTCCACACAGTCTCAGATATCTCCCTATTTTTCTTGTGCCACTCAATTACTCATATTCTGGAAGCTACACTGTATCTTAATGTTGTCAAAAGAATAAGAGTACAGAGGACTAGTTAGAGCTTGGGAACTGATGAGGACTGGAAAAGAAGTATCAAGCCACACTACTTCTGTCATATCACACAGATGTCAGCTGGCTGAAGAAGGCTTTGAAAGTTGATCAGAGCTTTATCCATACGAATGCAGTAACTGCGTTTGAGTCTCAAGTATAAAATGCAAGAGTTACAAAAACAGATACACTCAGGAAATGCAAATATAGTATAATTTATGAATGATCAGCAATGGTTTAAGCAGAATCAAGTTAGACACATAAATAGAGGACAGCTGATTAATTGTTATTTAGAGTCAGCATAATGCTATAATATTTATACTATCAGTGAAGGGAATGTGATTTTAACGCTAAGTGAAGGAAAATATAAGAAGAAACACACATGTAGGAAAATATATGAAGTGCGTGAAAGCCTTCCATTGACTTTGGATTATTTTGTGTTGGTATGCAAAGTACAGGTAGTGAAGAATTTGCCACTAGACAAAGGGACAATGAATTTAATGGCCACGTATCTCTTGAGTATTGGTGCATGCCTTTGGACTGTGGCAATTAAAATACAAGTGATATGGCTGGCTGCAGTGACTCCGGCCTGTAATCTCAGCACTTTGAGAGGCCGAGGCAGGAGGATGACTTGAGGCCAGGAGTTCAAGAACAATCTGAGCAATATTGTGAAACCCTGTCTCTACAAAATAATAAAAACAAAAAATTAGCCAGGCATGGTGCCTTGCACCTATAGTCCAAGCTACTCAGGAGGCTGAGGTGGGAGGATCACTTGAGCCCAGGAGTTCGAGGCCACAGTGAGCCATGATCACGCTACTGCATTCCAGGCTGGGTGACAGAGCAAGACAAAATAAAATAATAAAATAAAATAAAAAAGAGACAGTTCTCTTTTCTCTGACTCTTCTCTTCTTGGGAAAAAGCTACAGGAAACAACTGCCTTTTAAGATGCATGCAGATGGGCACATAATCTGTGAAGGGATATATCTGTTTCTTGGATGCTTTCCATCCTGGAGAGTATGAGCCCTGATATGAGTCTTTCAGAGTGAGTTCCCTTCTCAAAAGGCAGAGATGTGCCTAGTGAATGTTAGCATGCAAAGGAGAGGGCTCATTGTAAGGGATCATGAGCCAGAAGGTCCCTTGTAGAGACATGTTCCAATTTATCTGAGCCATGTTATTCCTTCCCACTTTGACACTGGCAGGACTGAAAACTGGCACTTTAATCAGAAGGGTGAGTCTGGCAGGATATGAGAAAGATGGATGCTATGAGGACAGGTGGGGAATGCAGTGTCTACTCCAGGCTACTATGCTGGGAACTTTTCTTAGAGGAGGGACTGAAAGAAAACAGAGGAGACCTTGAGGCCAGTGATAGGGAGCAGGGTTGGCTAGTCTTTTTTTTTAAGTACCGAAAGATAAAAAGGAGAATTTTTAATGCCAGATTAGATATATTCAATGTAAACTTGTTGTGTTTCTGGACAGATATATTTAATACACAATATATAAAAGGCCTGGGGGAATGACCACAGGAATTCAGAAAAACAGATCACTTGCCTAGTTCCAGCAGTGCAGCATCAGCCTCAACTCCACAAAATGTTCTAAGCTATTTGAAGTTTTCAGAGTCCCCCCTTTTGATTTTTTTTTAAAAAGAAAAAAGTAACAGCCTGCAGGTTCCTTCCAGGGGCTCTTCACACACAGTGAAAATGATGCTCAAGGAACTGAGCTATAGAGAACAGAACAAGGTTGGCATGTTGGACTGTCACCACTGTACAGAAAAAATTGCTGGAGGCAACGAGAAGTGAGTGGAGTTCAGAGTCCAGAAGAGAAGTCCTCAAACAGACTGACTTCGGAATAAGAAGCTGAATTGTATTCAAACTGCAAAACAACCATAACTGGTGGCTTAAAATTTTCCCACCTAGGGTCACCACATTGACATCTTCTAGAGGATGAGCTGTCCATGCAACACAGGCAGTCCCACCTCTCTGTTTCTGCGTGGACCTGGTTGCCTTTAAGGCGAGAGAAGCCATTCTTGACCTGCTTTTGCTGAAGGAAGAGAAAATGAGCCCTTAATCAAAGGTTTTATTACTTGCATTCTGTCCTCAGTACAACCCTGATGTTGATGTGGCTCAGGGCATACAGAGGTTTTCTTAGATGGTGAATGAAATCGCCTCCAGAGGGAATGTGGTGGCTGGCTCTGTAGATGCAACTGGGCTGAATCTGAACTCATGGCTTCTCCTCTCTGTCTCCCAGTGCCCCCTTCCCAATGGTCTCAGATGTACCACCACTCATAAACATCTTAGCCTAAGTAGTCATTCTCCTGTTCAGCCCTTACGGCCAAAGAGTCCTCCTGATCTTGACTGCCAAAGGTATCTCACCCAGGTTTCTTTTTCTCTCCATCCACTACCCCTACACTGGTTCCACCTCCCCTCTCCTCTGCTATCCCTATCCCCATCCAGTATTCCCCTCCTGGGATCCCAGATTGCAAGCTGTCTTTGTTTTAAGGAATTCTCTTGAAAACGATCAGATTAGCTTTCCTTAAATGTCACTTTTAGTAGGATAATTCTCTATTTTTTTCTTAAAAATATCCCCATTTCTTCAATGCTTCTGATTACTCTTGCAGAATGGTGATAAAACAGAACATCCAGCTGTTTTGCAAAAACTGGCTAGGCCATTCTCTGGTATCAGAAATCAGCCTGAAGACCACTGACAGGCTGCTAGGTCAGAAGAGAGTGTTTGAGACTTGAGAGTTGTTTATACTCCAGGGGGAAATTCTTGTGTCTTCCTTCTATAGAGATGTGAATAAGCTCAATAATGCTGATCTTTCTTTAATTTTATTTATTTATACTTAAAGTCCTTGCTTCTTTGAGAGAAACAGCTTCTACAAATACAGAATATTATATCTATTTTCCATCATGTGAATATCTAGCTTTGAAACACAGTGAAAGTACTTCTTAGCTTCTCAGAATTATTGGTGGGGCTCTTGTCCAAGAGCAATGAAACTCTGACTAATAAAAATGTCTCTGTAGGTTGCCTGTTCACTCTGATGGTAGTTTGTTTCGCTGTGCAGAAGCTCTTTAGTTTAATTAGATCCCATTCGTCAATTTTGGCTTTTGTTGCCATTGCTTTTTGTGTTTTAGATATGAAGTCCTAATGGGAGAAAATTTTTGCAATCTACTTATCTGACAAAGGGCTAATATCCAGAATTTACAGAGAACTCAAACAAATTTACAAGAAAAAAATGAAACAACCCCATCAAAAAGTGGGCAAAGGATATGAACAAACACTTCTCAAAAGAAGATATTTATGCAGCCAAAAGACACATGAAAAAATGCTCATCATCACTGGCCATCAGAGAAATGCAAATCAAAACCACGATGAGATACCATCTTGCACCAGTTAGAATGGCAATCATTAAAAAGTCAGGAAACAACAGGTGCAGGAGAGGATGTGGAGAAATAGGAACACTTTTACACTGTTGATGGGACTGTCAACTAGTTCAACCATTGTGGAAGTCAGTGTGGCAGTTCCTCAGGGATCTAGAACTAGAAATACTATTTGACCCAGCCATCCCATTACTGGGTATATACCCAAAGGATTATAAATCATGCTGCTATAAGGACACATGCACACATATGTTTGTTGTAGCACTATTCACAATAGCAAAACTTGGAACCAACCCAAATGTCCAACAATGATAGACTGGATTAAGAAAATGTGGCACATGTACACCATGGAATACTATGCAGCCATAAAAAATGATGAGTTCATGTCCTTTGTAGGGACATGGATGAAGCTGGAAACCATCACTCTCAGCAAACTATCTCAAGGACAAAAAACCAAACACCACACGTTCTCACTCATAGGTGGGAATTGAACAACGAGAACACTTGGACACAGGAAGGGGAACATCACACACGAGGGCCTGTCGTGGGGTGGGGGGAGGGGGGAGAGATAGCATTAGGAGATATACCTAATGTAAATGACGAGTTAATGGGTGCAGCACACCAACATGGCACATGTATACATATGTAACAAACCCACACGTTGTGCACATGTACCCTAAAACTTAAAGTATAAAAAGAAAAAAGTCTCTAGAGATATGGATCACACTGTGAAAAAGCCTTCCGATTTGTATGCCTGTGCCTGAACACATTAATTAAATTGCTTTCATTAATTACATCTTATCAAAAAGATATGAGCTTAGATGAAAGTGTATTTTGCAGAATAAAATGAAACATCCGGGGACATCCATTCTGTCATTCTTCAGGTATATCTTTGCCACTGTTTACAGCAAATTTAAGTCTGTTTAAAGGGGGGAATCATGACCAAGAACGCTCTTGAAACTTCATAAAGCTGTTCAGATATCATATTAATATCAGACTCTGCCTCTGGGAACCTGAAGTGTTTTCAGTCTGCCACCTTTGGTAAGTCCAAGTTTAAGGTGCATTTAATTAACATGACATGAAAAGAGAGGGATATTCCAGGTGTTGATTTTTCTCCAACAAGTTTTTCCTCACATGAATCCTATGCAGAGACTCGGTTTCACTATATCCTAAATAGCAAACCTTCAGTCTAAGTGAAGCATAGATTGGAAATGCCCAGCTATTGTGGAAATATGACATTGAATATAATGCTTTCAGAGGAAAGGAAAATCTAACAGAAATTCAATATAATGGAGGCACATTGCATGCTACATTTACATCCATTTTTAAATTTCATTTAAATAAAGATTTCCCTTGTCTAAAAGATTATTTATTTAGAATGAACTAATATTCATTGAGCATCAATTATGTGCCAAGGGCATACACAAACCTTTTTGTATGTAAGTATCACACTAACCTTAGAGAATCTGAGTCAGACAGGTTACATCACCGGCCTAACCACATATAGTAAGAAGAGAAACCTGGGATCTAATTCAAGTCTCTCAATTCCAAGTCCAGATTTGATACACAATATCCCACCGCAGCCCTGGAGATAACAGTTTTTTTATTTATTATAAAGAGACTAGGAAGAATTTTCACCTAGTTTTAAACAAATATAAAAGAATGACACTTGTAATCATTTAGCTCATTTAGTGTAAAATCCCTTAGATTCAGTTTAGTAATGGTGGTTGTATTTTTCTTATAAAAAGGAGTGGTTGGGTTGGGCATGGTGGTTCATGCCTGTAATCCCAGCACTTTGGGAGGCCGAGGCGGGTGGACCATTTGAGGTCAGAAGTTCGAGAACAGCCTGGCCAACATGGTGAAACCACATCTCTACTAAAAATACAAAAAGAATTAGCTGGGTGTCATGGCGTCCACCTGTAATCCCAGCTACTTGGGAGGCTGAGGCAGGAGAAACGCTTGAACCCAAGAAGCAGAGGTTGCAGTGAGCTGAGATCACGCAACTGCACACCAGCCTGGGCAACAGAGTGATATGCCTCAACAACAACAACAAAAAGGAGTGGTTGTATGAGATGGGGGCATCAGACAATGCTTATGATAAATATAATTCAAGGGATTCTAGGGGGAGAACTTTAGGGCTCCCTACCCAGCAGCTCTTTTCCATTTTTTCTTATAATATTTTGTAATTCTATCATTTTAAATGCATTATTTTGGGAAATCATGTTGCATATGTTAAAACTGCCCCTGTGTCTCAGTGCACATTAATTAGGGTGACATAGAGGTTAGCTGACTTTCCAACCTGGATGGATTGAAAGTGTTTGTTTAGAGCTTTGTAATAAGTAGAATTCTGAGGTCATGTCCAGGTTCAATAGGCTCAATTATCAATGTCAGTTAAGGGAGGGGGTAATAGTAGTAGCAAACATAACTTAATTGTCACCACTCCATTAAGCAATCACTAAAACCTCAGTGTGAATTTATCTAACCTTCCTAGCTCTTAAAAAAGAGGGAGAGAAAAGATAATTCCGAAGCCAGAGATGGGATGACCATATAAGTTATTTTGTATACCAAAGCACTTTTGAGAGAAAATGGGGGTCTTTAACAAAATACCAGGACAATATATGACAATTGTCACTGTATGGTATGGTCATCCTAGCTCTGGGGAAAGGCCATCTCTCACTACCAAAAATATATATTGAAGAGTTCCTCCCTAAGCACACCAAAGTCTCTTTCCTGATGCTATGGCTTTTTCAGAGCTGCAGCTTCCAGGGACCATATTTCTCCAATACTGCAGAGGAAATTTGAGGAACACAAGCAATTGTGTCTGGGTAGGATTCCTGAAACCCTTAGAGATTCATTATGAAACATGTGAAAGAAATTCAGTCAATTTGCAATTTTTTTCAGAGGCTGATTATCCAACTAATGCATTGTCTTGACCCTTGTTTTATTTCTCTCACCAGTTAATTTAGCAATATGTCAGTTCTAATAAAAAGATTTGATGAGGAAAAAGATGACACGATTACATGAAATGAGTTTGGGGAATTGCCGACAGATTTCAATTATCCGTGTTACTCTCAGTGAAGGCTGATTGACTGTGAAGAGTGGTGGTTTATCAGGACAGCCTTGCTACTTCTCAGATGTAACTGTCCTTGTTCTTTTTGCCTTTTTTATACAGAACATACATTGCATGTGCATTTAACACACAGACCTTCACTTTCTCTGTTCTGTAATCTGTGATTAACAAGATTGTAAAGAATTAGCTTGCAATATTATTTAATAATAAAATAATTAATAAAGGCATAAAACCATTCAATGTTAAATGACTTTTTATTGGGTGCTTTTGTTCTGGATACAAAGAAGAAGAAAACATTGGTGAACTACTCTTTTGAAGAGAAGGTAAGCAATGGCAGCCCCACAGTGGCATACACAGTTACTAAATTGTCTTTTAAATGCAATTATTATGTAAGCTTGACAGAATATTTGAAATGAAATGAATGTGCTATAAATATTAAAAAATATATTACCAGGAAAGGTACTGACTTCTTCACTAATTTGCAGCAGCCCTTTCCAAGTTTGGGTGTATATTCTCTTTCTCAATTCAAATGTTGATCATCCTTCTGAGTACCTTCTGCTGAACTTGCCGATGTCTATTGCAGATCCAAGGATGATCTTGGCTTGTAGCTTTTAATGAAAACAATATCTGTTTTCTATGGATTTATATAGGCACATCTCAGAGATATTGTGGATTCAGTCGCAGACCCCCACAACAGAGCAAATATCACAATAAAGGGACTCACAAAATTTTTGGTTTCCCAATGCATATAAAAGTTATGTCTATATTGTAGTCTATTAAGTGTAAAATAGCATTATAACCAAAAAAGTATGTAGATTAATTAAAAATACATTGTAGCTAAAAAAAATGCTAGCAATCATCTGAGCCTTCAGCGAGTTGTAATCTTTTTGCTGGTGAAAGGTCTTGTCTCCAGGTTGATGGCTACTAATTGATCAAGGTGGTGGACGCTGAAGGTTACAGTAGCTGTTGCAATTTCTTAAAATAAGACAACAATGAACGTCGCCACATTGATGAACTCTATTTTCATGAAAGATTTCTCTGGATCATGCAATGCTATTCAATAGCATTTCACCCACAGGAGAACTTTCAAAATTGGAGTTAACCCTCTCAAAACTTGCTGCTGTGTTATCAATTAAGTTTACGTAATATTCTGAATCCTTTGTTGTCATTTCACAAACGTTCACAGCATCTTCACTAGGAGTAGAGTCCATCTCAAGAAACCACTTTCTTTCCACAAGAAGTAATTCCTCATTCCTTCAAGATCTATCAGGAGATTGCAGCAATTCAGTCATTCTTCAGGCCCTACTTCCAATTCTAGTTTTCTTGTTATTTCAACCACATGCATTGAACCCTTCAGTCATTCATGAGAGTTGGAATCAACTTTCAAACTCATGTTTATGTTAATATTTTGACCTTCTTCCATGAACCATAAATGTTCTTAATAGCATCTAGGATGGTAAATCCTTTCTAGAAGATTTTCTATCTACTTTGCCCAGATCCATCAAAGGAATGATTATCTATGACAGTTATAGCCTTATTAAATGCAGTTCTTAAACATTAACACTTGAAAATCAAAATTACTCCTTGATTCATGGGCTGCAGAATGGAAGTTGTGTTAGCAGGCATGAAAACATTATTAATTTCCATGTATATCTCCACCAGAGATCTCAAGTGACCAGATTCATTGTCAATGAGCAGTAATATATTTTGATAGGAATCTTTTTTTATGAGCAGTAGGCTTCAAAAGGGGGCTTAAAATATTCAGTAAACCATGCTGTAAACAGATGTGCTGCAATCCAGGCTTTGTTATTCCATTTATAGAACCCAGGTAGTAGATTTAGCATAATACATAGGGGCCCTAGGATTTTTGGAATAGTAAATGAGCATTGGCCGTCACTTAAAGTTACCAGCTGCATTAACCTCTAACAAGATGGTGTGTCCTTGGAGCAGTCAGAGCACATACATTTATTGATTAAGTTCAACATCTTATTTGGGTGCAGTTCATGGCTTCCAAAACAATTATCACAGTAACGTCGAAGATCACTGGTAACAGATCACCACAATAGATATAATAATGAAAAGTTTGAAATATTGAGAGAATTACCAAAATGTGACACAGAATCACTAAGTGAGCACGTTCTGTTGGAAAAGTGGTTCCAATGGACTTGTTGGATGCAGGATTAACATAAACCTTCATTTTATAAAAAATGCATTATCTGCTAAGTCCAATAATGTGAAGTAGAGTAAAACAAGGCATGCCTGTTGTTGTCTCACATAATAGTTTAACTTATGAATTATGATATGACTTTTTACAAGAGAAACCAGTATTATATCCCAAACCATGCTGTGAATTCATTAAGGGTGAGGGTCATTTATGATCTATCTTTGTATTTCTCCCCAAGATCTAACAGAGTTTTGAATGTATTTAGGTCGGGCCATACAAAATTGCCTATATTTGATCATTTGTGATCTGTAAAAAAGACAATTCAATATGGTTCAATTTCCCAGTAGTTATTCCAGAAATAATTGTGAAATGAGTCAGATTATGTTAAAATTTTACATTCTTATTTGTAAATGTATATATTTATGTATAAATATATACATTTAAACATATGCATACACA
Organism: Homo sapiens; assembly: GCF_000001405.40. NCBI lineage: Eukaryota > Metazoa > Chordata > Mammalia > Primates > Hominidae > Homo > Homo sapiens. The sequence goes on from NC_000002.12 coordinate 228,129,731, forward strand.
CACAAATATATATATATGCTAATGAAGTCATTTAGAATTAAAGATTAGCTTTAGTTTTAATTTTTTTCTTTTTTTTTTTTTTTTGAGACTGAGTCTTACTCTGCCACCCAGGCTGGAGTACAATGGCGTGATCTTGGCTCACTGCAACCTCCACCTCCCAGGTTCAAGCAATTCTCTTGTCTCAACCGCCCGAGTAGCTGGGACTACAGGCACCTGCCACCATGCCCAGCTAACTTTTGTATTTTAGTAGAGACGGAGTTTCACCATATTGGTGAGGCTGGTCTCGAACTCCTGACCTCAGGTGATCCGCCCACCTCGTACTCCCAAAGTGCTGGGATTACAGGCATGAGCGACCGTGCCCAGCACCAGTTTTAATTTTTTGAGTAGACATCCAGGCCCAAATAGCCCTTTCAGTTCAGTAGCTTCTAGATGGTATTTTGTTTTTAAAGAAATAAATGTGACCACCTCTTTTCCAGGGAAATAACTGTAGCTGAGATAACAGATCATAAATCCCTAACTCTCTAGGAATGGTAATACCTATATGGAATTATTTTCTCTGACTGTATGCTTGCTGATAATATTCTTCTGTAGAGTAATATTAGTGATAGAGATCTTTATTTTGAGTGCATGAAGTGTGCCAAGCACTGCTGTAAACATTTCACATCTATTAATTCATTGAGTCCTTGCTTCAATCTTATAAAATACATAATACTATTTTCTTCATTTTTCACATGAGGAAATTGAGATATGAAGTAAAGTCATGTGCTCAAGATCGCACAAGTAATGATGAAACTGGCTGTTAAATTCAGGCAGTCTGGATTCAATTCTTCTTTTAAATACCATACAACCTTGTATCAATAAACATATATGTATTTTAAAAAATTAGAATAAGCTAAAAGTTATTTAGCCCTGTAAAATGTACAGCATATGATGAAGCATTTATAATTTGGAGTTATAGAGTTCAACAGAGTATACCTAAGGTTGGAGACCTCTTTTATAAATAGTTTTATAAACTATTAGCTCTTTTATGAATAACTTGAAATCATTTTGAATTATAGCGCCTTAGTTCCCTGCATTAAAAAGTGGAATTTATAGCACCAATTCCTTTGTAGGAATTTATAAGAGGAGAAAGAATAATAGATCATACAACATGTGTTAATAAGAATCCTTAATTAATTAGACAGTTTTTTCACATTTGGTTATGAATGAATGGATGGAAATACTTTTGTAAAATTATGTTTAATTCTACCTTTCTGTAATAAGTATATTTTTCAGTACAGATTAATTTCTCTAATACTTGAAAACTAGAAACTTATACAAAAGTCACACAAGCAGAGAATTATTAATGCTGCTTAACTGGGTATACATATATATATCTCTACACATATATATGTGTAGATATATATGCATGTATATCATGTATATTACATATATACACAATACATACACATAACAATATGCTTAGTAACAGCATTTGTGTTAATTTACATCTATAAGAATTTTTATAATTTAATATTTTTGCAATAAATGAAATAACTCACTGTGATTGCTTCTGAATTGGGATGAGAAGAAACATATACTTCCCTGGAATTCAGCAGCAAACAGTGACAAAAGCATTAGATGGGGAACCAGGATCGTGGACATTCTACTTCAAGTTTTGGGGCCTTAGATTTGATTGGCTGGGAAAATGAGGTAGTTAAATTCTATGATTTTATGTTGTTCAAGGGTTTTTGCAAGTATCTTAGAGCATAGTTTCTTTTTTTTTTTTATATCAGCTCTTAAGTCTATGTTCTAGAAAATACAATTCTGTTTTTCTTAATAAAATAAGCCCAGCATACCCTTTGTTTTATGGAAATATCAAAAGCAAAACAGCCCTAAAGTTTTCTTAGATACAGATTTAGTAACTTAATATAATATGTTGAGTCATTCAAAATGCATGAACATTTTTCTGAAAGGAGATGCAAGAAACTGTTATTCATGGCTAAGTTTAAAAAGAAGTACTGGTGAAAAGTCTTGGGTTGAGATAGTATGGCAGTGGAGGCTTATGATTTTCTATGCCTGAATTTTCTCATCATTTCCATGAATTAAAATTTTAATGTTATCAAGGCTTACTTGGGAAAGCAAACCGTGAGCCATTTTGTTGTTTGTTTTTATTGTTGTTTCTACTTTAGGAAGAGTGCTTAAAATTTCGAATTAAATGAATATTCAAGTTCAACTGACAAGAAGAAAGTGGCGTAAGGCAAGGTTACCTTCTTACAGGCTGTGATGGAGTTCCCCGGGCCGCTTCCTGAGCTGCCACAGCCTCTGCCCTGCTGCGGTTCCAAAACGTCATACATCCGTGATGACTCCAAGTTGCTGTTTGTGACCCAAAACACAAAAACACATTCCAGTGAGTCATATCTATATTTGGAAATAAATAATAAGTAAATCACAACATGGTGTATCAAAAATCATCTTTTTCAGATTGCATTAAACACTGCAAATCCCCCTGCTGAAATGGACATTTCTTTGTTGCATACACTTTTGTAATTGGCAGAACCACTACAGACGATCCTACTGTGACCATGAAAGTACAGCCCAATGCCTTCCACAGTGCTTTGATGGACATCATTGCATCTGTCTGACTACTGGCCTTGTTAGCATCTTCTCTTAAGCAAGCAGCTTTAAAACCCAAATAAATTTTTCTCAATTGCCACATTAATTCAGCTCTGAAAACACCAACACATAACAAAATATTCATTTTATTTTTTAAAATGGAGGTAAAATATAATTTTAATCTGGACTCAGAATAGTACCATTAAAAAGAAATGTGGACTTTAGAAAATGCAGGTAATGTCTTTACCATTCCTGCGGCTGGAGATAGCTCCTCAAATTCTCTATCTCCAAAATTATAGACTTATATCCCTCCCCCTGTCTCTGTCAAATCTTCTTAATGGGCTTGACTACGTACAGAGCTGCATAAATATTTTAAAAATATTTAAAATTGGCTGAGCATGGTGGCTCATGCCTGTAATCACAACACTTTGGGAAGCTGAGGCAGGCGGATCATTTGAGATTAGGAGTTTGAGACCAGCCTGGCCAACACGGTGAAACCCTGTTTCTACTAAAAATACAAAAAAAAAAATAAGCCAGGTGTGGTGGCATGTGCCTGTAATCCCAGCTACAAAGGAGGCTGAGGTATGAGAATCGTTTGAACCCGGGAGGTGGAGGTTGCAGTGAGCTGAGATCCCGCTATTGCATTCCAGCCTGGGTGAGACCCTGTCTCAAAAAAACAAAAAACAAACAAACAAAAAAGGCCGGGCATGGTGGCTCACGCCTGTAATACCAGCACTTTCGGAGGCCGAGGCCGGTGGATTGCCTGAGCTCAGGAGTATGAGATCAGCCTGGGCAACACGGTGAAACTCCATCTCTCCTAAAATACAAAAAATTAGCCGGGCATGGTGGTGCATGCCTGTAGTCCCAACTACTTGGTAGGCTGAGGCAGGAGAATAGCTTGAACCCAGGAGGTGGAGGTTGCAGTGAGCTGAGATGGTGCCACTGTACTCCAGCCTGGGCCACAGAGTGAGACTCCATCTCAAATAAATAAATAAATAAATAAATAAATAAATAAATAAATAAATTACTTCTACATTTTCAACACGTGATAAAAATGAAAATTATTATCAAACTTTTAAAATAATATGACTGGAAACTCAAAATTAAACCTCATGTAAATATAAAAAATTATCTAAATGTTATATGCATTTCTAAATATTCTTCTTCTGAAAATATAATAATTTGGACTTTTAAAATGTACTGATAGCTTAGGTCTATTGGTTTAATATTTGTTCTTGTTGACCACATAGAACATGCACAATTCACTAACATGTACTTTTGGAACATAATCTGATAGTTCTGTATAAAATTTTCAATGCAACATGTAGATGGTTTCTCTTAAAACAAGTGCTAAATAAAAGATCAGTTAAATAAACAATTTATTTCTAACTAACCTATAACTCTCATGTTTCAAGCACTAAATTCATCAATTTTCAATTAGCCATAAGTCACACAGGGCATTAGTGTAGCCTTTTGGCATTTCCATTATTATGGAATGACATTTTAAAAAATGACCACTGACTGTGCTGTGTAACAAATCATAGATTCAGGCAAAATCTGCACAGAGTAATTAAAATAAAATCTGTTTTGTTAAAATTTTTTATATATTACTTTTTGAGCAATTGTCACTTGAGGGCTAGAGTGAACCTAATGCACATGAAAGGATAACACCCATATTATCTTTGCTTAGCTGAGGAAAGATAAAAGAAAGGAAGGAAGGAAGAGAGGAAGGAAGGAAAGAAAAAGAGAGAGAAAGAAGAAAGAAGTAAAGAAAGGAAGGAAGGAAGGGAGAGAGAGAGAGAAAGAAAGAGAAAGAGAAAGAAAGAGGAAGAAAAGGAAGAGAAGGGAGGGAGGAAGACAGAAGGAAGGAGGGAGGGAGCGAGGAAGGAAGGAAGGGAAGGAGGGAGGGAGGAAGGAAGGAAGGAAGGAAGGAAAGAAATAAAGAAGGAAGGAAAGAAACAGAGGAAGAAAGCAGGAAAAAGAAATTAGCTCCATTTCCTGGCTGCCAATCCTGACCTATTCTGCCACCTAGCCTTTCTGAGTCTTAGTCTCATCATTTATAAATGACATGTTTGGACTAAAGTGTGTGGTTCCCTCATGGCTCTGGAAGTCACTTGGCGAAATATCAGAGATGTCCTAAGTTTTCAGCCCCTATCTTTACAGGTTTCCTACAATGTGGGCCTATAACTTTTTAGGCTGCCACTTACTTACCCAAGCGTGGACATCTCTTTGAATGCTTTCTTGTCCACAGGACAGTTTGGCTTTTACCAAAAGGCCGAACAGCTATTATTGTTAGGTTCTAAATAGTTTACATGTGGAAGATAAGGCCATGCACCAAGCTAACTTTGAACTTGACCTCTAAGTCAAGTTATATGACTCCTTCTAGGAGCCAGCCAAGGCCCTGTGTGCAGTTCAGAGAGACAGGATGTAGGGTCCCACAGCTCTGTGTCCTGTTGCTACTGTGTCCTCCAGGCAGCTCTGATGGGCTAGTAGATCCCTTTCATGCAGGCCATCCCTGGACTTATGCCCAGTACTAAGACATCTCCCATGACTTTTCGCAGGGCTGGAGACTGCAGGAGTAGGAAATGGGCAAACTGAGAAGAAAGGCTGACACAGACCTCAGGCCGCTCCTTCCAGATATGAAACGTCGTAGAAAGACCACTTCAAGGCCGGGTGCAGTGGCTCACGCCTGTAATCCCAGCACTTTGGGAGGCTGAGGTGGGTGGATCACCTGAGGTCGGGAGTTCGAGACCAGCCTGACCAACATGGAGAAACCCCATCTCTACTAAAAATACAAAATTAGCCGGGCATGGTGGTGCATGCCTGTAATCCCAGCTACTCAGGAGGCTGAGACAGGAGAATCGCTTCAACCCAGGAGGCAGAGGTTGTGGTGGGCCGAGATCGTGCCATTGCACTCCAGCCTGGGCAACAAGAGTGAAACTCTGTCTCAAAAAAAAAAAAAAAAAAAGCAAAAAAGCACTTCAACAGCCTCTGGTCACTCTAGAAAGAAATCACATCTAAATTGGGCAGAGATGGTTAGGTCCAAAATTGGGGTGATGTAAAAATAGAGAAAACTAAAAGGTCGGCCTTGAAAACTACTTATTTGCCCATGAAGCACTTTTATTTATGGCTTTAGATAGACAATCTGCTACAGTACTTTTTATGCACCCAAAAGTTTAAGAACTGCTGAGCTCATCTAATAGAAGGAAGTAATGGCAAGTCTACCTACAGATATCTTGGTATGAAAGTTTTTCTGCCTCTAAGGTGACTGTACAATCCTAGTTGAAAACGAAGTTATGGAAGGGAATTAGAAAGTTTTTTTTTGCTTGCCTGCAAGGCTGATGCCATTTGTTCTAATGCTAAGCCTGTATAGCATTAATAAATAAATTTAACTATATATATGCACCTATGTAGTTGTTCATTGTTGTGAGTATTAAACGAGGAAGTTGAGTCACATGGTGGGGCAAAAATTAATGCATTACTAGATGACAAGTGTAATGCAACTTCACTACACCCATATTTAAAGCAAATGCATCTTCTGAAACATATTGTATATCACTTTAATGATGCCTAATATCAAAGAAAATGTAGGTAGGCTTATGTTTTAAAGCATGTAATATGAGTGTGCATTTCCAATAGGTGACTTTACAACATGGCCCAGTCTGTTCCCATACCTTTTGGATGGAGAAAGAATTTTTAGAGTATTTACAATGATGCTGTCCGTGATCTCTAGAGAAGCAGAACATTTGCTGTTACAGGATGAGGCAGAGATGGCAGTGATATGAAACTCATACATTTATTAAAATGAGCTGAAATTGACATTAAAAGAATTGCTGTCAAGATACAGTACAGCTTTATAACTTGCTCCTAATGGGTAAGCCGGCAAATTCTTCCCTGGGAGATTTTCCTTTGATTTTGACAAGTGTTGACAATATTTATTAAGCACAACCTTTCAAACTGGTTTCATGCTGAAACCGTTAAGTGTGTTTCAATGAGGATGTACATAAACATGGGAAAGAAGGCACAAAACCAAATTTGAAGTAGTGATTTTAAACCAGACTTCCATAAAGCAGCTTTCTTTATAGAACAATTTCATATATTAATAAATGAGATGCTAAGTTGCCACTGTACTGCTACCACTGCAGTGACTCATGCAGTATGAAGAAGTAGGTCACATCAATAGTGAAAATAGCCTAGGGAATATCCAGTTATTTCCCTAGAGAGAGATGGATCCAGTTACTGGAAACTGAGCTGTCTATACATTGCAATGCAAAGTTTGGTCCACGGACCAGCAGCATTGGTGTCACTTGGGAGCTTGTTAGACACCCAGAAACTCAGAATTACTAAATCAGAATCTGCATATTGACATTAAACTCAGGTAATTTATACATCCATTAGAGTTTGAGAAACACTTACGTAACATATTAAATTGAATTCACCTTCCATTTGCCTGTGGGACACCATTCTGATACTGAGAAAAATAGATCAGAGTAAAAGAGATGGGGCAAACAGAGATAAAGAGGCTTGGGTGTAATATCCTCATGATATTACTTCATTTAGGAATATTCTACCTAGTCCCCACCTTCCCTTCTTGATAATTCCTACTCTGTCCTTTGGGTCTCAGCTTATAAATTACCTCTGGTACCTCCCTTCTCTCTTCCCCCTGCCAAGGAGGCCACTTCTCCTCTCCCACACACCTCCAGTGCCCCATGCACACACAAACACACTTACGCTCCTGCCTCGTTCCCACCCACATATTCCCACCCCACTCCAACCCAGGAAGTGAGACACTCTTCTTGTGTATTCCAACAGCACTCTGAGCCATATCTTGTTTTAGCACTTGTCCAAAAGGCATACAATTTTGTAATATTTGTCTCTTTCCAGTTTAGGCTGTAAGTTCTAAAAGGGCAGGGGATCACTTAGGACACAGGACAGCGCCAGTCAGTGGGAGATGCCCAACAAGCACTTATTGAAGTTGTATGTTCTTATCTTTCTGAGCATCCTGGTTAACCTCAAAAATTAGGCACAAACAAGTGTTTGAATTTAATGCTAAATTTTCTGCAGTGCTGACAGTTGGTGAGATAAGCCACATCTGAGAAGATAATTTAAAGAATTTCCCAGGATAGTTCTAATGAAAAGAGATTCTGCTGTTATGCTTGCTAAAATGTCAAGTAAACACAGTGTAAAGTTAAACCATTTTAACAGATTCTAAAAGATAAGATTCGCTCTTGTCTTCTCCCTCCTTAAAGAATGCTCTTGGTGAAATGTAGTAATTATAATTCATTTGATTGTCTCAACCCTATTAGGGATATCTACTCTTGAGCTTTATATTAAATCCTTTAATCCCAACACTAGAAAAAAAAATTAAAACTCAGAGCTACCAGAAGAGATCTTGAGCAAGGAATTGAGATGTTGTCATTAAAATCAATTTAACAACATATGACAACCAAAAATTGAGAGGATTTTAAAATTTGCCTTCACACAGTTCAAAATGAAAGTTTTCTCAAGTGAATGTTCTTATTTTACCCTCTTAAATTACCCAAAGTAATTTACCTGTTACATGAAGCCCAGAGGTTTAAGTCAATTTTTCAAAAACTGACTTGTTTTAAACATCACGTGAGATGTTAGTGTCTCCTATCTTCCTCTTCTAACCAATCTTGACAAAGACTCTTTTCTTGACCAAACTTTAGTCAAGCTCCTTTGAGACATCTTCTCAGCTAGGCCTGGACCTTGGCCTGCTGAGCCCAGCTGTAGAGAAGAATCCTGCTCAGTCAGTTTAGAAAGAATTCTCACATCCAAATATCTGATCAACTTCCTCATCCGCCCACTTTTGATACTTAAGTCCTTGGCCTGTCTAGTAAGCACCCCGTTAGGACAGTTTAGCAAGAATCCCCTGCTGTTGACATCCCCTCTTAGTAATTTTCTGTTCACTAACCCCTTCACTCTGCCTGTGGGGTATAAATTTCCACTCGTCCTTGCTGTATTAGGAGTTAACCTCAGTTCTGCACCGACAGCTCTCACTCCTGCTGCAATAACTTGCATAAAATCTGTTTTAACAATTTAAATATGTATCCAGTACAAAATTTTTCATTTACTGCTGTGTACATTTTTCTGGTTTCATCTCCTAGGTAAGAAGTTTATATTTTTTTTCTTTCTTTCCTAGGTTGGACATGTCATGTCATTCATGCAAATTAAATATGTCACCAACTCATTGGTAGCTGAAAGACCTACAAAATCCTCATTTATTCTGTAGGATTTTAGAAAATGTGTCATAGGAAACTATTACCAAACCTTGAAAATATTTAGAAGCCATCATTTTATGTTCTGTTTCAATACTTAAAGGTGGCTCCATAGCTGTAAAATAAATTCCAGACTTCTTAATCTCCTAGACCAGTAAAATAAAAATAACCATGGCAGTAATAATGTTATAAAGGGCCCAGCATTTTATTTTCCCAAATAAACTTCAAGAAAACCCCTTATAGTTCTGCTTTAACCATCATTCTTCAAATAAAGGGCTTTGTAATGGTGTAGCAAGAAACTGTGATGTATTATCCAAGAATGAAGGATATTTCTTTTCAAGAAAAGATGGGCTTTTTGTCTTCAGATTGGTGAAAATGTTGTTGCAGACCTGAGTTTGGGTTTCACTTTTTGAGGTATTGGTAAGTGGCAATAAAGAAAATATAAACAGGTCATTCATTATTAATCATAAAACAAGTGTCCCATTCTTAGAAGAAAGAATGGCCTCAAATTTAGCTATCCTCTAATTCAATCTTGATTATTAAAAGAAGATGAAAAGCAAAGACACTACTTAGTATTGTTATTTCATTTGAGATGTAATTTGTAAATATCAACAGCGGAAAAATTCCCTATTTTCAGTTCCGAAATCTTTTTTCAACAATAGCCAATATAATGTTTTCTCTAAAACACTATGTTGAATATTGTTCAATTAATGCTTTTTTATTTAGGCAACTCTAAATCTATCAGATATACACAGTAAAATGTGAAATCTCTTCTTAAACAGATACTATATAAAATATCTGGATTATATTAGAAAAGACAATCAAATAGTAAACTTCCTAATGTAAGAAAACAGCTGTACTTCCAAATAGAATGTTATTGGAGATTATATGACAATATAAAATAACACTTATTGAACAATCTGTGCTTTGTAAATTGATATATTATCTCTCATTAAGAAGACAATAACAAGTTATTTCCTATGGTTTGATCACTGCTGTACAGATTTACTAGTTTTATATCTTTAAAAGCTGTTTCACAATCTCAGGCTTTCCCAAGACCCCAACTATAATCCTTCATTCCGAAAAAGTATCAAGCAAGTGAGCATGATAACTTAGCCTTTTTCTCTTTTCTCTTTCATTTTTTAATGAAGGCTATGGGGGAATTTTTTCAAAATGTGTGCCCTACAAATAATGTGTATAAAAACATTATTTTAATGTAAGATAGAAAGTACACATTCCTGCTGCTAAGTTAATTTTGCATGAATATGTGCATATTTATACATGAATACCACTAGATGGTTACTATAGAAATATTTATCCCTAGAGTTCTTTATTTCTTTATTTATTTTCTTTCTTTCTTTCTTTCTTTCTTTTTCTTTTCTTTTTTCTTTTTCTTTTGAGATAGAGTCTTGCTCTTTTGCCCAGGCTGGAGTGCAGTGGCATGACCTCAGCTCACTGCAACCTCCACCTCCTGGGTTCAAGTGATTCTCCTGACTCAGCCTCCTGAGTAGCTGAAATCATAGGCACCCACCACCATGCCCGGCTAATTTTTGTATTCTGTATTGAAACATGGGGTTTCACCATGTTGGCCAGGCTGGTCTCGATCTCCTGACCTCAGGTGATGTGCCTGTCTTGGCCTCTCGAAGTGTGGAGATTACAGGTGTGAGCTACTGCACCCGGCCTAGAGTTATTTATTTCTAAAAAAAAAAAAAATGAGGTATATATTTTTCAGATAGTCAAAGCACACTATGTATATGACCGCATTCTGCTAAATCTAGACTGTAGTTCAGGGACATTCAGAATGTATGTTACCGTAATTGCTTCATATTCCCGTGTTCTTCCATCAAACCACTTGGGCAGGTGTCTCACTCTGATACTCTGATATATGATCTTCTTCATACTACTTCTAACAGAATTTACCCTCATTTAATGCACGGCAGGTACTGAGCACTCTATAGTGTGCTTTACATACTAATTTCATTATACCCGTTTTATAGAGGAGAAACTGAGGATTGATGAGGGTAACACGTAATCCAAGTGATATAGTTTGGATATGTGTCCCCTCCCAAATCTCATGTTGAATTATAATCCCCAGTATTAGAAGTGGGGCATGGTGGGAAGTGATTGGATCATGGGGGGGTGGATTTCTCATGAATGGCTTAGCACCGTCTCCTTGGTGCTGTCCTCACAATAGTGACTGACTTTTCGTGAGATCTGGCTGTTTAAAAGTGGATGACACCCCCCTCTCGCTCTCTTCTGCTTTTGCCATGTGACATGCCCACTCCCCCTTTGTCTCCCATCATGATTATAAGCTTCCAGAGGCCTCCACAGAAGCAGATGCCAGTGTTATGCTTCTTGTACAGCCTGCAGAACTATGAGCCAATTAAACATCTCTTCTGATAAATTTCCCAGTCTCAGGTATTTCTTTATAGCAAAAAAACAGCCTAATAAGACAAGATTATATTGCTGCCAAATAACAGACCTAAGATTTCAGTTGCTGCTCTAGACACCATACCATGTTATTTTCCGCTGTGATCTCTAACACTCCTTTAAGTGCTTTGCTTCTGTGACCGTGTCATCTAAGTGAGTCTAAATAAAGCCAGTTCCTAGTGTGTTGGCATTCAAGAATCTAAGGGCAAATTCCATTTCTACCAGTTACTAGAGAGATGGAGTTGGATCTATTACTCAACCCTCTCTAAACCTTAGTTTTCTCATCTGTAAAATGCAGATGATAATAGAAGCTTTGTCATGAGATGGTTGTGGTGGTTTCATGGTGCTATTTCCTGTAAAGGAGTCACGTAGCACCTAGCACAGGTAATTACTCAATATGAAACTGAGAAATACCACATGAAGCCCTGTAAATCTATTTACTCTTAAGAGTCTCCTTGATAGGTTTTCAGCACATTTTCATATTCAACATTAATATATGCACATTTTTGAATAAATTGCATAAATATTTATTATAGTGGCACTTTTCTTAGAGCTAGGATTTCAAAATATATACAATGAGAAATTTCTATTCTTCTGCTGACTATTAACTATTATCATTAGATTATAAAATGAAGAATAACAAAGGCTTTTTTTAAATCCAAGAGAACACAGAATTTAATCAATTATTCTAAGACAATACAAAGATGCAGCCTGTTCATGCGTACAATTTTATATCAATTATCATGGGAAAATATTGAGATCATTAAAGCAAAGCTCTAAAGCTTACAGAAGACTAATCTGATATTAGTGAAAAACATGAATTGAAAGTGTTTCCAGAGAAAAGTAGTGGTATTGCTAAAATGTTAGTTTTATTGGAGAAAATTTAATGGTTACATTAAAAATATATAATAACTATTTGTATTTAATGTATATTTTTCTTTTTCTGTTTGCCTTCTTAATTTGATTGGCAAATCCTTCCCTCTAGGGATTCCGGTAGTTATGGTTCTGTGGAGGCCCTGCTTCACTTATCACAAACACCACCAAATGGAACTGAATTAAGGAAATGTTACTGAAGGTTAGACATGGAATGGGACTCTGGCTTGAGACGCTCATGTTGATCGTTTACAGTTAAAGGCAGTCATATGAAATAGTATAATGAAGTGAAGGGGAGTAAAAGAGGAGAGAGAAGAAACGTAGTTGCATGTGAAGAGCATAAGTGTACACCATTCTGTTGTGCCCAGGGACTGCTGGGCAGAGTGTACATTTTAAGAAATCTTTGTTGTTAAATAAGTGAAGGGATGAATTTTGTTGCTCTCTGAAATTAAGAAAACATATAGTATTCTGTTAATTAAAATAAGGTGTTACTGGACGGGAGGCTAAGGCCGGAGAATGGCGTGAACCTAGGAGGCAGAGCTTGCAGTGAGCCGAGATGGCACCAGTGCACTCCAGCCTGGGTGACAGAGCGAGACTCCATCTCAAAAAAAAAAAAAGAAGGATTATATGTTACTGGGATATTATCAGCCATAAAAAAGAATAAGATCATGTTTTTTGTGAGAACATGGATGGTGCTGGAGGCTATTAACCTTAGCAAACTAACGCAGGAAGAGAAAACCAAATACTGCAGTTTACCACTTTTAAGTGGGAGCTAAATGACAAGAGCATACGGACACCTAGATGAGGACAACACACACTGGGGCGTTTTGGAGGGTGGAGGGTGGGAGGAGGGAGAGGACAAGGAAAAATAGCTACTGAGTACTGGGCTTAATATCTGAGTGATGAAATAATCTGTACAACAAACCCCCATGACATGAGTTTATCTATATAACAAACCTTCACATGTACCCCCTAACCTAAAATAAAAGTTAAAAAATGAGTGTTGCTTTGCATGTTGCTTCTGGGAGTACACATTCATATGACATTTCTGAAAACCACCTGCCCATACTTTCCACAACTCTTATCCGTGCATGCCTATTAGTCAGCCATGCTTTCCACGAGGAATCTATTTTAGATGATAGACACCAAACGAAAGACTTACACACTGAGATATTCAATTTGTTATTCTTAATTAAAAAAAACCCTAAACATTAGAAATACATTCACCAATAAGTACATTGATAAGGTTAGTATGCAGACATGAAGATGATGCCCCTTTGCCCTCAAAAATGTCATGGGAAAATGTTCCCATGTTAACTGAACACAGTTGGGTGCAAAATATTACACTATGTAACTATTGATATGAATGTATTATTTTAAAATATAAGACTGGGCCAGGTGCGGTGGCTCACGCCTGTAATCTCAGTGCTTTGGGAGGCCAAGGCAGGAGGATAGCTTGAGGCCAGGAGTTCAAGACCAGTCTGGGCAACATAATGAGACCCTGTCTCTATGAAATATATGTATATAGAGACAGGGCTGGATCCTGTCTCTAAAATAATAATAATGACAATAAAAACATAAGTCCATTCAGGTCATTTCTTTCTTTTAAATTTTATTTTTATTTTTAATTTTAATTTTAATTTTTGAGATGGGGGTCTCACTCTGTCGCCCAGGCTGGAGTGCAGTGGTGTGATCTTGGTTCACTGCAACCTCCGCCTCCCTGGTTCAAGCAATTCTCCTGTGACAGCCTCCCAAGTAGCTGGGATTACAGGCGCATGCCAAGCCAAAACACCTGGCTTTTTTTTTTTTTTTTTTTTTGTAGAGATGAGGGTTTCACCATGTTGGCCAGGCTAATCTCGAACTCCTGACCTCAGATGATCTGCCCGCCTTAGCCTCCCAAAGTGCCGGGATTACAAGCGTGAGCCACCATGCCCAGCCATTCAGGTCATTTCCGTTCTTAAGATCTTGCAGGAGCTCTGCATTTTATTTCAAGCAAAATTGTAAGTCCTTGCCACGGACTACCAAGTCCTGCATGCATGGACCGTCTGTTACCTCTGTGACCTTGTCTTTTTGCCTTCTGCCTCTATCGAATCACTCTGGCCACACTGGCCTCTCTGCTGTTCCTAAAACAGGCCAGGCACAGTTGCTGTCTTAGGGCCTTCCCTAACTGTTGCCTCTGCTGGAAATGCTCCGTGCGTTGAGATCTGCACATCTCACTTCATTATTTCTTTCAGGACTTTCTCAAATGTCACCTTCTCAATGAGACTTCCTCTGACTCCCCTAACTAGAATTGCCACACAGGCCTCTTTATCTCTGTTTGCCCAGTCTCTCCCACCCTGATCTATTTTTCTCAGTATCAGTATGATGTTCCAATGTTCTATAGAATGTATTTGTTTCCTGTGTTTATTATTTATTTTATGTGCCTCTCCTTGTGTGCTCCCACCCCATGCTCTATAGATTATAAATTTCATGAATGCACTTATCTTTTTTGGTTTTCCACGATGTAGTTCCAGTCCAAGAATAATGCCTGGCATATTGTAAATGCTCAGGAAATGTTTGTTGAATCAATGAGTTCATTAAAACAAATACATACATAGTTTCATATATAGAAACATGAAAATGTTAATAGCAGCTATCTTTGGATAATGTAGCTATTTGTGATATTTTTTCTTGCCCCTTTCTATATTTTTTATATATTTAATATATACTATTTTGTGACTAGACAAAGTTCTTTATTTTAAAATGGGTGATATAAAGGTATTTTGAAATCTAGTGCCTATAAACAAATAGGCATGTGAAATGAACAAACAGGAAATGTGAAATTCTATTACACTTAAGAGTTCTGAGGAAATTTTCTGATTATTAAATAATGCTTTCCTTTGAAATCAAATGAAATTTTCAATCTTAATACATAGGTTACTGCTTTGATGATGAGTTGTCATGGGTCCCACCAAAGATAACAGATAATTTAGCTGCCACAGTAAAGGGGACTGATGTGATTGGAAAAAGTGACAAAACCAATAAAGCCAGCAAATACTCCTTAAAGCCAAAGATAACATCCCACGGCAAAAGCTTTAGTCCTGACTGAGAAGGATCCTTTATCACGGATAATTGTTTATGAGTCTATGTGTTGCCTCCCCCATATCTCTGAGGGATGAGGCTGTCAAATGATTTCTAGTTGTATATGCAGATAGGTGGTGAAACGAAATCAAACTTGGACAATCCTATGGAGCACTTCACTGATTCTGGATAATGAGACTTAAACCAAGAGCCAAACCTCTTGGAGCCGGCTGGATAGTTTCTGACACAGTTTAAAACAACAACATCATCACACCACAAAAAGGAATGCTCTTAAAAGCAGTATCTTCTAATCTCCTAATGTGTAAGAATGGCCAATACTACTGGTTTCATTTTTCTTTAACTACTTTAGTGGACTCCAGGATTTATTGAGCCCTTTGTTCGATTTACTGTCCTTTCTATATTTTCTATACATTTAGTATATATTATGGGGACTATTTAGAAAATATTTAAAGCCTGTAGAAAAATTTTTAAAGAAGAACCAAACATGCAGCATGTTGAAATTGGATTAAAGAATATTCCTTAAGAAAGAGTTGGGAGGATAAGCTTGCCCAGGTGATTTTGGCTCCCATTTTGGCAGGCATATTAGGATTCAATGAATGGCTCTCCAGAATGTACCTGGAGTTTCTATCATTACAATTATAGATTATTTCCACTTAATTTAGGTAACAATTCCCATCATGAATGCATTTTCCAACTTGTTAGGTATTAAAAAATTATAAATAAAAATATAGTAAACTTAAAATAGAAGTAGTTTTATATCAAAAACATTTAGCAATGAGAGTATAAACAGAACTGAGAAAGCGGGAGCCATGTTGGCCTGCACAGTATTAAATATTTTAAATTAGCTGCCAACAATTGAAGACTGAAAGAATGTACCTAAAAAAGACTGAGTTTCTGTCTTCTCTGGAAAATGTGGTAAATGGGGCTACACTGGGCAGTAATTGGCAAACTCGGGACCCCTCTAAAGTGTGGCTTGTGGGCCTACTCCTTTTCATTACAATTATTGGCCTGGAAAATATTTAATTACATGATCCTCGGATAACAAACATCCCAGACATATTTTTCATCTTAGGTTTTCTCCCCTCAGATTTTTTTGCTTTTGTTTTTGCCTTTCACGTTAGAGAAATTGTTTGGTTTTCTTTTTTTTCAAAACTATGTTTAGAGCAATTTTAGGTTCACAGCAAATTTAACAGGAAGGTCCAGAGAGTTCCCATGTACCCCCTGCTCCTCCACACACATCCTTCCCATTGTCAATATCCCCAGCCATAGTGGTACATTTGTTACAACGGATGAACACCCATTGACACATCGTAATCACCCAACACCCACAGTTCACATTAGCGCTCACTTTTGGCCTTGTGTATTCTATAGGTTTGGAAAAGTGACACATATATCCACCATTATGGTATTAAACAGAGTGAGAGTATTTTCACTGTCCTAAAAATCCTCTAGCAAGCTACTTATTACTATTTTTTTTAACTTTTATTTTAGGTTTGGGGTTGCACGTGAAGGTTTGTTACATAGGTAAACTCGTGTCACGGTAGTTTGTGTACAGATTATTTCATCACCCAGGTATTAAGCCCAGCACCCAATAGTTATTTTTTCTGCTGCTTTTCCTCCTCCACCCTCAAATTAACACCATTGGCTGTTGTTTCCTTCTTTGTGTGCATGTGTTCTCATCACTGATAAGTGAGAACATGCAGTATTTGGTTTTCTGTTCCTGTATTAGTTTGCTAAGGATAATAGTCTCCAGTTCCACGCGTGTTCCCGCAAAAGACACGACCTTGTTCTTTGTTAACGACTGCATAATATTCCATGGTGTATATGTACCACATTTTCTTTAACCAATCTGTCATTGATGAGCATATAGGTTCATTCCATGTCTTAGCTATTGTGAATAGTGCCAGTAAGCTACTTATGCATCTGACAAAGAATTGGATATTTTCTTCCTCTTGGAGACAATATCTATAAAAATAAAATTCAGTAATTATATCTTCACCCCTCAATGTTAATATGTACCAATCTCCATCTTAAGGCACATTTGCATTTTAGATTGAAGGAAGGGGGATTTTCCAATTTAGGTGGAGTTGAATTAAAATTGCCATATTTTATTTCTAAATTTGTTATTTAGTTCTTGAGATGAAAAGAATATCTGATTCACTATTGAACTCCACAATATACTTAGTGCAATGCCTGACAATTAGTCAGTGCTCCATAAATGTGGTAGGGTCAATAATGGCACCACTTAAAAGATCTTGTGATTTATCTTTAAGTAAGTTAATAAAGATGATCTTTTAATTATAACTCCATGCTTTTGTCTGTGAGAGTCTATAGTCCTGAGATACCAATGTTAGTGAATCTATCAGATAAGTAGAAATCATACATATAAACCGTGAGTGGAAATCTCATAATTTCTGTTTTTTAAAAATCAATACAAGATGCATATAGTTTACAATTGCAATATTTAAAACCAGTAGAATTAATGAGGCAATGTATAACAGTATCTACACATTAAATACATATGCCACCTGAGAAGACTGGCAGTTAATATAAATATGTCAAAGTCTGAACATTTCTTATGCCATAAGGTGTGGTGAAGATACTACTATGCAGAAGTCAGAAGACTGGAACTTGGGTCCCGACTGTCACTTTTACGAGTTCGACCTTGGGAAAATTCCCTAATCTCCCTGAGCTTCAGGTTCCTCATCTGTGAAATGGGACTCATATGATTCACTTTACAAGCTTTGTTGTTACCGAAGGGAGATAACTTCAGTCAATGGTAATAAACATACTTTATAGAGCACCTATTTTGCCCCAATCATTGTGACAGGATTTTTACATTTGCCACTTTAAATCCCCACAGCATCACAGTAGGGGAGGTGCTATTTGACTATTACATTTCTAAGGAGACTGAGACTCAGGCTTAGCATTTACTCAGTTGCACTTAATCAAGTGCAACTTGATTTACTCAGGTGCACTTAATCAAGTGCAATTTGATTTACTCAGTTGCATTTAATCAAGAGGCTTAATTTGGAATCCGAACCTAGACGAAACTGACTCCGGCCTGTGCTCTTTCCTGGATGCCCTGTTGTCCTCACAGAATACAACGTGCTTTTGTCCCATACTAACTGTCTTTAGAACTGTTTTTCTTTGGGGTGCTCTCGTTTTATTGAGATACTGGAGCCCAGAGAAGAGCAATGCAGACAGGAGTGAGGGTTAGCATAAGAAGCTGCCTCTCTGGCTGCACCAGGTTGTATGGCTACTCTTGCTGAGAGAAGAGGGGTACTTGGGTCATTGAGGGGTATCCCCCAAACACACTGCCAGTCCTAGGTTTCCATGCAAGTAGAAAACCATCCTCCTTTTGACATTTGAGGAAAGAGGAATGCTCTGCCTAACTAAAAATGTCTGCCACCTGTCTAGTCTTGTGCTGAAAGCCCTAATTCCTTACAGTCATCTAAGATAGAAGAAGGTAGCAGGATCGGGAATTGGCCACAGAATGGGTAAAATTTGATGGTAAAGAAGAGGGAAGGTGTGCAGCACAGTTTGCTGTCTGGCTGAAGTGCCCTAAACAAGGACGCTTGCAAGGACAGGGCCAAAACCTGAGACCTGGGATCCCAGAGGCCTCATGGGATGCTGGAATGGAAGAGGAGGCCCTGATCACGACTTGGCTTTATAATCCCCTGGACCCCACACCCCACAACCAACCTGGATTCCTGGGAGTGTCTCCTGGTGGGCAAGGCAGCAGAGAGGCAGGTAGGTGAGTTTGGTTCAACTACCCACATGGCTGACGGAGAGGACCACACCCACAATAAGGGAGTTACAAACACCAGCAGATTTGGAGAGGAAGCAAGAGAGGAGAGGGTAGGGGGAAAAAAAGAAACACAAGTTTTAGTATTATTTAAGAGGAAAGATGCAGATCTCACCAGGCTGTTTTAAAAAGAACACAAGTAGCTAGATGGTGAAGATGTAATCATTTTGTTAAAACTCAGGAAAGAGTTGAAAGTTTGCAAATATATTTCCAGATAACATCTGTCTTGGGTAATACGCTGGATTTGTGTCTGATTGAGCTTCATATAATTGATGCATTAAAGAGGTAATTTACATCATGTGGATAAAACTTTCAGGACCTTCCAATTTGTTTTATGAATATCTAGATAAGAAACACACTTTGTGTTTCTCAGGCTTAATATTCTAATAGAGAGAATTTTAAGACCACATAATTTATGAACATTTATTTCAGCTTTTTTGTATGACTTGTTTACTTTGACTAAGTCTCTACACAATGCTCACCTGTAAGGCATGCTCTAGTTCTTTTTTGCAATGCAAATCATGCAGATCAATAGGATATTACTTCAAATCTCAAAAGCTAAAAAGTCATTATAATTATGAAAAAATAAAATCAATGATATCAATGTATATAGAAGCAAGAAGTGAATAAGATGTAGTCAGTGAAATTATCTTTACATCTCATTGCCTGATAGTCACTGGTAAATCATTAGAATTCAATACGATTTTACTGTGTGAATGAGAATGCTGGAGAAGAACTAAGGTAGTAAAATATCAGAGACATAAAGGCAGGATACCTGCCTTGTGTGGAGGGATTGGGGAAGAGAGCATTAGGGAAGAAGGAGCAACCATCTGTAGTCACAGAAGAGGATCTCCAATCTAAGCCACTTATAATTCTCTCTGGAAAGGTCTTGCATGCTTTTTTTAGATTTATTCCTAGAAATTTCACATTTATTGATAACATTATAAATGGTTTCCTTTTTAAAATTTTCCCTTTTTTTGTGACTCATATGAAAAATTATTTATGTAAATTTTCTGATTTATATTCAGCAAACATCCTAAATTTATTTATTCAGTCTAATAATGCATAATTTATCTGCAGATTATTTTTTTATTTTCTATGTACACAATCAAATAAACTGGAAATGCTCAGATTTGGTTTCTTCCTTTCTAAATGTTTTACTGTTTGTTTCTCATTTTTGCTTTACTGCTTTGGCTAGGACCTTCAGGAAATGTTGAATAGAGTAATGCAAAAATCCTTAAAGTTACACCACCATGTATTATGCTTGCTACAGGTTTCTGTAGATACTGTTTATTAAGTTAAGGAAGTTCTTGTCTGTCTGTGGTTTTCTAGTGCTTTAATTTTATTTGTTAATTTGATTGATTATAATAGTTGATTTTCTAATGTTAAACCAGGCTTGAATTCCTGAGATAAACTCAGTTTTATAACAATATTATCTTTTTCACACGTTGTGGAACCCAACTTTCTAATATTTTGGTTGGGCAGCTGTTCTTTTGATCATGAATGAGACTTGCTATATTTCCTTTGTTCCCCTGTCAAGCTAATTCAGGACATTTCTATTTTTCTACTTGCTGGGAGAATTTGTATACTATTGGAATTACCTATTTATCAAATATTTGGCAGAATTCTCCTGCAAAGCTATCTGGGAGTAGAAATTTTCTGTTAGAAGGTTTTTGATCACAGAATCAAATTAATGTCTGTAGACTATTCGTGGTTTCCATTTCTTCTTGAGTTACTTTAGTAAGTTATATTTGTACTCAAAATTGCCTGTTTTATCTAAATCTTATTTTTATGTATCAACATAACATTTTAATAATGTTATATTATTGATAATACTTTTGTCTGTAATATCTATAATGATGTTTACTTTTTTTTTCATTTTTATCATTGTTTTATGGGCTTCTACCCCTCTTTTAAAATTAAGGATACCAGGCATTTGTCAATTTGATTTGTATTTTCAAAGAACCAACTTTTGATTCATTTATTCTCCATAGTCTATGTTTCTTTTTTTGGAGACAGGGTCTCATTCTGTCGCCCAGGCTGGAGTGCAGTGGTGCCATCATGGCTCATCACAGCCTCGATCTCCTTGGCTCAAGCAATCCTCATACCTCAGCCTCCCAGTAGTTGGCACTACAGGTAAGCACCACCATGCATAGATAGTTTATTTATTTATTTATTTTATTATTATTATTATACTTTAAGTTTTAGGGTACATGTGCACAATGTGCAGGTTAGTTTCATGTGTATACATGTGCCATGCTGGTGTGCTGCACCCATTAACTTGTCATTTAGCATTAGGTATATCTCCTAATGCTATCCCTCCCCGCTCCCCCCACCCCACCACAGTCCCCAGAGTGTGATGTTCCCCTTCCTGTGTCCATGTGTTCTCATTGTTCTATTCCCATCTATGAGTGAGAACATGCGGTGTTTGGTTTTTTGTCCTTGCGATAGTTTACTGAGAATGATGATTTCCAGTTTCATCCATGTCCCTACAAAGGACATGAACTCATCATTTTTTATGGCTGCATAGTATTTCATGGTGTATATGTGCCACATTTTCTTAATCCAGTCTATCATTGTTGGACATTTGGGTTGGTTCCAAGTCTTTGCTATTGTGAATAGTGCCGCAATAAACATACGTGTGCATGTGTCTTTATAGCAGCATGATTTATAGTCCTTTGGGTATATACCAGTAATGGGATGGCTGGGTCAAATGGTATTTCTAGCTCTAGATCCCTGAGGAATCACCGCACTGACTTCCACAATGGTTGAACTAGTTTACAGTCCCGTTAACATTGTAAAAGTGTTCCTATTTCTCCACATCCTCTCCAGCACCTGTTGTTTCCTGACTTTTTAATGATCGCCATTCTAACTGGTGTGAGATGGTATCTCATTGTGGTTTTGATTTGATAGTTTAAAAAAATTTTTTTGTAGTGATGGGATCTCATTCTGTTGCAAGGCTGGTTATTTTTTCTTGTATTAATTTCAGGTCTTATTATCATTTCCTTTCTTTACTTTCTTTGGAGTTATTTTGTTGTTTTTAAAATCTCAGAGGATAGGTGCTTATTATATTTAGTATTATATTTAGCCTTTTTTTAAAAAGTACACTTTTAAGACTATATGCGTTTCTCTTAAAATGGCTTTATCTTCATTCTACAGGTTTTGAAATGTGGAATTTTTATTATCCTTAAATTCAAATTACTTTCTACTTTTCATAACAGTTTTGTAGCTCTGCATGCTAGTGAAAGGGTATTTTAAATTTGTTATCCATTTAGAAATTTTCAATTTGTCTGTATTTCTATTTAAATTGTATTGTACTCAGATAACATGTTTCACATGACATTAATCCTTGGTATTTGTTGAGAATTGCTTTATTCTCCACTATGCATGGCCAATTTCTGTAAATGTTACATACTTTCTAAAGGTTTCGGTTGTAGTATTCTATATAGTTGCATTAAGTTAAGCTGGTTGTGATATACAAATCTTCAAAGTTCTTTATAAGTTTTTGAATAATTTCTTCTTGTAATTCTGTTTGATTTTGCTATTTTTATTTTTGAGGCAATTTTATTAGGTGAATAGAAACTTAAAATAGCATATCTTGCTGGCAATGTAGGTCTTTACCATTATACTTTATTTCTAGCAATGTCTTTCCATTTTAAAGTTCCTTTTGCCCAGCTGCATGTTTTCTTTGGTTAGCCATTGGATGATATATATTTTTCCATACTTATTAGTATTTCATGTTTTAAATATATCTTATTTTGTTTAATTTTTTTAAAAATCCGGTTGATAATCGTTGTATTTTATTTGCAGCATTTAGTTCATTTACTGTTAATGTAACTGCTGATATATTTGGGTCCATTTAATGTCTGCTTTCCTACAATCCCATCTCTTCTTTATATTCTTTCTTCAGTTGCATTAGTCAAGTTTTATTATTTTTTGGCCTAGTGTGGAAGTTATACCTTCTTTTTTTTTTTTAGTAGTTATCCTAAAAATATAATATGTATACTTACCTTATTATGTTCTAAAACTAATTAACATTTTTATCCTCCTCCTGGTAAGTACAAGGATCTTAGAACATTTTAACTCCCCTAATATGGTTTGGCTGTGTCCCCACCCAAATCTCATCTTGAATTGTAGCTCCCATAATTCCCATGTCTGTGGCAGGGGGGACCCAGTGGAAGATAATTGAATCATGGAGGGAGTTTCCCCTATAACTGTTCTCGTGGTTTTAAGTCTCACGAGAGCTGATGGTTTTATAAGGGGTTTCCCCTTTCACTTGGCTCTCATTCTCTCTTGTCTGCTGCCATGTAAGATGTGCCTTTCCTCTTCCACCATGATTGTGAGGCCTCCCTAGCCACATGGAACTGTGAGTCAATTAAACCTCTTTTTCTTTATAAATTACCCAGTCTCAGGTGTGTCTTTATCAGCAGTGTGAAAACGGACTAATGCACCCTCCTAACTTACATTATTGCCTACATTTTTATTATTTTTGACCCCACAGGTTATTATTAATATTGTTTTATACAATCATTATTTGCTTAGATTTGCTGAATATTTAAAACTTTCTTCATTTTTTATTTCTTTTTGTATTTCACACATCATATCTGAGATTGTCTTTCTTTGGCTTGAAGTAAATCCTGTGTAATATTCTTCAGTGAGAAGTAACTTTCTCAGTTTTTGTCTGTATAAAAATATCTTTAGTTATTCTTGCAAGATCTCTTCACTGATATGGAATTCTAAACTGCGATTATTTTCTTTCAGCATGTTGAAAGTATCACTTTATTATCTTTGGAATTCCATTGTTGCTTTTGTGAAGTCAAGTATCAGTCTAGTTATTTTTTAAAAAGGTCATGTATCTTTTATTCTGGCTGATATTTAAGATTTTCTGTTTATCTTTGGTGGTCTGATGATATTTAGCTGGTAATTCCTTATTTTCTTATCAACTTTTCAATACTTTTAAAATGTTAAATTTTTTTTTGCAATTTTAGTCATTTTCAGCAAGAGGACTGATGAATAATTTTGTCATATTTCTGGAACAGAAATTCACAGGCATTTAACATTTATCTGACAGTGTTGGGAAAAACACAGAGAAGGACAGCGCCAGCGGGCTTAAAGAAAAATGTGGATAGCATAAGAGAGACTTAATAATATTTGTGAGCAGAAAAGACTAAATTAGACAGAACTGGCCTATTGCCTGAAAAGCTTCCCAGAAAGAATCAGAAGTAGTTGGATAGAGAAGGATGGCAAATAGGATGTCAATCTTTGATGACTCCTCACTCTCGCTCAGTTAAAAAAGCAACTTAAAAATGATCAGATTTTAGAATGAGATGCAAAAATGAAAAATAGAATCAACCATCTACTTTCTCTTTTCTCACATAAATTCACTCAACCAAAAGTAAATAAATAAATAATTAATAAAACGACAGACAAAATGCAAATCTTCATGTAAGTCCTAAACTGTAATGTTTAAAGACATTGCACTTACAAGGGGAAAATATACCTGCATTTTCCATTTCATGAAAAAAAAGTATGTGAGCCAAATCAACATTTAAAACATTCTTAACTTGTAAAGAATATTAGGGAGATTTTATAGAATTCCCCTTAGTTTTTATATTTGAAGAAAAAAATTAGTTAAAAATGGTAGTTTTAATTTGGACAGCACTTTAGAACTTAGAATAGTCAATATTACTTATTAAATTCTATTTTTGTACAATTTGTAAATAAACTCTCTCTCTCTCTCTCTCTCTCTCTCTCTCTATATATATATATATATATATTTTTTTTTTTTTTTTTTTTTTTTTTTTTTTTTTGAGATGGAGTCTCGCTCTGTCACCCAGGCTGGAGTGCAGTGGCACGATCTAGGCTCACTGTAAGCTCTACCTCCCAGGTTCACGCCATTCTCCTACCTCAGCCTCCCGAGTAGCTGGGAGTACAGGCGCCTGCCACCATGCCTGGCTAATTTTTTTTTTTTTTTTTGTATTTTCATTAGAGACGGGGTTTCACCATGTTAGCCAGGATGGTCTCTATCTCCTGACCTCGTGATCTGCCCACCTCAGCCTCCCAAAGTGCTGGGATTACAGTCTTGAGCTACCTTGCCCAGCCATAAATAAACTATTTTTAAGCCCATTACCCATTCAAAAGGGTTATTATTTAACTCACCCAAGAAAACCATTTTTAAAAAATGGTATAGCAACATTCCTCCTTTTTGTGTAAGTTATATTTCTAATTACAATGCATTTCCCAGGTACCATTAGGCATTAGCAAGGTGTTTAATTATACTTTTTCATCCAAGTTAACCTCAATTATTGTGGTTTCACTGAAAGTTTTCTTATTTAGTTCCTAGCTGTACCTTTGCCCAATTCATTTTCTTTCAGAAGATGAAATCAATACCTGAGATGGGACCAGTACATCTGTTTAATGGTTAACAATGATTACCCTTTTTATTCATTCAGCAGTTACCATTGTTCATTTTTTTTTTTGGGTGAGACAAAAGTTCGTGGAGTAAGAATTATTTGCTTTCTAAAGGTAGATCATTAATAAAGTAATTGAGTAATAAAATAATTGAAATGGAGATAATTAAACAGCCATAACCTATATGCAACTATTATTAATGGCAACCTGAAGCATTATGCTCCATATAAATCATAAAAACAGAAAAAGTTTACTCACTATAAAGACCATAAACCGGATATGATATAAGTATGTGTTTCAGGTTTTATAACTCCATATATTTCCAAATAGCCAAAGTTCAAGAAACTTTGACTTGCTCCTGGAAACCACATTTCATCTTTTCTGGAGGAAGCAGAGCATGAAATTTTCCCGAGGCTGAGCAGATGAGGAGTTTCCTCATTATTAGGACAATATAGCCATTGGCATAGCAGGTTTATGCTGTTGCCTCATTAGATGCCACTGAGAAAACTGAATTAAGAGCAAAAAGTGAGCAAGTCCAACTATGGTGATTATGTAAAGAGACTTCCAGATGTCTTAGTACTTTAAAACAATGCTTCTCTTATTCCTAAAATGTCCAAAAGTGCTATACATATATCTTTGAGAGAAATCCTATAAATGTAATATTTGTTGCAAATAATAGTTGCAAACAGGCAAGAGAGCTTCTGTGTGATGCAAGCAAAGAGGACAAAGCAAAATCTCAAAATTTAGGAGCTGGTGTTTGTTGTAGCTCAGGGAGAAATCTCAGCAGGTCATCCAGTTTATTAGCCAGCTTCTAGGCAGAGTGGAACTGAATGTGTCCTATATAGAAGAGCATTGTGGTTAGAAATGTCTTCCCTTGTGAAGGATTTAAACTAAAATGTGCCCACTAAGAGAAAAAGACTCTTATTTTTCCCTCAAGACCTACTTTGTAATAAGATCTTTTATGTATACTTTTAGTGTTTACATGATAATTGCCCCCCAAATCCGACATATATGTTTCACATGTAGTTACATTCCAGTTGTGATAAAATAGCCACAGGAACTGAGAGGATACTTTATTTTTATTAGTGTTCCTAATGTACTGGCTCAATTCTTCTCCACTGTAGATGGAATGAAGTTTATTGCTTTAAGCAAAATTACCAGTGCAGCAATAAATTGTCATGGTTATATGTCCCGGGCCTTCTTGTCACTGATTCAAATTTACTTCTGAGCTCCTCATTTTCTAAGGTAAAGTCTTCTATAAATACACAGGCATTTCATTTCTCCTTAAACACTCAATCAAAATGGGATATCTTTCTAATGATTTGTTAACAGTTCCATAAACAACTTAAAAGTACAACAATCAGAAAGAACATAATCCTTTCTAAGCAATTGTAAAACCAAGTAGAAATCTGTGTGCATGTTCATTCTTTTATTCTTTCAACAAATAGCTACTGATATGGTTTGGCTGTGTCCCCACCCAAATCTCATCCTGAATTGTAGCTCCTATAATTCCCTTGTGTTGTGGGAGGGACCCTGTGAGAGGTAATTGAATCATGGGAGTAGGTCTTTTCTGTACTGTTCTTATGATAGCGACTAAGTCTCACGAGGTCTGATGGCTTTATAAAGGGGAGGTCCCTTGCACATGCCCTCTTTGCTTGTCACCATGTAAGACGTGGCTTTGCTCCTCTTTGCCTTCTGCCATGATTGTGAGGCCTCCCCAGCCATATGGAACTGTGAGTCAATTAAACCTCTTTCCTTTATAAATTACCCAGTCTTAGGTATGTCTTTATTAGCTGCTTGAGAACAGATTAATACAGCTACTGGGCAGCAAGCACAGTGCAAGGAGCTCAAGATACTGCAGTAAATAAAGCAGACAAACATCCCTACCTTCGTGGAGTTTATGTTGTACTAGAGAAGAGAGACAGAAAAGCAATAAAATAAATAAAAGTAAAATATGTAAGATATGAAGGAAAATAACATTTGAATATTACTCTTATAAAGTAAATATTTTCACATAAGTTGATAGTTTTCTTTGTACACAAATAATAAGAATCAGGTCAGGAAACATTAATAAACACATTCAGAGTAGTCAACTAATTTTGCCAAAGTCACACAGTAGGTCATAGAATATGATCTTAAAACCCAGGTCTTTCAATTTCATGCCTTGGGATTTTTCCATTACAAAATACTGCCTACACAGCACCAAAAGTAAATTACATGTTTCCAGAGAGCTGTATATTGAATATCATGGAAATAAAAATTCAAATGATCTGAAAGATTGAATGTATATTTGAATATTCCAAGGTTTTCTACTCATAGCCTCAAAAAAGAAAAAGGCAGGACCCAATTAATAAGAATGGAATGGAGCAGCTGGATAATTAGCAATAGTACACCTGTTATTACTCCTTTTTAGTTGTCGTTTTTTTAATAGACTTCTCTTTCAGAGGGATTCTGAGTCTATTTGTCTCATTGCAGGCACTTCTACTACCTTGGTTTATGAGTATGGGGGTAAAGGAGGTGTCATTTTGCGGGGAAGCTTACGGAGGAAAGCTAAGGGGTAGTACATAAGTCTGTTTTACAGTTGCAGGAAATGCCTTCATTGGAGAGTTTTAGAAGTAAAACATGGAGGGCAAAATATTTTCAGACTGTTTAGGTGGCCACAGAGGTGTAGTAGTTGTTTTGTTCAAGTTGGATAATTATGAGTCTTAAAAGAAAAAAAAATGTCACCAAGGAAACAAGGCACCAAGTTTTAGATAGTTTTACTTTTTATTAAGCCATGGTTATTAGCCTGCTGTAGAATGCATGAGACCAATGTGGAAATGCCAAGGGCACAACAGCATGTCAAGCTTAATGAAGCTCACTGTGACTGACACACTTGGAAAAGGTCAAGAAGTGTGCAGCAGAATGGACAACACACAGATTCATTTCTTCCATGACTGTGCACTCAAGCAAAGCAGCATGGAGAATTGAGCCATTATTCAGTGAAATTCATCAGCATTCTGTTCAATGTTGACCATACATTCAAGCAACTCTAATTTACTGCCCAAATTGTCCACTATCTGCATTCTTTACCCACTTTGCTCTTTTTAAGACCAGAGAGGCTGTGTGGAAATACAATACACATATATAAGATAATTGTAATTGTAATTTACTTCTTTCTTTTTTTTTTTTTTTTTAGCACAGTCTATGTGATTTTACCCCTTACAATAGTGCCAAGAGAGCAATTGCATCCCAGCTCCAGTCTGAAAGTGGTTAAAGTAGCCAGGAGTGGGAAGAACCAGAGACAAGTTTAAATTGTGTCCTTGGGAGTATGAAAGGTCAAAGTCTGAGACACTGAATTCTCTGGCCAATTCTATGGAGTGAACTTAGGGCCCACTGGGAAAATAAGAAAAATATAAAAAGATTCAAAATTCAAGAAGAATAGAATTGGGAATGAAAAAGGGAGAGCTATTCTTAACTAGTTCACCCAAGTGATCCCATACCTCTAAGATTTTCAGTCTAGATTTATATTCTCACTGCAGATCTTTCTCTTGAGCTTCAGATTTGAATACCCAATGGCATGTTGGATGTCTACATCTACATATTTCACATCTATTTCAAATACAACTTATTTCAGTCTGCTCTGCCTTTCCCTAGGACTTTGCTGCTCAGTTTTTGGCATTACAATTAGCCCAAATTATCTAAACTAAAGAAAAATTGAATTTACCCTTGAATCTCTTTTCCCTCACCCCAATCAAATACCAAATACTTCCAATTTTGCTCTCCGAATATGTCTTGCATTCCGTCCCCTTCTTTCTGTTCTTAATATCACTGAATGGATTCAGTCCGTCCTTATGTGGCAGAGATGAAGAAACCAAGACTGAGGGATGAAGTAATTTACCAATGGGCGGTGATGGAGTCAGGGTTCCAGTCTGGACTGTAGGGTCCATCCTCTCCCGACTCTGAGCTCTCCCCTGCTGTCCCACCCTGCCTTTACCAACTCAGACACTGTCCAGTTTCCTAAATATGGTGTGAAGGCAAAAATTGTACCAAAGTTAAATAGATAAGAAAGACTTTATTTGAGGCTATTGCAATGAAGGAGAACTCCATTTCTTAAATAGGAAATGGAACTCATTTCTGCTTAAACAAAGAGCAGGGGAGTTTTTAAGAGCAGGGTTGGGGGTGAGAATGAAAACCGTAGGCCATCTGTGTTTGTTAACTGGCCTTATCTAAAGGAAAAGTAAACTTTCTCGTATCTTCATGAGAGGAGGGGCTTGCAAAACTGCAACTGGAAACAACGCACCCACAGAAGTTAGGCTCCTACCCTCCCACAGAAACTGGAAGATGGGATGCTATCTCCCTGCATGTTTGCATTTC
The DNA here is from genome assembly GCF_000001405.40 of Homo sapiens. Lineage (NCBI taxonomy): Eukaryota > Metazoa > Chordata > Mammalia > Primates > Hominidae > Homo > Homo sapiens. The sequence goes on from NC_000002.12 coordinate 228,159,524, forward strand.
AAGGAGGTGGCTCCCGGGTCTTTAAAGAAAGACATCCCTGGGTTATAAAATTGAAAAGAGGCTTTTAAAAGGATTTATGTCACAAAAGGTTAAAGAAATAACTTACAATTACACATTTTCTAGAGAAACTGCTTTAAGAAAATGGAGATCTGGGCCTAGAGTCAGGAAGTATATGTGAAGTTTGGCCAAACTGAGGGACATATTAAGGTCATCTTCTATAGACTACAGGGGGCTTCAATCATCAAGCCCTTCCCTTCGTCTCTGCTCTACTTTCTCACCACAGAGAACTATGTATTTTGCCTCTGTGTCATCATCACTATGTCTGTGGAACTAATTTTTATGTAAGGGCATCTTTGCAGTCTCCTTCCAGACCAATCTGTGGTTTGTTGACTGCTACTAGGAATCTGTTCTGGGGCTAGGAGCCTGGAGCCAGGAGCTTCTTGTTCATTTGGAGAGGAAGTCAAGGGAACCTGACATTCCCTATCCTCAGCTGCCAAACAAGATCTTTAACAGAAAAACCTCCATCACTTTGAAGAAGACAGAAATCAGCCAAAATACAAATTAGAGTGGAGGAAGTTTAGCTTAATTTGGAGTTTTCAATGAACATGAGAATTGATGCTGTCAGTGGAATCTGGCATGGAAGCAGGGGAGGTAGAATATTGTATCAATCATGTCCATCTTCCCCATGATTATACAATTTAAATGTTCTTTAGCTAGATCTATGAGTACCTTCTGAATGAAATACTTTAATATATTTACTTTGTTACCGGTAAACTTTTATATACCAATTGTATTAGTCTGTTCTCACACTGCTATAAAGAACTGCCTGAGACTGGGTAATTTATACAGGAAAGAGGTTTAATTGACTCACAGTTCCAAATGGCTGAAGAAGTCCTCAGGAAACTTACAATCATGGCAGAAGGGGAAGGAAACATGTCCTTCTTCACATGATGGCAGGATGGAGAAGCATCGAGCAAAGAGGGAAAAGCCCCTTATAAAACCATCAGACCTTGTGAGAACTCACTCACTATCATGAGAACAGCAGCATGGGGGGTAATCGCCCCTATGATTTAATTAACTCCCACCAGATCCCTCCCATGACACTTGGGGATTATGAGAATTACAATTCAAGATAAGATTTGGGTGGGGACACAGCTAAATCATATCACCAATCAAAGATACTTGATGGGACAATGACTGCTTTTAGGTGAACTTTTTCAACATATTTTAAACCTCTGCATATTTGTGAGTTAATAAATACTTATTTTCAGTGCTCTGAACTCAGTGTCCCTGTCCTTATACTGACTTTCTTGGCCTTCCAAATAAGATATTAGCATCTGAGTTCTCTGCGCTCACAGGTAAACTTGGCCCAGATAACATTTATGTTTCATTTATTTGTCTAACGAACATTTGTCAGATCTGACATTGTGTCAAATGCGATGAGGCACTGTAGATGCAAGAGTGACAAAACTTAGATGAATCTTCCTTTCAACAAGCTCACAGTGAGTGGATAAGGTAGGTGTTAAACAAATAATCACATAAACAAGTACAAATGTGTCACTGTCATGAACTGTGAGGCACTGATACTTAGCAGGGATTTGACTTAGTAAAGGAAGTCCAGGGAAAGCTTCACTGGGAGTCTGGCTTATAAAGGATGAATAGGAATTAGCTAGGTAAAGAGACCCAGTAGGTAGGAATGACTAAAAGTAGGTCAGTCTAGCTACTGCGTAGACAGTGAGAGAATGTGAAAGTCAGGAAAAGCCTGGATAGGAAGACAGGGTGAGCTCACATGAGACCTTTGAGGTGTTCAGAGCAGATGTAAGTGGGAGGCTACTGAGTTGGCCCAATCTAGAAACAATGATATTTTCATTTGCTGCATGAGTTTCAGCCATCAGTGAAGAAAAAAGTTCGTAAGATATTTGCTCAGAGAACAGAAAACCAAACACTGCATATTCTCGCTTAAAAGTGGGAGCTTAACAATGAGAACACGTGGACACAGGGAGGGGAACAATACACACTGTCAGAGGGGTGAGGGAGGGAGAGCATCAGGAAAAATACTTAATGCATGCTGGGCTTAATACCTAGGTGGTGGGTTGATAGGTGCAGCAAACCACCATGGCACACGTTTACCTATGTAACAAACCTGCATGTCCTGCACGTGCACCTTGGAACTAAAAATAGAACAAAATAAAATAAAATAAAATAAAATAAAATACATGTTTGCTTAGAAGTACAAATCCACATTGCATCTAATCCACTCTTACAAATTGCCCTTGATTGAAATGTTTGTTTGTTTTTGCCACCTCGGACTCCAAGCTTTTATGTCCTATTAAGTATGTGGTAATCAGTTGAAATGCCTTGTTTATAGCATTGCCAGTACTATATTCAGAAATATTCCTAGGCTTTCTATCTATTGCATTATTAAATCAGAGCATGGTTCAAGTTCATATTCCTTCAGAAGTACAATTTATTAACAAAATAATCATGGCCCAGAGGAAGGAGTCAATAGAAAATAGAAGGCATTTACCAATTACTAGGAATTTGCTTTGTTTTTATTTTTGATAGATGTTGGTTGTAACCTATACATATTCTTTGCTAAGAAATAACCCTTGAGCCATGTAGAGTCAGGAGTTGGGCCCCTTCAGAGGCTGAGGTTTGCTGCTTCTGTGTACTTTCCTTCCAAACAAATGAGGTTGGAGAAACAGGTTGATCTCCAGAATGAGAAACTCTTCAGATGCTTCCTGCCTTTTTATATCTGCATTTCAGAATCAAAAGAGCTAAATTAGAGAATTTATTAATAGTTAAATTTCAGGTATCAATTCTGATATAAGTAATATCTTGTGGAAATGTCTCTTATATTTGAAGTATTCTAACTGGCCAAATCAAGTGGATCCTTCCCCTTAATTACTGATTGGTAAGCTTTATCTTAGTTTAAACTTGAACAAGACCAGTGGTTTGGCAATTTTAAATAAATTATATTCATGCAGCTATTCAAAAGTTGTCAACATGCAATGAAAAGTGTTCAATGAAATTAGTTGTTAATACTGACAACAGGGATTGTATAGCACACATACATTATATATTGCTATATTAATCTGACTTTGAGAGGTAACAGGATGGGAGGGACACAGGTTGGCAGAATACATAGGAGAGGAAACAAAGCCCTTCTTTTTATTTATTTATTTATTTTTTTAGACGGAGTTTTACTCTTGTTGCCCAGGCTGGAGTGCAATGGCGCAATCTTGGCTCACAGCCACCTCCGCCTCCCGGGTTCAGGTGATTCTCCTGCCTCAGCCTCCCAAGTAGCTGGGATTACAGGCATGTGCCACCACACCTGGCTAATTTTTGTAATTTTAGTAGAGATGGGGTTTCACCATGTTGGTCAGGCTGGTCTCAAACTCCTGACCTCAGTTGATCCATCCAGCTCGGCCTCCCAAAGTGCTGTGATTACAGGTGTGAGTCACGTGCCTGGCCACAAAGCCCTTCTTAAAGCCAGTACCATGAGGAGGTAGCAAAACTGGGAGGAACAGCTTTGTTACAGCCACAGAAACAGAATTATTAAGCACTGGGGCTCTCAGACAAAATCTTGCTGTCCCACTTTTAAAGTGAGCAGAAAGCAATTGCATGTCGGTGAGCAACTGGATATCAGCAGCAACAATGACAGGCTGGGGATTACCAACACAACCCAATGTTTTTCTGGTAGGTTTTAGATTTTTGCACTACCCCAGTGAATGACTGCAATTATTAAGCCAACTGAGTGGCATGGGGATCCAGGGAGACAGAGAGATGAGAGAGAGAAAACGAGAGAGAGAGAGAGATTTAATTAGAATAAAGAAATAATATTTATTATACATGTATCAAATGTTAGGGGCAAAAATTTTTTGATTGAATTCCAATAGCTTTTATGTTCACTATGCAAGATGCAGACTAAGGTACTAAGTGACCCACTACCAGCTCCTCCTCCTCATCTTATCTGCATATTCTCTCTCTCGTTTACTCCTTATTTTATCCCACTCCATCCTTTCCTCAGTAATATTGAAGAGGAGCAATTGTACCTATTTATAACGTACACAGGTCAACATGGGTGTTTGCAGGTGTGGGCAGTATTTCCACCTCCCTTGCTATGTGCTGTTGAGAACATGGCAATATAGCAACAAATATTATGAAGAAGCCCTTTGGGATAGTCTGGGTTGCCTTCTTATTTGCATGACGTATGACCAACCTGTTGGGTGACTGTTTCCAGATGTCCTTGAAACTCAATAAGATGCTTTTAAAATGTCATCTTAATGACAGCTGCCACTTTTGAATAATCCTATTCTGGTGATCCTGTAATATTAGCTCTCCCCAGGAATGCCCCTGTGATGGTTAATATTAGCTGTCAACTTGATTGGATTGAAAGATGCCTTGATGGCTGGTAGAGTATTGTTCTTGGGTGTGCCTGTGAGGGTGTTGCCAGAGGGGATTGATATTTGGGTCAGTGGACTGGGAGAGGAAGACCCACTCCCAGTGTGGGTGGGCACCATCCAATTGGCTTGCCAGCACAGCAAAAACAAAGCAGGTAGAAGAAGATGGGATAACTTCCCTTGCTGAGTCTTCTGGTTTCCTTCTTTCTCCTGGGCTGGATGCTTCCTTCTGCCCTTGGACATCAGCCTGCAGGTTCTTCAGCCTTTGGACCCTTGGACTTAACACCAGTGGTTTGCCAGGGCCTCTCAGGCCTTCAACCACAGGCTGAAGGCTGCACTGTTGGCTTCCCTGGTCTGGAGACTTTCAGACTTTGACTGAGCCACTACTGGCTTCTTTCTTCCTCAGCTTGCAGATGTCCTATTGTGGGCCTTTGCCTTGTGATCGTGTGAGCCAGTTCTCCCTAATAAACTCCCTTTCATGTATACATATGTCCTATTAATGCTGTCCCTCTGGAAAGCCCTGACTAATACAGCCCCCAAACATTGTGGTATTGAAGTTATAGTTTCAACAGTGATTATTACAATAGTAACAGTTTCTGTTTATGAAGCATTTACAATATGCCACACACTGGGCTACAACCTTTATATGAATTAGGGCTTCCAGCCACCTCTACATTGAAAACCATCAGTGACATCACATTGTTTTTAGGAGGAATACCCAATGGTCCCCAAGGCTTAACCTATTCTGGCCCCTACCTTTCAGGTCTCATTGTCACTCATCTCTCCCTCATTTCCTGTACTTCAGGCACACACCTAGAGCTCTTTAAACGCTCAATTGCTCTCCTGCCTCTGGACTCTTTCAACTGCTGGTCTGGCTGCCAGAGCACTCTTCCTCATGAGAATGCACTCTGCTTTGCTCTCGTGCTTAAGTCTTGTTCATTGTCATATGTTCTTAAAGACCATGTTCCCTTTTCTTGGCGCACACATGTCAATTTGCTATATGTCCACTGATGTCATTGTCTTTCTCTCCATTGGTACCATGAGAAGGGGGTGGACTCTACTTGTGTTCATTATTGCATTTCAGCTGATATTATCTGATATACAGTAAAGGATCAATATTAGTACTGAATAAATAAAAGTATGAATGGATTCTGTTTTGCCAAGGCTTATATCTATTTTATATTAGACCTTAACTCTCTATAAAGAGACTTGTTTCTGTGGCAGCATTTTTTTTTTTTTTACCCATCTCACAGGCATTTGGAACCCACTACAGGGGTCAATGAGTGACTCGGTAACTCTGTCAGACTAGACATGTATCCATTTCCCCAAAGTCCTGGTCACTTCAAACACTGTTAGAAGTCCCACTACACAGTTCTAATCCAATTGATCTATGTGCTGTCTTTTAGACTTTGAATAACACTGTGGTCTTATCCAAAGGGAAGAGAAGGGTATTGATATTTATCAAGGGCCTGCTTTCTTCCTGGAACACCGTTTGGTGCCTTTCATACATTCAGTTGAAATAACTACCAGTGCATTAAAAATAGAATAATAATTTTAAGGTATTTTGGAAACATAAAGACCTCTGTAATATTAACTACTTTAGAACATTTCTTAGAGGACTGAGTTTTTGAAATATTCAACTGCACCTGCATTGCTTAGTGAGATAACTCACTCCTCTACAGATAACCTTTGTGAAAATAAAAATGATTTTTGGCAATGTCATTCCCTGGAGAAAATCTGATAAACTTAAAGTGATTGCAAATTATCCCCCAAAAGATCAAGTGTCCTTGTTATTGTTAAGCCAGTCTCTGCAATTACAAGATTGTGTAAGAAAGCAAGAGTTGTCTTAACTAATGTACTGAACATTTAACAATTAGTTTCCAGTAAAGTTCTCACCCCACCTACCTTGAATGTCTCTCTGTCCATTGCATCAACATATTTGGTGGTTGTTGCCTGTTGATTCTTTAAGAGGTTATGATTTTTATTTAAGTAAAATGCTAATCAACTGGAATGGCAAACTTTGAGGAAGATGAAGGATTTCCAAAAAAAGAAGAAAGTAACATTACGGAACTCTTTAATCACATGTCAAACTACCACCAAATGAGTCTGGCAGAGTGAGAACAGTTAATGTCAGAAGAGGAGAAAATCCACGAGGACTATGACATGATAGGTGCCTCAAAGAGACAGATCTGAGAATCAAAGAATTAAAGGGAGTACTGGCAAAATTGATGAGGCTGTTTATGAGGTGTTTATGATCTTGTGACACAAGGGCCATGTTTACATACAATTTTGAAGGGAAAATTATGATCTATTAATCAACACCTAATTCATTGTTTATTACATAATTCATATTTACTTAAAAACTATTGACAAAATGAACTAATTTCCCTTATATTATTTTGAAAGAGAAATGCCCAAACATATTAACCTTGTTCAACATTTAGTATGACACCTAGACCTCCTTGTAGTAAATTTACTTCACATGCCTTTTTCCAAGTTTTATGCGCCCACACATAATGAAGACTAAATTCAAGTCACTAGGTTTTATCTCTTCCTTTCAAATAAGTTAAGTAAGCTGTTCCCCTGATTTTTTGCCCACTCTCAATCATTCATGCCAGTCTTATATAATTAATTTTCAAGGTTAAAACTTGTATCATATCTTCTCCTTTCCTGCCTCATTCTTTATATATGTTCTTATTTATCCTGTGGAAAATGTCTTTGACACAATAGAAATACTGAGGAAAATGTTATCATTAATATTTTCACACATTTCTTCTGCATGATGAATGACTATGATCTATAAGAGCTGAGTGTTATTATGGTTATTGTATCATTCTTGCATTGCTATGAAGAAATACCTGAGACCTAGTGATTTATAAAGAAAGCAGGTTTAATTGGCTCACAGTTCTGCGGGATGTACAGGAAGCATAGAACTGGCATGTGCTTCCAGAAAGTTTTCTGGAAGTTTACAGTCATGGCAGAAAGCAAAGTGGGAGCTAGCACAACACATGGTGAGAGCAGGATCCAGAGAGAGAGGGGAGGGTGCCATACACTTTCACACAACCAGATTTTGGGAGAACTCACTATCACGAGGACAGCACCAAGAGGATGGTGCTAAACCATTCATGAAAAACCCGGCCCCATGATCCAATCACTTCCCACCAGGCCTCACCTCCAACACTGAGGGTTAAATTTCAGCAGGAGGTTTGGGTGGGGACATACATCCAAACTATATCAATTGTGATAACAACTTCTCTAGTTAGGATGTTCTCTGAATAGTGAATCTCTTTCTTGGATACTTTTTATAACGATCCATGTGATGAAACTGCAGCTAATTTTCTATATTACCTGATTCTCATGAAGTCACCACATTTTTTTTCACGTTTGCAAAGACAGAAATACTAATAGTGTAACAGAATGCCAGATCAGATCACCGATCTACTGATAATTAACACAAGTGAAGTCAACGTACCTTTTTAATCACTATATTGAAGCACTGTTGATTCATTTATTTAAAAAGTTGAAGTAAAAATTAAAAATATTCAGGATATATTAAATCCATGAGTCAGCAATGAACACATTATATGGGGCCAAGATTTTGCTTAGAGAAAAATGACTTCAATGGGTTCTTAATTTATTTTTATCTGAGTTTTATTTTTGGTTTGAATTACCCAGATAAATTCTTTAATGCATTTTTCTATGTAAATTAAGTGGAAGAATTATGTATTCAGGTGAAAATAAGTGGGTAAGTCTATTCGTATACGCAGTCTACCAAAAGTAATTTACTGAATTCTTTTTATGTTCTTAGTTCAAAATTATAGGCTTGTAGGACAAAAAGAAATAAGGTATGTTATGTAACTTACATTAACACTGAAGTATATAGAAAGGAAATAATCAATTCTCTTAGTATCTTTGGCAGCAGTACTAAATATTTTAAAGTTTCTACTGTATGATTTAATTCATTGTAATATCTGAGAAAAATACACTAAAGTATAAAATGTACCAACTGAAAAAGACATGCTCATACATGAATACCTTTAGTATACACTGATATATATGCACACATATTTAAAATGTATATGTAATATTACACTTAACGAATAATTTAGGAAAATATCTAACAAAACTTTAGCATTCTATCTTATTATATATTTATTTTAAAACAGCTGATTTACTTTAATGCACTAATCATTTCAAAGAAACTACTTACAACTTTTTATATACAGTTTATCATGAAAGGCAAATTAAATATGAATAGACCATAATTTTATGAGCTCCAACTTGCCACAAGAAAATTATTTTTTCTGTTGTTTTAAAGAAAATGATTGCTCTATAGACTAATTGATTTAATAATGGATATAGACAGACCTCATTTTACTGCACTTTACTATGCTCTGCAGATACTGTGTTATAAATGGAAGGTTTGTTGAAATTGTGCATCCAGTAATCCTATTGGCATCATTTTTCCAAACAACATGTGTTCCCTTAATGTCTGTGTGTTACGTTTTGAAAATTCTTGCAATATTTTAAAATTTGTCATTATTAATATTACAGCTATTATGGTGATCTGTGATTAGTGATCTTTGATGTTACTATTGTGATTATTTTGGGGCACCACACACCATGGCTATACAAGAAGGCAAACTTAATCGACAAATGGTTGTCTGATTGTTGTTCCACTGACTGGAAGTTACCCCTTCTTTTTTCCTCTCCTTGGGTCTCTCTATTCTCCAAGACAAAATAATATTGATGTCAGACCAGTTAATGACTCTGAAATGGCCTGTAGATCTTCAAATGAAAGGAAAAGTCACACATATCTCACCTTACATCTAAAACTGGGTATGATGAAGTGAGGAAGGGATATTGAAAGCTGAGACAGGCCAAAAGCTAGCCCTCTTGCATCAAGCAGTTAGCCACATTGTGAATGCAAAGGAAAAAGTGCTTGAAGGAAATTAAAAGTGATAATCCAGGGAATATACGAATGATAAGAAAAAGAAACAGCCTAATTGCTGATATGGAGAAAGTCTGAGTGTTCTGGACATACAATCAAGCCAACCACAACATTCCCTTAAGGCAAAGCCTAATCCAGAGCAAGGCCCTCACTCTCTTCAATTCTATGAAGTTTGGAAGAGGTGAGGAAGCTGCAGAAGAAAAGTTTGAAGCCAGCAGAGGTTGGTTCATGAGGTTTAACGAAAGAAACTGTCTCCATATATAGAAGTGCAAAGTCAAGCAGCAAGTGCTGATGGAGAAGCTGCAGAAAACTATCCAGAATATTTAGCAAAGATTATTGATGAAGGTGGCTTCAATAAACAACAGATTTTCAATGTAAATGAAAAATCCTTACATTAGAACAAGATGCCATCTAGGACTTTCATAGCTAGAGAGGAGAAGTCAATGCCCGGCTTCAAAGCTTCAGAAGACAAGCTGACTCACTTTTTAAGTGCTAATGCAGCTGGTGACTTTAACTGGAAGCTAATGCTCATTTACTGTTCCAAAAATCCTAGGGCCCTTAAGATTTATGATAAATCTACTCTGCCTGTGCTCTGTAAATGGAACAAAGCCTGGATGATAGCATGTCTGTTTACAGCACAGTTTGCTGTTTATTTTAAGCCCACTGAGACCTGTTGCTTAGAAAAATATTTCTTGCAAAATGTTACTGCTCATTGACAATGTACCTTGTCACCCAAGAGCTCTGATGAAGTTGTAGAAGAAAATTAATGTTGTTTTTATGCCTGCTTACATAACATCCATTCTGTAGCCCAAGGATCAAGGAGTAATTTCGATTTTCAAGTCTTATGATTTAAAAAGTACATTTTGTGCTTGCTTACACAGCATGTTTATTAAAATTAGAATGATACAGAGAAGATTAGCATGGGCCCAGCACAGGAATGACATGAAAATTCTTGAAGAATTCCATATTTTTGAAAATTAAAAAAAATTACAAGGGTATAGTTGCCATACATAGTGATTCCTCTGATGGATCTGGGCAAAGTAAATTAAAAATCTTCTGGAAATAATTCAGCATTCTAGATGCTATTATGAACATTCATGATTCATGAGGAGGCCGAAATATCAACATTAATGAGAGTCTGGAAGATGTTGATTTCAACTTTCATGGATGACATTGAGGGGTTCAAGGCTTCAGTGGCTAAAGTAATTGCAAATTTGATAGAAATAGTAAGAACTAGAATTAAAAATGGAGTCTGAAGATATGACTTAATTGCTGCAATCTCATGATAAAACTTGAACAAATGAGGAAGTGCTTCTTATGGATGAGCAAATAAATTTTTTTGTTTGTTTGTTTGCGATGGAGCCTACTCCTGGTGAAGATGCTGTGAACATTGTTGAAATGACCACAAAGAGTTTAGAAAACTTAATTTGATAAGGTATTCTAAATGCATAAACTTAACTGATAAAGCAGTGACAGAGATTGTGAGGATTGATTCTAATTTTGAAAGTTCTACTATGGGCAAAATGCTATCAAACAGCATAGTATGCTACAGAGGAGTTTTTCATGAAAAGCAGAGTCAATCTGTGGAGCAAGCATTTTTGTTTTCTTATTTAAAGAAGTTTGCACAGCCACCCCAATATTCAGCAACAATCACCCTGATTAGTTGGCAGCCATCAACGTCAAGGCAAGACCCACCACTAGCAAAAGATCATAACTCTCTGAAGGTTCAGATGATCATTACCACTTTTTTAATATAGTTTTTTTAAATTAAGATATGTACATTATGGTTTTACACATAATACTATCACACACTTTATATACTATGCTATAAAGTACACATAACTTTTGAATCCCTTGGAAAACCAAAAAAATTTTGTGCCTTACTTCATTATGATATTTACTTTATTGTATTTTTCTGGAACCAAGCCTACCATATCGCTGGGGTATATCTCCTTTCCATCTTGTTTCTCTAGGAATTTGTGATAGTTAACAGAAAAGGTATATGCAATAAAGCGGAAAAACACAAGTTAGAACTCAGAGTTAAGAATACTAGAAATTATAATAAGAGGTCAATATCATGGTTAACAACAACACAGATACTCAGGTCATAAACTTCTACACTGCTGTTATAATTGAGCTTTGAATTTGTTTCTAGGACTTCTGGCAGCTGAAGTGAAATAAGGAGGTGAGAAATTGTATAGACATTATTTTTTCTTATGGAAAAGTAAAGAAGGTATTTAGACGTGGATGATAGACATGTTTTTCTGTACCAGAACATTTCAAGTGCTTCCAATTTTGTTTTGGAGATTTATTATTATTATTTTTAGTAAATCCAGTGCAGTCTTAAGTACAATCTGTTGCATATCATTTTATTCTTGGCTTAACTTCTAAATATTTGTGTGATTTGAGTAATTCCTTTAACTTTTCTTGACTTTGGTTTCTTCATCTGTAAAGGAAGGGGACTGGGCAAGATGACCTGCACTCAAGTCCTTTGTAATTCTAATATCCCACATCCAATGGGTTCCCATTTTCCCAACATAGAGAATAGCACTTGCTATTTAAAAAGCCAAGTTTGCCTTTTTATAAGTTTGCTTATATTGTATAGGTGAGTCTCTTCTTAGGAAGAAATAGTTTTAAGTTAGGGGTCACCTGTCAATTATGTCAAATTCTCCTAAGAATTAAATAAGAGAAGGACTGATCAGTTTGGTTCATTTGCGAGAGATCACAAGAAATGAAAAGTTAATTTCAGAGTGGAATGAGTATCAACTTCCTGGTGTACTGGGTATCTACTTCCTAGCATGTCTCTTTACATCCTTTGATTTGTGGCCCCAGCTGTACTCACTGTGTAATTGGACCCACACACTGTTAATGTAAGGAAGGCAGGAACTGGGTCTTTCTTACTCCATTGAGAGTCTTGAAGGTGTCAGGAGAGAGTGTCTGCTCAATAAATGTTGACTGACAATTGACTCTTGAATCTTCTTACTCCTATTGACATGCTACCAAAATCAGTGTTTTGTCAACCCCTGAAGTCCTAGCACAGATGCATCTAACATGAGATTTAGCATCTAATGTCATTGTTTATCTTGAAAATTTTTGGAGTCAAAATAACCTTTGAAAATCTCTTAAGAGGCTTATAAATTATGGTATGTTGGATTTTGTGAAAAAATCTTATAAAGTTGTGTGTGTGTATATCCTATTTAAGAATGTATAATATATAATAAATGTACAAGTTAAATATGTTTACTATATTTTTAATCATATGAGGATGAAAGAGAAATGAAAGAATAAAAAAAGGAAAATGATAATGTAGCACCGTATTTGCAAGAGTTAAAAGCATATGATACAACACCATTCCATCCCTAAATAGCAGCAGCTAGATTGTGGACTATGAAATGGGCAATGTGTGAATTGATAACAGGATAAGTATGATTCCCAGTTCACACTCCATGTCTCTAGGAGAAGCCTACAGGCCATGGTATTTATTGTTATTATCTGGAGCTGGTCCATAGGACATACCTCCTGACTACTTGCACAACTGGTCAGGGTGAGACTCATTTCTCCCTTCTTCCAACTTCATCGTCATATCAATACATCCAGGAATATGTTGTTAGGTAGTGATAAGGGTCTTTGGAAGTCTAGAGCAAAAAGAGTTCTGTGAGATCCTTTGGAAATCTTCACAAGCCAATGCAAAGCCTATCTGATCACCCACCATTTCAACCCTGAGGGTAGCTGGGTCAGGCAGGATGGGCTAGGTTATACTACAATATCACACAATTCCAAAACCCCAGGGGATTAAGACCACAAAGCCTTATTTACATTTCTTACTCATGCTACATGTCCATCATGGACTGGCTTGGGGCTCTGCTCCAATTCAACCTCATTCTGAAACTCAGGCTGTTGGAACAGCCACAACCTGAAATCTGTTAGTCACCATGGCAGAAAGTAAGAGAAATGAAGCAAGTCACACATGAGATCTTTAACACTTACACTGGAAGAGACACATATCCCTTCTGTGCACTTTGCATTGGCCAAATCATATTATGTCACTATGTCTTATATCAAGAAGAGCAAGTACAATCCTGCCCTATGCTTAGAAGTACAATTGGAAAACTTGCTGAATAGCATTAATGACCACTGCAATAAACATGTGCCAAAGAGTGAATTTGGTAGGGTTTCCAGGTCCATCCTGATCTGGTTTTATGTTCTTGAATAATCTTTAGTTGTTTCAGCTCAGGCACACTGAATGACTCACGTATGGCAGAGGAGGAACAAATAGCCTTGTCCCTCTTCCTTTTTATTTAATAAAGAAAGAAAGAAGGAAACAAGGAGAAAGAAACAAGAAAGAAATTAGTCCTAGTAGAATTTCATGTGTCATTTGATGGCCAGAAAGATCAGTTTTTTGTTCAATTAATGCCTATGGTAGACTGAATAATTAACTCCCTCAAAGATATCCATATCTTAATTCCTGAAATCTGTAGTATATGTGACATTGTATGACAAAGCAAAATCAAGGTTCAAGATGGAATTAAGTTTACTAGCCAGCTGATCTTAATATAAAGATTATGCTGGATTATCTAGGTGACCTGATGTAATCACAAGGTTTATTAAAATTGAAGGAGGGAGGCAGAAAAGGAGGTCAGAAGTCAGATGGTGTGATGGGAGAAAAGGACTCAACCCTCCATTGCTAGCTTTGTAGATGGAGAAAGGTGGTCATGAGGCAAGCAATGTAAGCAGCCTCCGGGAGCTGGAAATAGCAATAAGACCATTTCTCCTGCGAAACCTCCAGAAAGGAATGCAGCCCTGGCGGCACCTTGATTTTATCCCAGTGAGATCCATGTCAGACTTCTGACCTACAGAACTGTGAGATGATAAATGTATTGTTTTAAGCCACTCATTTTCTGACAATTTTAAAAAGCAGCAATAGAAAAGCAATACGATGCCTTTATGTTTTTTGAACTAACTTGTACTTCAAAAACCATGGCTACTCTAACAAGTTCATACACTATTTCAATAATTTGGCTCTGTAATATGTAGTTAAAAGGAATAAAAGGAGGCACATTGGTCTGCATGTTATTGTTATTTTCTTTGGAGAAAAACTCTGTTAATCCATGTGGCAGAATATGTCACCTCTTCTACCTTAAGGAGAAATGTGGCTTGGTGTGCAGGTAGAGGCTTTAGTGTCTGAATTCTTAGCTCTATTGGGAACAGATACAAACTTTCTAATTCACATGCTAAACTTTGTTGGCTGTCACTCCCTGTGTTTCCATTGCTTCCTGTGGCTGTGTCAAAGCCTCTTATAGCATCCACCCATCTTTGTAGCTGCTTTTAATTCAGAGACCGTATTTTGAGAAAGACTGAATCAAAAGATATTCAGAAAGAAAGTGATATCTTGAGATTACATAGTAAGATAAACATAGGCAGGAACCTTTTTTTTTTTTCTCATATGCTTCAATGACGTTCTCAGAATTTGGGGTGAAAAATGTCTGAAATAAACAAAGCTATGTGGCATGAGAAGGTCTTGAAGGACTCCGGAGTGGAAATGTACTGGCATTAGAAAACTGAGAGGAACAGTGATGGAGTTAACATTAGACTTTGAGTTTGAAATCCTAGAGACCAAGTTCTGGCTCGGTCACTCACTACATGAGTAAACTTTGACAAGTCGTTTAACTTTTCTCAGTCTTCGTTCCTCGTCTTTAACATGGGAATATGACGCTGACTTCCAGTTTCCATTTGGAGATACTATTATTTTACACAAGATTTTTGGCTTTCAACAAAAAATTACCAGCCCTGTTGAAAAGCAAGGAAAATAGAAAAACACTTCCAAGGGATGAAGCAACCAACAGAACCAGACCTAGGTATGGCAGAGATGTTGGAACTATATGGCAGGGAATTACAAATCATGATTATAATTTAAATGGTTCTGATGGAAAAGGCAGATGGCATGCAAGCTCGCATGATTAGTTACAGCAGAGAGATAAGAACTGTAAGGTAAAACTAAATGCTAAATGGAAATGCTAAAAATGTAAAACATGGTAACCAGATGAAGAATGCCTCTGATAAATATATCAGTAGAATGAACTTAGCCAAGGAAAGAATCAATGAGCTTAAAGATAGGTCAATACAAATTATCCATCTGAAAAAAAAAAAAAAGGAAAAATAAAGGAAACAAAAACAAAATTATAAAAGAATATCCAAGAGCTGTATTCTAATATATATGCAATTAAAATTCTAGAAGGAAAAGAGAAAAGCAGAACAGGATAGGAAAACTATTTTAAGAAATTATGGCTGAATTTTTTTTCGGAATTAATAAGCATGAAGTCACAGATCCAAGAAGCTCTTTGGATAGAAGAGAAGTTAATACTAGGCAGAAACTTGGATCTATGCAAATGAAATGTCAGAAATGGAATAAATGAAGGTTTTTTTTCATATTTCTAATTATTCTAAAAATATCTGATGATTTAAAGCAAAATATATAGTGTGTTTATGACATTTGTAAAAATAAAATATGTGATGATATTAGCACAAAAGATCAGAGGAGATAATTTGGAATGTATACTTGTAAAAACCTCACACTGGATGTGAAGTGGTATGTTAAAATTTGAAGGTAGATTCTGCTTAATAAAAAACATCTAAATCCTGGAGCAACCACACACTTTTAAACAAAAGATAAATAATGAATCAATAAAGAAAGTAAAACAGAATCACAAACAAGTTCTCATTTAATGCAAAGCAGAGCAGAAGTTTTAAAAAGGAATAAAAAACATATGACACAAATAGAAAATAGCTAGTTAATTTATCCCTATCTACAATCTTAACAAATGCGAATGGTCTTAACACATCAATTAAAAAAAGAGATTTTTAGATGAGATAAAAAGGTAAGATACAATACCCTATCTATAAGAAACAACTTAGATTTGAAGAGATAGATAGATTTTTTTAAAAAGATAGAAAAAAAATAAGCCAAAAGGAAGACAGGATATCTATGCTAATATCAGATAAAGTCAACTTTATCTCTGAGTTATGTGAGCTATTCACCAGTATTAACTTAAAAAATCTATCATGAAACCATCATATTTAGAGGAGTTCATTCAGCATGATGGGAAGCAATGGCTAAAGACTCAGTATTTCTTGTACTTCATAATACTGTCTCAAGCCTCACATCCTTTTCAAATGTTTGAAGTAGTTTTCGCATTTCCCAGATGATGAAAATAAAGCACAGAGTAGGTAAGCATTTTGCCCCAGAGTGGATAACCAATCACTAATATGTGACAGAACCGGGATCTTAATTACCGTGCTATCTTCTTTACAAAAGAGTTTCTGTAAGTATAATGCTGCTTTCCACCTCTGGGGGAACATTAAAAACAATAAAGCCCAATTCTCGAAGACAAGCTTTCTTTTGGATGGGTGGGTATTGCTTCAGTTCTTTTAAAGGCCTTGATTTCACCCACCTCTTTCAAGAGAGTAAGACATTTATCTGTATCATACCCAAGGGAGAGTCCCTGCTACAATACAGGTTGTGGCATTATAGAAGACTAAAGTAGGAGTGACATAGAAGATAAGTATATCCAAGTATATCCATAGAAGATAAGTATATCCTGGACGTCAGCACATCCAGGAGGAGGCAGAGAAGCAACAGGTCAGGTAACTTGCCCAGACAGTCTCAGCCATTAATTTCAGAACAGGACTAAGCACCAGGTCTCCAAATATCAAATACAGGGCTGGGCACGTGGCTCACGCCTGTAATCCCAACACTTCGGGAGGCCAGGGCAGGTGGGTCACCTGAGATCAGTTTTAGACTAGCCTGACCAACATGGTGAAATCCCGTCTCTACTAAAAATACAAAATTAGCCGGGCGTGGTGGCGCATGCCTGTAATCCCAGCTACTTGGGAGGCTGAGGCGGGAGAATCGCTCAAATCCCGGAGGGAGGTGGAGGTTGCAGTGAGCAGAGATCGCGCCATTGCACTCCAGCCTGGGCAACAAGAGCGAAACTCCGTCTCAAAAACAAAAACAAAAACAAAATACAAAACAACAAAACAAAAAACCAAATACAATACATCACTGTTTCCTCTTCCCCTCCTTACAATTATTTGTAGCTGTAACTCTGTAACACCAAGAAAAAACTCAGTTCAAATGAGTAGCACTAGCCAAAGGAGACCACTTGTAAAACAAAATATATCCTAATCATTCATTTATGAGATGATTGTAAGGACCCATTTACAAGATCATGGAGTAAGGACCCATTTACAAGATCATGGAGCAAGGGCCCATAAAACTTGCCAGTATCTGAAGTGTAGTTTTAATGTTGGTCTTTTAAGCCTTTTTTTTTTTTTCTGTTGGGAATTGCCTTCAGAATTCCAGTCTCTTAACCAACTATCCACAACCCAGCAACAACGTGGACTCTCAGAGTTTGAGGCACCAGGACTTTCTAATTCCTAGTTCCTTTCTCTATAGGAAATTGTACCTCTTGGGCAGTGTTACCCTGAGAAGAGAGTGAGACTTGGGGAATGTGCCCACAGCTCAGTGCTGGCCTTGAGGACAGTATGTATTCCAAGACAGAGAATGAAGTTAAGTGTACTCTTAAGGCAGTATTTCGTACTTGTCCCTGTTCCTCAACTTAAGAGTAATGGATTAATCTTTTCTGAAAGTTTTTCATAAATAGGACAAAGAAATTTAAATATACTCTTAAATATCTCCTTTTGTGCAAATCTAAAATCAGTTAACCTTTCTATAAAAACTTGGTGATGGAAGATCATAGTCCAGTATACAGTATTGGGTTGTTTGTTCCATTTTAAAAAATCAATTTTATTTTTCCTGGAACTAACATACTGAGGGGTAAAATCTTGAGATTCTGATGAGTTTTAGTGAAATGTGTCTGCATTAAACTTTAGATTGGTTAAAACAAAATGACAGGAAGCCTATATACATTATTACACATGGAGAAAATCAATCTAGTTTTTTCAAAAGTTTACATTTGATGAGTTTTGATCTTATCATTCGAAATGCCATATAAAAATTTTATTATTAAAATAGAATCCAGTAAACCAAGCAAAAAGAACAAAACAGTACAGTATAACAATGCAAATGTTTAGAAAACAGGGAACTCTCTTAACATTCAAATTCAAGCTTAGATATGGCCAAGGTGACAAACTATTTCTATTTGCTAAAAAAGATTATTTTTAGCACTTGTTGGCTTTAAAAGATGGTCTCCTTGCTTTTAGGCTGCCCCCATGTGTTCTGATGGTATCAGTGTTTGTCCAAATTGTGTACCAGAAATTCTTTTTCCTTCCATTTAAAATAAAGTATGGATTTTCAATCAGTACACAAGAGAAAACTGGACTTGAAGGCAGAAAAATTTTGTGGATGACCTAGCTCTGCTACATAGAATTTATATGGATTTTTAAATACAATTATTTCCTTTATTTAATTTCCTTTGGCTTCAGAGTTTTCAGCTAGGAAATGGAGATGATAATATCTGTCATGATTGACTCACAAGGATGTGATGATCAAATAATTTAATATATTAGATAACACTTGATAACACCTTACGAAACACACGCTAGTTACCAATATAAAAGTGAGACTGACTTTTTTTCTGTAAGTGGAAACTACTGCATTGTAATACAGTGTACTATAGAACACACTGGATGGATGTCCTTTGATTCTTTTTTTGTTTTTCTAATATCTAATTTTGCGACTTAGCAAATCAAATCAATTTTCCATAAAATAGATGACTAAAGAACCTCTATCAGCGATTTTAGATTAAAAAAAAATCCCTCTTAAATTTTTTTTTTCTTGATGGACTACTAGTCAGAAAACACTTGGATTCCAGGTCTATAACGCAACTAACATGGAAACATTTAATCTCTGCACAGCTTGGTTTCCTTATGGACGATATCTTCCAGCTTTGATAACCAGTGATTTTAAGAAATCTGTGACGCAATCCACATAATTTACTGCACCTTTAAAAATGAAAATATTCATAGTAAAAATGAATTAGAGTTTTCACAGAAGGAAGGGAATACAGTTTAATAACTCAAAGAACCCAAAACATTTCCTTAAAAAAAAAAAACATGTTTTACAGTTTCTGAAGTATATGAGTCAAATTTAGTTTTAATATCAATCATCACAGAATATTGCTTGATTGAAATTTCAGTAATTTATATTTGTGTTTAATTGAAAATTCTAAGAAAATGGAAAAGCCAACATAAAATATATTCTATAATTAACTCAATGTTATTAAATCATTTTGTTTTCTCTAATGATTAAGTAGAATGTCTTAAATTGTTTTCTAATTCTTAAGAGAAACAGTGATTTATAACCACCAACTTAATTTTATTAGATACCAAAAATGTTTTCAGACTTGGACATCACAAGCCTTGACAATAGCAATTTGATATTTGCTGATCATTGTTGGTTTCTTCGAAAAGCTTATGTGGAATATTCAATAATCAATTCTTTAAAATGCAATGTTTTGTGAACAAGTAGCATGACTAATACATGATTTGTCTACACCATTAAAAATTTTAATTTTCTTTTTGCATCCCAATCCCTATGGCTTTCAATTAAGTCTTATAGAAAAGGAATGGTGTTTCTTGTATACAATGAAATAGAGGATTGAATCAACTCATGTACAGGAGTTAATTTACATGATTAAGAATGCTAATAAAATACCCGAAATTACTACACTGATTTGTGGATTAAGAAGGCTAATAAAATACCGGAAATTACTACACTGATTTGTGGAAATTGGTGAATAAAAAGTCAGGTTCAAAAAGCTTAGTTTGCTGCAGCTGATATTAAGCCTATATTAACATTTTGATAGGCCACTACAAGATACAGAGCAATATCATCAGAGTTGCTTTGCTCTTTATAAGGTCATTTTATAGTACTGAGACAGAAATAATTGTAATAAATTACTGGCACAATGTGTTTCTAGTAATTTAGAAAATGTTCCGGTATTTGAATAGAAATATAATCAGGATTCAGGCGCAGCTATATTGGTCTGTAAAACCGGATTAAAGCAATCAATCTGTTATCAAAAATCTCTGTCGGAAGATTATTAGGACCACCCAATTCACCGTTTCAATTCTAATGACCATTTGCCCTAGACAGTAGAATAGATAGGTGGAGAAAGTGAGCTTCCAATTTACATGACTTTCCAAACACCTTAATGCCTTTGCGTAAACATCACTGGCAATTTTTTTTAAGTTAAAAAATCGGCAAAATGGAAAGACAGCGGTGGTCCTTTGACCCTGTTCCGCTGGGGCAGGGATCGGGAGGGTGGGGATTGAGACTTCACTTAAGAGCTGCTTCAAGGAGTGCACAGAAACCACAGCGGGCCTTTTCTGAACCATTTGCTATCCCCGCAGCGAAGGGACGCTTAAGGAGGAAGTGCCTGTGGAGCTGAGAAAGCGTTATTTCATCGCGGAATACAAATAATTCAGGTCTCTAGATGGCAGCCTTCAATGCCTTTGGAAAGCAGTCTCTCTCCTCCTCCGCCACCCCCACCTCCCCTCCCACCGCATCTCGGCTCCTTGGCAATGTAGTATCACTCCATGTGTGCCCTGGCCAGTGGATATTGGGTTTTGCTGCTCTCCAAGAATCCGAACTTAAAGTGTTTATTCTAGGGCCTGGTGCTCTGCTCTGGAAGCTACCTACCTACCTGCTTGGGGAAAAGAGGGAGTAGGGATGGCACGAAGAGCCACGCTAAGCCGCTGCCCAGGAGAGGTGGGGCTGCGCCGCAGCCAGGACACCCTCTCCCTGGGAGCAACAGCATCCTTGGCTCCCGGCGCGAGCGCTCCGCGCCCAGCGAGCGCAAAGAGCGCAAAGGCCACCTGCCCGGCTGGGGGAGCAGGCCCAGCACCACCGCCCCGATTTACCCAGACATTTATGGGAAAGACATAAAAATCTCAGGTTCTTAATTTCGCAAAGGACTGAGTTAGAAGGAGTGTGGAACAGGGGCAAAAAAGAGACAGGAGAAAGAAACACACCCCGAAAAACACGTTACTCGCACCCGGCAGCGCCTGGGGTGGCGTCCGTGACCTACCCCGGTGTGGGGGACGAGCAAAACCAAAGGTGTTAAAGAAGGAACTCGCAGACTGGCAGGGGGTGTGGGGACGGTGGAGGACTGTGGGACTGCAGGGGACCTAGGTGTTTTCTGCCCTGTCTTAAGATCTCGCTTTGGGGGCAGTCTAGGTGTCGGTCGGGGGTGAGGGACAATCTTCCCCACCCCAGCAGCCCCAGACACCCGCCCAGGTCAAGGTGGAAGGAAAGCGGGGGTACTTTGCCCTAGCCCGGTTCCCTCCTGTTTTAGACCTTGGAATCTGTCTCTCCACAAGGTGTGAAACCTCTCCAAGCTGTGTCCGCGGAAAGTCCGGCTCCTGGCTCCACCTAGGGCAGAGCAGACCTCCGTCCCTGGGCCTTAGAGGCGGGCACGGGGCTGACCCCCAACCCGTGCCACTCCAGCGCACAGGCCCCACTCAGCATCGCGCCCTGTGGGGCAGTTGACAGGGTCCCCTGTAGCTCCAGCGAGGCTGGGCCGGACTTATTTACAAGTGCAGTGACCCCTGTCTCCTCGCTGGGAGCCCCGTGCAAACCGAAGCGCTCTGGGGCAAGTTGGTGAGCGACTCACAACGCGGAACGGAGTTTGATCGACATGGTATTGGGCATAGAAAGAAGCGGGTCTTACCTTGGTACCGAGAGCAGGGAGTTGCCATCCATTGTTGGTGGGCGCCCAGAGAAGAAAGACGGAAAGTGCAGGCGAAGGATAAGTCTGTGGTGCTAGGACCCAGCTCCCAGAGTGCCAGACTGGCGCGCGCCAGGAGAGAGGCGCGCAGGCTGGGGCGGCGGCGGCGCCCACGGAGACTAGCTCCTCCCTGGCCAGCAAGCTCTGTGCGCTGCGACCGCCCGCTGTCCCCTCCCGCCGTCCTCTCTGATCTTGCAGGAGCGCGTGGCCAACGCTCCCACCTTTCTGCCTGGCTCCTGCCTCCTGCAGGCGGGCCCCAGTCTCAGTTGCTCGAGGATCCTGCTCTATCGCTCATTCGTGCCCAGAAGCATAGGTGACTCCGACAAAATTCCTCTCTCCCCAACCACCATCGTCTCCCCTCCCTTTCTCGCTGGCGTACAGTAGGTCTGAGCCCTGAAGTTGTTCACGCACTTTCCCACATTCACGCCCTCACTCCTGGCAATGCCGACACTCCCCACTGGTTGCGCGCCACTCCTCTGGCTTCCTGTGTCGATTTCATTTTTGTTTGTGGTCTACCATGTTATGGTCGATCACTCAGAACGATGCTGGCTTTGACCTCCTAAGTCTTTTCCCTTTATTTGGACTTTCTCTCTTGGTTTTGGTTTTCACGTTTCTTTAACTCATTTTGCTTAACTGTGACTTAGTCTTCTCTCTCTTCTGTTAGAACCGTGTGCGCACATAGAAATCTCAAAACCTATGAGAGCGGCCATCCATCCGAGGACAGCACTCAGAACCTGGGAGGGAGAGCTGTCACAAACTTCCCCAGTTGACGGCTGGGTATCTCCCTGAGCAAAAAGGACAGTTTTCTTAAGAAGAAAGACACTGATAGTAGCAAATATCTGCTAAAATGAGGGCGCTGTTGAATCTGCTTCTTTTTCCAATTAAAAAACAAATTAAAAATAAAATTTGGGACTTCCACAAATGGGAAGGTTGAGCCAATGTACTTTTAGCTATTCCTCCTAGTAAGTACAACGAAATCCCCCGGATATTATCTCTGAAACAGGCATGAGAAAAAGGTGGACAGAAGAATGCAGACCAGCTAGAGATCCTGGGACTCAAGGCTTGGCATGATGATGGGTTCCTGAGGTTCTCCCAGACTTTGGCTGAAGAAGATGACAACCCGGAAATGTCAAGGGGCAGAGACAGGAAAAGCCTTGACAAAGGACTCCTCTTTCTAGCCAAAGGATCAGGAGAGAGGCAGCTTAGCAAGATGGAAAATTTACACACAATAATAGCTCCACTGTGGCCAAACACCATGAGAAAAAACCTGTGGACCTTTTTCAACTACACCATCAAAGGCCAAGTAGGGAGCCTACATTTCACCATCTGTAGGCTCTAAGGATGTAAGTCAGTCCCCTGGGCGAGGTGGTGTCAGAGGAGACTAAGTAGGGACCAGGACTTTCATCCCCTCCAAACACTGGCCGCACTCACCTCTTCATGTCTCGTTTCCCCCGTCATGGTGCCAAGAAGAGCTTGAACTTCCACATCCACACAGAAATAATGAAGTCCCCTTCCCATTCCACACATACAGGTGGCATTAAGGCAAAGTAGGGAGCCAGGACTTTTTAAAAAATATTTTTTATTTCCATAGATTTTTGGGGAGCAGGTGGTATTTGGTTACTTAAGTTCTTTAGTGGTGATTTGTGAGGTTTTGGTGCACCCATTACCTGAGCAGTATACCCTGAACCCAATTTGCAGTCTTTTATCACTTACCCCCTTCCCACACTTTCCCCTGAGTCCCCAAAGTCTATTGTAGCATTCTTATGCCTTTGCATCCTCACAGCTTAGCTCCCACTTACGAGCGAGAACATATGTTTGGTTTTCCATTCCTGAGTTACTTCACAAAGAATAATAGTCTCGTGTTCCATCCAAATTGCTAAAAATGCCATTAATTCATTCCTTTTTATGACTGAGTAGTATTCCATCATATATATGTATAGCAGAATTTCTTTATCCACTCGTTGATTGATGGGCATTTGGGCTGGTTCCATGGGATCCAGGACTTTTAATCCTAACAAGGAGTAGCAGCACCGCTTCTTCACCTTGGTATCAGTGGAGCTTGTACTTTCACATCCACAGAGCAGTAATCGGCACCCCCCCCCCCCCGCCCCGCCCCACTTCCACTCTACACTGAAGCAGTGTCAGAGGAATTGTTGTGGAGAGTCAAAAACCATAGTTCAGAAGTAATAAGGCCCTGTGTGTGTCCCCTGCCCCCCACTCCCAATCACAGAAGGCCACATGGGAAGCAGGAACTGGGTACTCCTACCACTCTTAGCCAGAGAGATATCAGTGCAGGCCTAGTGAGGACCCTGAACTCCCACCCACCCTTGCTTCACAGTAATGAATGCCACTACCTGTTTTTCAAGTGTCAACAAAAGCCAAGTGAGGAGCCCAGACTTCTAACCCCACTTGGTAGTGATGAGGCAGTGCTGCCCTTATTTTCCTTGCCTTACAGGAGAAGTGTCAAGAGAATCCGTCTAAAACAGCTCTTTAAATAAAATTCAGAATGTTCTAACATAATGCCCCAAATAAGCAGCCTTTAATAGAAAATTATTTGTCATATTAAGAATCAGATCTGAATGAGAATCAACACAAAACAAAACAATCAATTGATACTAAATAACATGGAAATGACAGGGATGTTAAATGTATCTGTCAAAAGATTTTAAAGCAGCCATGATAAAAATAATTTAATAAGTAATATAAAAAAAATAGAAAGTCAGCCCCTAAAATATCTAAGCAAATATAAGTAGAAGATGTAAAGAAAAACTAAGTGGAGATTTTAGAAGTGAAAAATACAGTAACCAAAATAAAACACAAACTGTTTTATTAGTTGGAGAGAAACATCACTTTACCCATAAGGGAAATATAGTTCAAAAACAGTGGATTTCCCACTAGAAGCCATGGAGGACTGAAGTAATTGACAACATTTTTCAGGTGTGGAGGAAGACAACTATGAACACAGAATCTTATGTCTAATAAAAATACTCATTAGAAATGAAGATGAAAATGGTATAGAATTCCAGCAGAGCTCTCCTAAAAGAATGATTAAAGGAAATTCTCTAGACACCAATGAAACTGTCTTTACAGTTTCAGGCATCTTAGAATATCAGGAAAGAAGAAAACAGTAAGAAAAATTTGAAAGATACAACAGAATTTCTTCTTTTGAGTTTCCTAAACTACATTTGAAAATCAAAGGAAAGATTATGACTTTGATATGCTTCTAAATATAGAGAAAGCATTTAAGACAATTATATTAAAGGGAGAAGGGTAAAGGGTGTAACAAGTAAAGTTTACACATTTTGCTCAAACTGGCAAATTGACAACACCAATAAACTATAAATTTATATATACATATACATACATATATACACATACATACATACACATATATATAACATGCATAGAAATTATAAAGCTATGCACATAGATATACTCAAAAATAATACAGGTTAAATCAATCAAATTGGTTTTATTGATTTAAAAAATTTTTTATTTTAATCATTTAAATGATTTTTATCATTTTAAGATTTTAAAAAATGTTTAACCCATAGTAAAGGAGGAAAAAGGAAACAAAAACAAAAAAGGGAGAAAACAAACAGAAACAAAATAAAACCAAAAAAGGAGAAAACAAACAGAAACAACAAAATAAAACCCTGTCAATTTTGAGCTTAATGTACCAATGAGTACATTAAATGTAAAGGGTCTAAATAGAATGGTTTAAAGACAGAGATTGGCAGTGTGGATTAAAAATATGACCCAATTATGTGCTCTCTGTAACAAACAAACAAAAGCCCCATAGGAAGATTGAAAGTAAAAGTGTGATAAAAGATATATTATGCAAACATTATTTAAAAGAAAGCACATGTGGCTATATTTATATAACATACAATAGACCCCAGAGCAAGGAAAATTACCAGAGACAGAGAGGGAGATTATTTAATAATAAGAGGGTCAATCTACCAAGTAGACACAGCAACTTTAAATGTATACACAGAAACAGCAGAGCTGCAAAACATATAAAACAACAGAATAATAGAACTAAAAAAAGAGACAAATCCAAAATTACATCTGAAGACTTTAACCACTTTTTCTCAACAGTTGATAAAACAACTAGTCAGAAAATTATTGAGACTACTGAAAGACTCAGCAACACCATCACCCAAAAGGATCAAATTGACATTTATAGAATATGCCACCTAAAAATAGAAAACACTTTTTTTAAGTGTCCATTGAACATACACCAAGATAAACCATATTTGGGGGCAAAAAGGAAATGTCAATAAATTAAAAATAATTGAAATCATATATGTAGTGTGTCCTCCAACTACAATGGGAACAAAAAGGAAATCAAGAACAGAAAGATAAGAGGAATATATTCAAATACTTGGAAACTAAACAACACCCATTTAAATAATCCATAGGTCAAAGAGGGGACCTCAAAGAAAATTTAAAAAATACATCTAATTCAATGAAGATGAAGATACAACATATCAAAATTTCTGGGACATTATTACGCTACATACTAAGAGGAAACTTCTGGAAATTAAATACTTGACAAAAGACTAGCATCTAGAATATATTTTAAAAGCCTCTCAAAACTCAACTGTAAAAAAAAAAAAACTGCCAGGCACGGTGGCTCACGCCTGTAATCCCAGCACTTTGGGAGGCCGAGGAGGGCGGATCACGAGGTCAGGAGATTGCAACCATCCGGGCTAACACGGTGAAATCCCATCTCTACTAAAAAAAAAAAAAAAAAAAAAAATACAAAAAAATTAGCTGGGTGTGGTGGCGGGCGCCTGTAGTCCCAGCTACTCCGGAGGCTGAGGCAGGCGAATGGCGTGAACACAGGAGGCAGAGCTTGCAGTGAGCGGAGATCGAGCCACTGCACTCCAGCCTGGGCAACTGAGTGAGACTCTGTCTCAAAAAACAAACAAACAAACAAAATCCAACTAGAACATGAGCTAAAGATATAAACAGGCATTTCACTGAAGAGTTTTTACAGATGGCAAATAAGCACAGGAAAAGATGTTCAACATCACTATTAGATAAGTTTTAATTTTGTGTTGTTTCTTGTTAGAACGACAATGATATTTCATTTTATACCTTTCAAAATGGCTAAAATTAAAAATATTTGCACAACCAAATGTTGACAAAGTTGTGGGAAAAATTGAGTCACTCATCCATTACTGGTAAGAATATAAAATATTAAAATCACTCTGAAGTAGTTCGGCAATTTCATAAAAAAACTAAACATGCTAGAAGAATACGACCACACAGTTGCACTCCTGAGCATTTATCTCAGAGAAATTAAGCCTGTCCGTGAAATATTCTTACTCCAATGTTTATAGCCATTTTACTTGTAATAATCAAAACCTAGAAACAACAAAGACATCCCTCATTGGCATATAGTTAAACAAATTGGTATAGCCATTCCTTGGAATATTACTCAGCAATTAAAAACAACAACAACAAACTATCAATACATGAAATAACATGGATGAATCTCCAGAAAATTATGCTGAGTGAAAATAGTAATCCAGGTGGTTATATAATTGCAAATATATAATAACATATATAAATATATGTATATATTATGTAAATATATATTATATATATTACGTATATTACATATATTACATATATATTACATATATTACATATGTATTATATATTACATATAATGTATAATATATATTATATATAATAATAAATAACATATATTATATATAAATATATACTATGTAATATAGTATATATAAATATATA
The DNA here is from genome assembly GCF_000001405.40 of Homo sapiens. Taxonomy (NCBI): domain Eukaryota; kingdom Metazoa; phylum Chordata; class Mammalia; order Primates; family Hominidae; genus Homo; species Homo sapiens. Next base: position 228,187,393 of record NC_000002.12, read on the forward strand.
CTATGTAATATAGTATATATAAATATATACTATGTAATATAGTATATATTATGTAAATATATAATGATATATAATATTTGTATATATTATGTAAATATAATATATGTATATATATTTTACATATATATAACATTTGTAGAAAACAAAATTTTAGAAATGGAGAGCAGATTAATGATTGCTGGAAACTAAGGAGAGGTAGGGAAGAAGGGAAGTGGATGTGGATATAAAATGGCAACATGATTGATAGATCTTTGTGGTTATGGAAATACTGTATATCCTAACTGTATTAATGTCAATATCCTAGGTGTAATATTATACTATAGCTTTTGCAACGTGCTACCATCAGAGTAAACTGAGTAAAGGGTATATAAGATTGCTTTTTTTATTTCTTATAACTGCATGTGAAACAATAGTAATTTCAAGTAAAAATTGAATTAAAAAACAGAAAGAAAATATTGCTTTTATATTGTCAACTAGTATATTACATAGATTAAGTGCACAGCCTATACAAAAATTTAAAGATTTTTCTCTATATTATGCTGTCTTCACTAAAGAAAGAAAATGATTGCCTTCCAAGTAACCACAATCAATGGGAATTTAGAGATAAGTAGAAAGGGAACACACACACACCCACACACACACACACACACACACACACACACACAGGCTGATGCAAAGCCCTCTTAGCCACAGTGGAATAAAGAGATGTTGTAGCATAACTGCTGCTAATGAAACAATCATCAATATTTTAAAATGCTTTCAGTGCTTTAAAATCAATCCTGAATAGAATAATAGAATAAAATCAATCCTGACTATAACAATAATAGAACTGCTCCATTTTGTTGGAGCAGTTCTCTGAAAGATCAGCGCCATTGTAAGTTGAACGCTAAACGATCCAGGTCTGTTTCTTTCTTTTTTTTCTTTTTTCTTTTTTTTCCTAAGAGACATCTTGGCAGCAGAGGGGTGGAGTGAGGTGCTAAGTATACACACTGCACCATATGGGGACACTGGTTGTACTTACATTTCATTCTACTATATTTTTCTGATCTAAGGCTTTTGTAATCAGTGTATTCATTTTCTATTACTGTTATAAAAAATTATCACAAATTTAGTGGCTGAAAATAACATAAAGTTTATAATCTTACATTTCTAGAGGTCAGTTAATGATGGTTCTCATCAGACTATTACAAATTATCACAAATGTAGTGGCTTAAAACAACATAAAATTTGTAATCCTACAGTTCAGGAGGTCAGTTCATTATTGTTCTCATCAGGCTAAAATCAAGTTATCAACAGGTTATGTTGCTTTGGAAGTTCTAGGGAAGAATCCATTTCCTGGTCATTCAGATGGTTGACAGAACTCAGCTCCTTGTGGCTGTAGGACCGAGGTCCTCATTTTCTTGCTGGCTGTAAACTTGGGGCCACTTCCTGCCTCTAAAGTCAGCCGCATTTCTTGGCTCCTAGCCCTCTCTCTCTCCACTTGCATAGACAGCAATAGTGGGTGAAGTCTTTCATACACACTATATCTCGGGCTCACTTTTCTGCCTTTCTTTTCCACTTTTAATGGCTCACATTATTAGATTGGGCCACTTGGATAATCCTGGGTAATCTCATCTCAAAATCCTTAACCTAATCACATCACCAAAGCCCCTTGGCTCACATAAGGTAACATATTCACAGGTTTTGGGGACTGAGGCATTACTCTCTGACTGTCTTTTGGGTTCTGTTATTCTGCCTACCATGATCAGCCATTTTGCTGGGCTGGCATGGTGGGTAGGGAAGGAAGGCCGTATGTCTCAATTGCACAGCCATGCCAGGATTGTTGTTTCTTAGACATGCCCTGCTTTGCAATTATTCCTAGGTTGTCTCTGGGCCAACATCTCCGTGTTTTGGAGATTCTAAAGGATTGCACTTGTTGATTTCTTTCCCTCCTTTCCTTGGTCTATTCATGTTTTCATTATTCAACAATGAATACTCACTGTCTTACTCCATTTAGGTAGCTGCAACAAAATACAATAGACCAGGTGGTTTACAAATGATAGACATTTGTTTCTCACAGTTCTAGTGGTTCAGAAGTCCAAGATCAAGGTGCTGGCAGATAGAGTGTCTAGTGAGGGCCTGCTTTCCATTTACAGTGATACCTTCTTTCTGCATCCTCACATTGGCGGAAGGGATAAAGCATCTCTCTGGGACATCTTTTATAAGGGCACTAATTCTATTTATGAGGAATGACCTTATTGCCTCCCAAGGCCCCACTTTCTAATACTAATTATATTGGTGATTGGGTTTCAGCATATGAATTGTGTGTAGGGGTGAGGAGGGGAACAAATATTCAGACCAGAGAACTCACTGTGTTCCACGGTTCAGGTACTATTGTAGGTGATGTGCATACTGAGAGGTATTAAAAACAGGAGCAGCCAAGTCCTTGCCTATGCCCACAGACCATAGTTTCTTTCTTTCTTTTTTTTTCTTTTCTTTCTCTCTCTCTCTTTCTTTTCTTTTCTTTTTCCTTCCTTCCTTCCTTCCTTCCTTCCTTCCTTCCTTCCTTCCTTCCTTCCTTCCTTCCTTCCTTTCTTTCTTTCTTTTCTTTCTTTCTTTCTCTCTTTCTTTTTCTTTCTTCTTTTCTTTTTCTTTCTCTTTTTCTTTTTTACGGAGTTTTGCTCTCATTGCTCATGCTGGAGTTCAATGGCGTGATCTCAGCTCACTGCAACCTCTGCCTCCCGGGTTTAGGTGATTCTCCTGCCTCAGTCTCCCCAGTAGCTGGCATTACAAGCACCCACCACCATGCCTGGCTAAATTTTTGGATTTCTAGTAGAGATGGGGTTTCACCAAATTGGCCAGACTGGTCTTGAACTCCTGACCTTGGATGATCTGCCCGCTTCAGCCTCCCAAAGTGCTTGGATTACAGGCGTGAGCCACCACTCCTGGCCAGAGCTTAGTTTCTGAAGGAGAGGGCAGAGTAAATGGGAGACTTTTAGATAGTGATGTACAGTATAAATGACAGACAGCAGGGTAACTGTGGATTGGCTGGTGGGGAACATATTTCTCAAAAGAGAACATTTACACTCATTTCAGACAGAAAAAGCAAGATGTACACAAGTCTAGAGGCAAGTCTAGAGGCAAGAATGTGGCCAATAGGCAGAGGGAACAAATGGTTACTGGAATAATTTCTGAATAAGGCCTAACTTAAGGATGAACTTGATGTCTTGGCATTTACAAAGAAGGCTGGTGCATATTGTCTTTTTTTGTGATGGTTTCCCTCTTCCACATGTAGGATTTGGCCAGCTAAAGCTTGCACTTCACAATCCATTCTGAGGTTGAGTACAAATCTGAGAAGTGAGTATCATAGTATTCTTCTCATTTTCTCCCCATCATTCTCCATAAGTCTCATAGCATCCTCATGACTATCTCAAATAATAGTCCTGATCACTGACTAACACTGAGGTTTTTCTCCCAAGATATCTGACAGGTATAGTATATGCTTCTTCACTTAAAAATAAAGAAAAGAGAAAGAAAAAAAGTATCAGGAGAGAAATCACAGTTGTAGGGAAGTGGTTCAGTCTGTAATTTACATGTCACACATTAGAGTATAGTCCTTACCAAGAGACAAGGAAAATATCTACGTACATTCCAAGTCCTAAAAAATTTTTGATTACTGAGATTCAGAGCCTTACTTTACAAAACAAAATAGAACATTCTTGTGTTTCACAATTGCAATGATCACTGCACCTGCCAAAACAACTAAGCAATGAGGTTCAAACAAATTAATGGGAGATAGTTGCAATTTTTTGTGCAACATGTTAAAATAAAGTCGGAAAATTTATTTTTTTAAAAAAAGCAAGTGGAGAATAGAGCATTATGGAACACTTCAAATCATTAATTTGACTGAATTTTTTCTTCCCAGTTTCTCAGCTTTGCAAAGTTCGCAAATAGTCCCTGTGGCACTGCTCTCCAAAATGTAAGCTTCTACCAATTCTGAGAGCAGGAAGGGGTGGTGCAATTAGCCTGATCATTCTGGTTGGCAGCTGTCAGAATTTGAGCATCTAAAGGTTTGGGAGGGTGGCAGGTGCTTTTCTCTTAGTGTGGTCTCAAAACAGAGTCAGAAGTCAGTAGATTTCATTCTGATTTCTGGAAGAGGTATGAGGAGCTAGAATGTAAGAATTCTGAAGTTTCATATCAAAGATTCAATGATAGTCATAAAACTTGAAGGGATTACTGTACAGGGCCTGAACAGTTTCTAAGGGCAGGTGAAAATGACTAAGATTTACCTGTGTGGGCATAAGGAAATGCCTTACTTAGCTTTAAGGATATAGGCATAGAAAAGGAACAAGTGAGATGTGATATTTATTTAGCAGCTTAAGGAACCAGTATGCTCAGAGGCAGCAGTGAAATGGGAAGAAGCCCTTACATAGTCTAGTTATGGCTACTCTTGTCCATGCGGCCTCCTAATATCCCTCCCCAGTGTCTGCAGCATTGATGACACTGATCAAGTCAACAGAACACATCTGAATATGATCAACTTAGTAATCAACATTTAGCTTTAACAGTAAGCACCTGAATACGTTAACGTACGCTTTTGGAAGATGGCTTTTGAGCATGGCTGAACCATGTTTTTTGAGCCAATGGGTCTCAACCCTGTCTATACATCCATACTTAAGCCCTTCAAAGACTGACCGAGTTAGAATTTTTAGAGATAATGCCCAGGCATCTGTATTTTATAAAGGTTTCTGTGGTAAATCTAATGTGCAAAGTCTATATGAACCTTTACTAAATCTACATAAGACCTTGAAATGATATGTTTGCAAATATTTTATTTTATAGAGCAGATCACAGGCCTAGGGAAAAGACAACTTGCTTAAGATATTATGTAGTGCTGGGCCTAGAATAGAAATATTCTAAATCTTGCCATTTAGAAGAGGCCATGGCCATTCAAGCGAAAGTGCCAGGTCATATAGGGCAAATATAATTTTGCTTTTACAAGTCTTTAAGGGATTACTTTATACATCCTTATATTTCCTAGCAAACTTTATAGGTTTTCACAATGTTCAATAATTTATTCAGCCCACACATACTTATAGAGCTCCTTTTCAATAGCAGATCTTTTTTTAGGTACTTGGATTCCATTAGTGAATAAAACATTCACAGACCCTTGTCCTCCTGTTTTTTTTATATGTTCTCCTAGGAGAAGGCAGACAATCAACAACACACATAGAAGTACATGAATTGGTTTAATGGAAGGTGATATGTACTTTTAAGAAGGAAAAGTTGAGCAGAGGTGTTGAGAATACTGGGTACTTTTAGCATTAAGCAGAATGGTGGGGTTTGGCCCTACTGAGATAGTGATCACTGAGGAAAGGATGGTGGGAGTGAATATCAGAGGGAATAGAGAGAATGGTTCCAAGGGAAAGTTGCAGGATAGGAAGGAGGTTGGGGAGGAGCAAATCATAAAAGCCCTTGTAGACCATTTAAGGACTCTGATTTTATTCTCAATGAAATGGGGAGCCTTTGGAGGGTTTTGAGTAGAGAAGAGAAATGCGATTGATGTTGTCAAAAGATTAGCTTGGCTGTGATGTGGGAATAGAGTCCACAGAAATGAGAGAAGATAAGTGCTCCATCTATGGGGGCATCAGGGCAGGGGTAAGAACTAGGAACATTCTGAAGATATTTTGTTGTTTGTTTAAAGGTACATTTTAAAATTTGTTTAAAAACATTTACGCACAGTAGAATTCACTTTCTTTTGAGTGTGTAGAGTTCTGGGTGTTTTGACAAACTTATCAAGTCAGGTAACCACCACCTAATCAGAATACAAGATGATTCCCTCTTCTCCCCCAAACTTCCCCTATACTATACCTTTGGAGTCCTTCAACCATCTTCAACCACCCCTCACCCCTGGCAACTACTGATTTATTCTCCATTCCAAAATTTGTTGTTGTTGGTTTTTTTCCTCAGAATGTCACATAAATATAAGTATGCATTATGAAATCATTTGTATGGTGTCTTTTTCTTAGCACAATGCACTTGAAGTTTATCCAGGTTGTTGTATGCCATGGTTTGAATGTATGCGTCACTCTAAAATTTTTATGTTGGAATGTAAACCTCGAGGTGATAGTATTAAGAGGTGGGCTTTTTTTATTTTTAAAGGAAGTGATTAAATCATGAGGGCTTTGTCCTCATAATAGATCTGTGCTCTCATAAAAGAGTTTGAATGGAGTGTTCTAGTGCCTTTTGCCCTTCCATCCCTTCTGCCATGTGAGAACACAATATTCTTTCCTTTTTGCCCTCTTCTGCCATGTGAGGACATAGCAAGAAGGCACAATGTTGGAAGCAGTGAGCAGTACCCACCAGACATCAAATCTGCTAATGCCTTGATCTTGGAATTCCCACCTTCCAGAACAGTGAGAAATAAATTTTTATTGTTTGGAAATTACCTAGTTTAAGGTATTTTGCTATAGCAGCAGAAGCAGACTAAGACATTGTGTCTAACAATAATTCACATTTTTTAATTGCAGAATTGTATTTTGTTGTATGAATGCACCTCAGTTTATCCATTTACTTACTGAAGAACATTTGGTATATTTCCAGTTTTCTGACAATTAAGAATTTGCTGTTATAAAACCAAGGTGGAAGTTTTTGTGTGAATATACACTTTCATTTCTCTAAAGTAAATATGTAGGAGTGGAATTTCTGGGTCATATGATAAGTTTATGGTTTAACTTTATAGGAAACTGCCAAATTATTTTCCATAGTGACTACCATTTTGAATTCTTACCAGCAACTTAGGAGAGTTCTATTGCTCTACATTCCCATCAATATTGGATAGTATCAATTTTATTTTAATTTAATCATTCTAATGAGTATGTAGTGGTATGCCAACGTAGTTTCAATTTGCATTTAACTAATGATTACTGATGTTTAATGTCTTTTCTGTGCTTCTTTTCCATCTACACATCTTCCGTAATGATTTATCTGTTCAAAGTTTTATCCATTTTTCCTTTTTTTAGAAATTGAAACATTGTTGAGTTTTGAGGTTTTACACTCATTCACACACACATTCTAAATATAATACCAAATTTTTCAGATATATAATCAATAGATATTTTATTTACAGTTTGTAAGTTATGTTTCTATTCTCTTAACAGGCCTTTCATGGTAACAAAGTTTTTCATTTTGTTGAAGTCTAATTTGTCAATTTTTTTCTTTGATGAAGCATGATTTTGGTGTCATTTTCAAGAACTCTTTTCTTAGCCTAATTTTCTTATTTTTCTAAAGGTTTTATAATTTTACATTTAAGTTTATAATCCATTTTGTATTAATTTTTGTATAAAGAATAAGATATTGGTTGATGTTATCTTCTTCATGTAAATGTTTCATTGTTCCAAAACAGTTTGTTAGAAAGAATATCCTTTCTCCATTAAATTGTCTTTGCAACTTTGTCAACAATCACTTGACCATATTTGTGTATGTCTATTTCTGGACTTTCTATTCTGCTATACTCTTCTGTGTGTTTATCCATTTGTCACTACTATGACAGTCTTCATTACTGTAACTTTATAGTGAGCCTTAAAATCAGTTAGTGTGAGCCCTCCAATTTTGTTCTTCATTATCAAAGTTCTTTCGGCTATTCTAGTTCTTTCAACAAAAAAATTTTAGAGATAGCTGATTGATATTGTATTAGTCTGCTCAGGCAGCCACAGCCAAATCCCAAAGACTAGGTGGCTTAAACAACAGAAATTTATTTCTCATAGTTCTGAGGGAGTCTAAGATCAAAGTGCCGTCTGATTTGGTTTTTGGTGAGGGCTCCCTTCCTGGCTTACAGAAAGCTGCTTCTCACTGTGACCTCACACGGCAGAGAGAGAGAGAAAGAGTTAGCTCTGTGGTGTCTCTTCTAATAAGAACAACAATTCTACTGGATCAGGGCCTCATCCTTACGATCTCGTTTAACATTAGGTATCCTCATAAAGGCCGTGACTCCAAATACAGTCACATTGCTAGTTGGGCCTTTAACACATGCATTTTGGAGGTATTTAACACATGAATTTTGAAGAAACACAAATATTCAGTTCTTAACAGATCTCTATGGGAAAGCCTGCTGGTATGATTTAGGTTTGCACTGAATTTATATATTAATTTGGGAATTGTGGTTTTGAATGATTCATTCTCATAAGAAAGATATTATTTCTTTAGCATTTGGAATATTACATTGTCTTATGAGATGAAATGCACTTTGAATGTTTAATTCTATCAACTTCTAATTATTAGAAACACATATACATGTGCAATAGCTAAGGATATATCTGGTAGTGAGGAAAAAAGCCCTCTTATCTGTGAAGTAATTTCCATAAAATATTGTAAATCCAGATGGAAAAACTATGTAGGTATGATATTGATATATACAGAAAAGATAGTGAAAATATTTATATATTTATGTAATTGTTACCACTTCTTATTTATGCAGAATAATTAAAATAGATGTATTGAAAGTTCACTGATGAACACTTGATGCCATTTGTTTCCTCTTTCTTTGTTAGCTTTAATTTACTATTTTACAGATGTTTCATATAATGAAAAATGGCTTTTGTTGATTTTTAAAATCCTCTTTAAAAAGATTATTTGAAATAAAATGATGCATTCTATTTATATCAGATACAAAATCAACTCAAAGTGGATTAAAGACTTAAATTTCAGTCTTGAAACTGTAAAACTTCTAAAAGAAAGTGAGAAAATCTTCATGACATTGGTCTTGGCAATGATTTCATGGCTATGACACCAAAAGCATCAACAACAGAAACAAAAATAAACCAGTGAGATAATATCAAACTAAAAAGCTTCTGTACAATCAAGGAACCAACAGAATGAAAAGGCAACCTGTGTAATAGGAGAAATATTTACACATCATATATCTGATAAGTGGTTAATCTCCTCATTATGTAAGGAACTGCTATAATTCAATAGCAAAAAATGAATAACTCAGTTAAAAAATGGGGAGATTATTTGAATAGACATTTCTCTAAAGAAGACATGCAAACGGCCAAGAGGTATATGAAAAAATGTTCAATGTTACTTGTCATCAGGGAAATTAAAGTCAAAATCACTATGAAATATCCTCTCACACCTGTCAGGACAGCTCTTAAAAATAAAAAAATAAATAAATAAAAGACAACAAGTGTTGGCAAGAATGTGGAGAAACTGGGACGCTTGCACGCTGTTGGTGGGAATATAAAATGGTGCAACTATTATGGAAAATAGTGCAGAGGTTTTTCAAAAATATGAAGATAAAACTACCACATGATGTAGCAATTCCTCTTCTGAATATTTATCCAAAAGAATTAAAATCAGGATACTGAGGAGATGTTAGGACTTCGATACTCCTTACAGCACTATCTGCAATAGGAGAGATATGGAGATAGCCTAAATGTCCATTGACAGATGAGTGGATAAAGAAAATGTGTAATACACATGCAATGGAATACAATTCAGCCTTTAAAAGATGGAGATTCTCACGCCTGTAATCCCAGCACTTTCGGAGGCTGAGGTGGGTGGATCACCTGAGGTGAGGAGTTCAAGACCAGCCTGACCAACATGGTGAAATCCCTGTCTCTACTAAAAATACAAAAAAAAACAAATTAGTCAGGCATGGTGGCGGGCGCCTGTAATCACAGCTGCTTGGGAGGCTGAGGCAGGAGAATAGCTTGAACCTGGGTGGCAGAAGTTGCAGTGAGCCAAGATCACGCCATTGTGCTCCAGCCTGGGAGACAAGAGCGAAACTCCATTTCCAAAAAAAAAAAAAAAAAAAAAAGATGGAGATTCTGAAATATGGAAATATGCAATAACATGGATGAAACTTGAAGACATTATGCTAAGTAAAATAAGCCAGTCATGGAAAGAAAAATACTGCAAGATTCCACTTACGTAGGATATCTAAGATAGTTGTATTCATATAATCAGAGTAGAATGGTGGCTGCTAGAAACTGGGTGGAGGGAGAAAAAAAGGAACTCCTAATCAACAGGCAGTAAGTTTCAGGTAAGCAAGATGAATAATGTCCAAAGAGCTGCTGTACAACAATGTACCTGTAATCAACAATAATGTACGTTTACAAATCTGTTACAAGGTGAATGTCATGTTAAGTGTTCTTACCACAGTAAAATAGCATCAAAAGAAAAATAAAATACATGAGGGGAATTATGGAAGAGTAAATGATGTAGGAAAAGCATAAAAGCAGGAGCCAAGAGATTAGAAGCTGGGAGAATTTTCCTCTCCATATATGGTGTGCTGAATAACACTATGCAAGTGCACCTCCCACACAGACACGCCCATAACACTTGTGGGACTTTACTATAAAGTTACAGTAATCAAGACTCTTACGTACTAACAAATAGATAAACACACAGATGAGTACAGCAGAATAGAAAGTGCAGAAATAGACATACACAAATATGGTCAACTGACTGTTGGCAAAGTTACAAAGACAATTTAATGGAGAAAGGATATTCTTTCTAACAAACTGTTCTGGAACAAAGAAACATTCATATGAAAAAAAAACCTCAGCTAATATCTTATTCCTTATACAAAAATTAACACAAAATGGATTATAAACTTAAATGTAAAATGCAAAATAATAAAACCTTTAGAAAAATAGAAAATTAGCTAAGGAAAGAGTTCTTGAATATGACACCAAAATCATGCTTCATCACAGAAAAACAAACATCAAAACTGTAACAATGGAAACACACAGACCTTCTGTCCCAGTGGCAAGCTACTTAGGGAGCTGTTAAATAAAGCACGTTCGTCGTTGTTGTTGTTTGCTTGTTTTTTTGTTTTTTGTTTGTTTTGTTTTTGAGATGGAATCTCACTCTGTCACCAGGCTGGAGTGCAGTGGTGTGATCTCGGCTCCCTCCAACCTCCGCCTCCCGGGTTCAAGCCATTCTCCTGCCTCAGCCTCCGGAGTATCTGGGATTACAGATGTGCGCCACCACGCCTAGCTAGTTTTTGTATTTTTAGTAGAGACGGGGTTTCACCATGTTGGCCAGGCTGGTCTCGATCTCTTGACCTCGCGATCTGCCAGGCTCGGCCTACCAAAGTGCTGCTGTTACAGGCGTGAGCCACAGTGCCTGGCCAATAAAGCTCGTTTTATGTCCTTATTTGATTAACATACTTTCATAAGGTCAGAGAGGCCCGATTCTTGTCTTCCTAGAAGGTTCATAAGCAACCTTGGCAGGCGAAGGGAGAGCTGGCGCTGTCGCGTAGACTCTGGCCCCTTCCTCAGCCCACTCTCCTTGCTGGAGAGCCCATCGTTTTCAAAATCCTGTAGTGCTGCCTTGTGTGTACTGTGCGGGCTGATTTGCCAGAGGGCTTTACTCAGTGCCTTTCCACCTTCGCATTTGCTTCTTCCCTTGGTGCTGTGCTTCTCACTGGATGTCTCTGTGCTCTTACAGCTATCCTAGTGCCATTCCGCTACTACTTTATACTCTACACGTTGCTATTTCGGTGGTGCAAGACAGGGAAGGAGGACATTCTCTTAATTCTGATTAAGTCTCAGTCTCAGGCAAGTACTATACTCCTGGGTAAGGCTTTCTCATTGCTCCCTCCCCTAGCTGTAGTCCTGATCCCATCACGGAATTCCTGCTCTCTCTCCAGGGGAAAACAGTTGTTCTGCTTACTTTCCCAGCTGGGATGGGATTTACCCAGTGCCCTGAAGATGACAGTGGTGCCCTCCCCCAGCCCTGATATTAAGGCTTTGTTTCTTTCTTTCTTTTTTTTTTATACTTTAAGTTTTAGGGTACATGTGCACAACGTGCAGGTTTGTTACATATGTATACATGTGCCATGTTGGTGTGCTGCACCCATTAACTCGTCATTTACATTAGGTATATCTCCTAATGCTATCCCTCCTCCCTCCCCCCACTCCACAACAGGCCCTGGCGTGTGATGTTCCCCTTCCTGTGTACATGTGTTCTCATTGTTCAATTCCCACCTATGAGTGAGAACATGCGGTGTTTGGTTTTTTGTCCTTGTGATAGTTTGCTGAGAATGATGGTTTCCAGCTTCATCCATGTCCCTACAAAGGACATGAACTCATCATTTTTTATGGCTGCATAGTATTCCATGGTGTATATGTGCCACATTTTCTTAATCCAGTCTATCATTATTGGACATTTGGGTTGGTTCCAAGTCTTTGCTATTGTGAATAGTGCCGCAATAAACATACGTGTGCATGTGTCTTTATAGCAGCATGATTTATAATCCTTTGGGTATATACCCAGTAATGGGATGGCTGGGTCAATTGGTATTTCTAGTTCTAGATCCCTAAAGAATTTCCACACTGACTTCCACAACGGTTGAACTAGTTTACAGTCCCACCAACAGTGTAAAAGTGTTCCTATTTCTCCACATCCTCTCTGGCACCTGTTGTTTCCTGACTTTTTAATGATCACCATTCTAACTGGTGTGAGATGGTATCTCATTGTGGTTTTGATTTGCATTTCTCTGATGGCCAGTGATGGTGAGCATTTTTTCATGTGTTTTTTGGCTGCATAAATGTCTTCTTTTGAGAAGTGTCTGTTCATGTCCTTTGCCACTTTTTGATGGGGTTGTTTGTTTTTTTCTTGTAAATTAGTTTGAGTTCATTATAGATTTTGGATATTAGCCCTTTGTCAGATGAGTAGGTTGCGAAAATTTTCTCCCATTTTATAGGTTGCCTGTTCACTCTGATGGTAGTTTCTTTTGCTGTGCAGAAGCTCTTTAGTTTAATTAGATCCCATTTGTCAATTCTGGCTTTTGTTGCCATTGCTTTTGGTGTTTTAGACATGAAGTCCTTGCCCATGCCTATGTCCTGAATGGTAATGCCTAGGTTTTCTTCTAGGGATTTTATGGTTTTAGGTCTAACATGTAAGTCTTTAATCCACCTTGAATTAATTTTTGTATAAGGTGTAAGGAAGGGATCCAGTTTCAGCTTTCTACATATGGCCAGCCAGTTTTCCCAGCACCATTTATTAAATAGGGAATCCTTTCCCCATTGCTTGTTTTTCTCAGGTTTGACAAAGATCAGATAGTTTTAGATATGTGGCATTATTTCCGAGGGCTCTGTTCCGTTCCATTGATCTATATCTCTGTTTTGGTAACAGTACCATGCTGTTTTGGTTACTGTAGCCTTGTAGTGTAGTTTGAAGTCAGGTAGTGTGATGCCTCCAGCTTTGTTCTTTTGGCTTAGAATTGACTTGGTGATGCGGGCTCTTTTTTGTTCCATATGAACTTTAAAGTAGTTTTTTCCAATTCTGTGAAGAAAGTCATTGGTAGCTTGATGGGGATGGCATTGAATCTATAAATTACCTTGGGCAGTATGGCCATTTTCACGATATTGATTCTTCCTACCCATGAGCATGGAATGTTCTTCCATTTGTTTGTATCCTCTTTTATTTCATTGAGCAGTGGTTTGTAGTTCTCTTTGAAGAGGTCCTTCACATCCCTTGTAAGTTGGATTCCTAGGTATTTTATACTCTTTGAAGAAGTTGTGAATGGGAGTTCACTCATGATTTGACTCTCTGTTTGTCTGTTATTGGTGTATAAGAATGCTAGTGATTTTTGTACATTGATTTTGTAACCTGAGACTTTGCTGAAGTTGCTTATCAGCTTAAGGAGATTTTGGGCTGAGACAATGGAGTTTTCTAGATATACAATCATGTCATCTGCAAACAGGGACAATTTGACTTCCTCTTTTCCTAATTGAATACCCTTTATTTCTTTCTCCTGCCTAATTGCCCTGGCCAGAACTTCCAACACTATGTTGAATAGGAGTGGTGAGAGAGGGCATCCCTGTCTTGTGTCAGTTTTCAAAGGGAATGCTTCCAGTTTTTGCCCATTCAGTATGATATTGGCTGTGGGCTTGTCATAGATAGCTCTTATTATTTTGAGATACGTCCCATCAATACCTAATTTATTGAGAGTTTTTAGCATGAAGGGTTGTTGAATTTTGTCAAAGGCCTTTTCTGCATCTATTGAGATAATCCTGTGGTTTTTGTCTTTGGTTCTGTTTATATGCTGGATTACATGTATTGATTTGTGTATATTGAACCAGCCTTGCATCCCAGGGATGAAGCCCACTTGATCATGGTGGATAAGCTTTTTGATGTGCTGCTGGATTCGGTTTGCCAGTATTTTATTGAGGATTTTTGCATCAATGTTCATCAAGGATATTGGTCTAAAATTCTCTTTTTTGGTTGTGTCTCTGCCAGGCTTTGGTATCAGAATGATGCTGGCCTCATAAAATGAGTTAGGGAGGATTCCCTCTTTTTCTATTGATTGGAATAGTTTCAGAAGGAATGGTACCAGTTCCTCCTTGTACCTCTGGTAGAATTCGGCTGTGAATCCATCTGGTCCTGGACTCTTTTTGGTTGGTAAACTATTGATTATTGCCACAATTTCAGAGCCTGTTATTGGTCTATTCAGAGATTCAACTTCTTCCTGGTTTAGTCTCTGGAGGGTGTATGTGTCCAGGAATTTATCCATTTCTTCTAGATTTTCTAGTTTATTTGCGTAGAGGTGTTTGTAGTATTCTGATGGTAGTTTGTATTTCTGTGGGATCAGTGGTGATATCCCCTTTATCATTTTTTATTGCGTCTATTTGATTCTTCTCTCTTTTCTCCTTTATTAGCCTTGCTAGTGGTCTATCAATTTTGTTGATCCTTTCAAAAAACCAGCTCCTGGATTCATTAATTTTTCGAAGGGTTTTTTGTGTCTCTATTTCCTTCAGTTCTGCTCTGATTGTAGTTATTTCTTGCCTTCTGCTAGCTTTTGGATGTGTTTGCTCTTGCTTTTCTAGTTCTTTTAATTGTGATGTTAGGGTGTCAATTTTGGATCTTTGCTGCTTTCTCTTGTGGGCATTTAGTGCTATAAATCTCCCTCTACACACTGCTTTGAATGTGTCCCATAGATTCTGGTATGTTGTGTCTTTGTTCTCATTGGTTTCAAAGAACATCTTTATTTCTGTCTTCATTTTGTTATGTACCCAGTAGTCATTCAGGAGCAGGTTGTACAGTTTCCATGCAGTTGAGCAGTTTTGAGTGAGTTTCTGAATCCTGAGTTCTAGTTTGATTGCACTGTGGTCTGAGGGACAGTTTGTTATAATTTCTGTTCTTTTACATTTGCTGAGGAGAGCTTTACTTCCAACTATGTGGTCAATTTTGGAATAGGTGTGGTGTGGTGCTGAAAAAAATGTATATTCTGTTGATTTGGGGTGGAGAGTTCTGCAGATGTGTATTAGGTCCACTTGGTGCACAGCTGAGTTCAATTCCTGGGTATCCTTGTTAACTTTCTGTCTCGTTGATCTGTCTAATGTTGACAGTGGGGTGTTAAAGTCTCCCATTATTAATGTGTGGGAGTCTAAGTCTCTTTGTAGGTCTCTTTTTAGGTCACTCAGGACTTGCTTTATGAATCTGGGTGCTCCTGTATTGGGTGCATGTATATTTAGGATAGTTAGCTCTTCTTGTTGAATTGATCACTTTATCATTAAGTAATGGCCTTCTTTGTCTCTTTTGATCTTTGTTGGTTTAAAGTCTGTTTTATCAGAGACTAGGATTGTAACCCCTGCCTTTTTTTGTTTTCCATTTGCTTGGTAGATCTTCCTCCATCCTTTTATTTTGAGCCTATGTGTGTCTCTGCACATGAGATGGGTTTTCTGAATACAGCACGCTGATGGGTCTTGACTCTTTATCCAATTTGCCAGTCTGTGTCTTTTAATTGGAGCATTTAGTCCATTTACATTTAACGTTAATATTGTTATGTGTGAATTTGATCCTGTCATTATGATGTTAGCTGGTTATTTTGCTCGTGAGTTGATGCAGTTTCTTCCTAGCCTCGATGGTCTTTACAATTTGGCATGTTTTGCAGTGGCTGGTACCGGTTGTTTCTTTCCATGTTTAGTGCTTCCTTCAGGAGCTCTTTTAGGGCAGGCCTGGTGGTGACAAAATCTCTCAGCATTTGTTTGTCTGTAAAGTATTTTATTTCTCCTTCACTTATGAAGCTTAGTTTGGCTGGATATGAAATTCTGGGTTGAAAATTCTTTTCTTTAAGAATGTTGAATATTGGCCCCCACTCTCTTCTGGCTTGTAGAATTTCTGCCGAGAGATCTGCTGTTAGTCTGATGGCTTCCCTTTGTGGGTAACCCGACCTTTCTCTCTGGCTGCCCTTAACATTTTTTCCTTCATTTCAACTTTGGTGAATCTGACAATTATATGTCTTGGAGTTGCTCTTCTCAAGGAGTATCTTTGTGGCATTCTCTGTATTTCCTGAATCTGAATGTTGGCCTGCCTTGCTAGATTGGGGAAGTTCTCCTGGATAATATCCTGCAGAGTGTTTTCCAACTTGGTTCCATTCTCCCCATCACTTTCAGGTACACCAATCAGACGTAGATTTGGTCTTTTCACATAGTCCCATATTTCCTGGAGGCTTTGTTGGTTTCTTTTTATTCTTTTTTCTCTAAACTTCCCTTCTCGCTTCATTTCATTCATTTCATCTTTCATCACAGATACCCTTTCTTCCAGTTGATCGCATAGGCTCCTGAGGCTTCTTTCTGCATTCTTCACGTAGTTCTTGAGCCTTGGCTTTCAGCTCCATCAGCTCCTTTAAGCACTTCTCTGTATTGGTTATTCTAGTTATACATTCTTCTAAATTTTTTTCAAAGTTTTTAACTTCTTTGCCTTTGGTTTGAATTTCCTCCTGTAGCTCAGAGTAGTTTGATCTTCTGAAGCCTTCTTCTCTCAGCTCGTCAAAGTCATTCTCCGTCCAGCTTTGTTCCATTGCTGGTGAGGAACTGCGTTCCTTTGGAGGAGGAGAGGCGGTCTGCTTTTTAGTGTTTCCAGTTTTTCTGCTCTGTTTTTTCCCCATCTTTGTGGTTTTATCTACTTTTGGTCTTTGATGATGGTGATGTACAGATGGGTTTTTGGTGTGGATGTCCTTTCTGTTTGTTAGTTTTCTTTCTAACAGACAGGGCCCTCAGCTGCATGTCTGTTGGAGTTTGCTAGAGGTCCACTCCAGACTCTGTTTGCCTGGGTAACAGCAGCGGTGGCTGCAGAACAGCAGTTTTTCGTGGACCGCAAATGCTGCTGTCTGATCGTTCCTCTGGAAGTTTTGTCTCAGAGGAGTACCCGGTCGTGTGAGGTGTCAGTCTGTCCTTACTGGGGGCTGCCTCCCAGTTAGGCTGCTCGGGGGTGAGGGGTCAGGGACCCACTTGAGGAAGCAGTCTGCCCGTTCTCAGATCTCCAGCTGCGTGCTGGGAGAACTACTGCTCTCTTCAAAGCTGTCAGACAGGGACATTTATGTCTGTAGAGGTTACTGCTGTCTTTTTGTTTGTCTGTGCCCTGCCCCCAGAGGTGGAGCCTACAGAGGCAGGCAGGCCTCCTTGAGCTGTGGTGGGCTCCACCCAGTTTGAGCTTCCCGGCTGCTTTGTTTACTTAAGCAAGCCTGGGCAATGGTGGGCACCCCTCCCCCAGCCTCGCTGCCGCCTTGCAGTTTGATCTCAGACTGCTGTGCTAGCAATCAGCGAGACTCTGTGGGCCTAGGACCCTCCGAGCCAGGTGTGGGATATAATCTCCTGGTGCGCCGTTTTTTAAGCCCATCGGAAAAATGCAGTATTAGGGAGGGAGTGACCGGATTTTTCAGGTGCTGTCTGTCACCCCTTTCTTTGACTAGGAAAGGCAACTCCCTGACCCCTTGCACTTCCCGAGTGAGGCAATGCCTTGCCCTGCTTTGGCTCGTGCATGGTGCGCTGCATCCACTGTCCTGCGCCCACTGTCTGGCACTCCCTAGTGAGATGAACCCGGTACCTCAGATGGAAATGCAGAAATCACCTGTCTTCTGCGTGGCTCACGCTGGGAGCTGTAGACCGGAGCTGTTCCTATTCGGCCATCTTGGCTGCCACATGGGAAAAATTTTTAAAACAAATTATATGTAGATGTTTAGAATGGTCATTATTTTTAAAAACACTTTTCCTAGTCACAAAAATCTTGATCAAATATAAGTAATCAATTATATTTTTCTGCATTTCAGCTCTAAAACCTGAAGTAATTGTTGAGTCTTCTTTTGTAGATATAATTTTTTCCTCTAATGGAGGTTATGATTTCAAGAGCATATTGGAAAAAAATTCTGTGGAATAATTACATAACCCACATATTTAAATTTAGATATTAAATATTCATTTTTATTCCATAATTATAAAATTAAATTTTAAAATAATAAATTTTCCTCTATCTTAAAGTGTTTTTTGTTTTATATTTTTTAATATTTCAGTTATAAAACTACCAGCTGTGCGACTGTATACTTTGTGTTCCCAAAGCACCTTGTAGGTCCTCTAGGATAGCTTGACAGTTACTGCTGATATTTTAATATTATTGCTTATTTGATGTCTGTCATCATTGTTACATTGTAAGCCTCCATGGAGGCAGCATACAAAGCTATAATATCTTGTTCATCTGGGTACCCACAGTGCTTAGTCAGGCTTTGGAATGCAGTAATCATTAATGAGTATTCAGTGAATGAATTAATATTAATGGTGACTTAATTTAAAATATTTTTATTTCCATTTATTTCTTAAACTATTAAATCTATATTTGGACTTTAAGAGGAACTCCTTTAAAAATAACTGCTGTGTTTATTAGGTTCTGACTCTGGCTTTGGTGCTATTTTTGACAACAGCAAAGTAATAGCTGATTGATTTATGGGGGAGATAATGGCCATCATTGGTGATGTTCTGTAAAATATCTTCTGAAGTGTCATTCAACAGAAGAGGTGGCATGGGCAGTAAAGAACTCTATTATCTAAGATTTTAGTCACAGGATCGATTACATCTTATGTCTCTCATACAAATATTATCTTTGATGAAGTGAATAGCCCACAGAGTAGCCCAAACATTGTCAATGGTGCTATTTCAACTTTGAAAGTCTGTAAGACAAGGTTGTCAGTTTTCATGTGCAAAGTGCAATCTGTGCTGTGGATTTTTGTAAGAGATGTAGATACATTGTCTTCCTGCGAAACAAATTTTTGTAATTAACCACAAAAAAAAAAAATGGTTTTTGATGTAAAGTGATTTGTCACAGAATCTGTATGTTGGTGAATGATTTTAGGTTTGGAAGCATACACTGACATAATTATATTGATTTGGTTTGTTTTACTCCAAAGTTATTCTCGATGATCTATTCTCTTAGATTTAGTCCTTTAACAGATTTTCTGTGTTTGACTTTTGGCATCAAACCTCAAACTAGATCATAGAAGGAACAAGAAAAATAATCAGAGGCAGCTTCTTTAGGCATTAAACCTTAACCTACGTATTTGGCAAACTACTGCCTTCACTATGACTCCAAGCTAGATTTGTGCTAGTTATGTATTGTTTTTCTTCATTGGAGAGAGTAGGATGGGATGTGGCATGTTGGTGAAAAGGCACACACAGTCTCTTAATAGATATATTTTATATGTTATTAATTTAGTATTAATTAGTAAACCATTAAAATTAACATATATAATTAATATGTATCATAATTTGAATAGCAACTTTTATATACTAATTTGCAATAAAATAAGTATCAGGAATAAAATATCCCCTTAAAAAAGTTATGCCATAGTTTGTTTGTTTTTTTGTTTTTAGGTCATATTTGTTTATAAAGAAAAAAGCTGCATAGTGCTAATATATGATATCAGTTTTTATCCTTCCTCATGTACTGCAGCTTGTTTAGTGTTTTTTATTCAACTTTATATATTGGCCTAGTAAATTAGTAAATTGAGTTCCATAAGCATAAACTCACTTGGGGATGCAGTAACCAAGAATCTCTCAACCCATAAGAAGCCCTTGATTAAATGCATTCAGATTAAAATCATATGTACATCATTTCTTCCCACACTTTTTGTACAAATTGTGTAATTGATAGAAATGAGAGGTTAAAGTTTGAAACAAAGGCAGGAGTCATAAAAAATGATTTATCATCAATACAATGGCTAGTGGAAGCCCACCTTTTACCAGTGAATCCTTCTTTTTATTCTTCTCAACTGTTTGCCTCCATTTATTAATGGAAGAGATAAGTATGTGTGGGATATTGATGTGGAGAAAACAGTGTCTGCTTACAGGTATAAACATAACTTCATTCCTTACTCTATTACTTTCTAACTGGGTCACCTTGGAAAAACTCATAATGTTTTTGAGCTTGTTTCTTCACCTCAATAATAGGAAATACAACCCTGATAACAATACTGTGAGCTTTAAAAAGTGGGGGTTGCTTGTTACATAACTTACTGCATGCTTTCAAGGAGTAATTCTGAACATACTCTGTGAAGTGTTTGGAAGCCCCTGCAATGTGTAAAATAATTTACATGCTAAGAAATATACAATGGCTGCAACTTGTGAAGGATTCAATTATTTATTTATTTTTTTATTTTTGGCTATTTGCAACATTTGCTATAGCTTAAAAGTTATTGGCTGTTATTACTAATGGATGTATTTTTTTTTCAGGTTTTCACAGAGGCCTTTGTGGAGAAGTATCTTCTAGACTAGGATTCTAGGAGTCTAGACTAGGAGTCTAGAAGATACTTCTTTCTCTTTACAAAAGTAAAGAGAAACATGATTTGTGGGAGGGTAATACATGGTTTAATATTTTTAAAAATATATGTTTCTATATTTTGAAATACTTGCCGTGTTTCAACTGCAACAGGAGCTTAGAAGTTGCTAGCTCAGATCTCTAATTTCCCAAGGGAAAAAGACGAGCCAGATGACTTTTAAAAGTTCCCACAGCTAGACAGTGTCAGGATATGGCTAAAATACTAGTGAATGCTCTTATGAACTTTGGTAGGCAGAATAATGACCCCCTAAAGGTGTCTATGTTCTAATCCCTGGAAGCTGAATATGTTACTGTATTAGTCTGTTCTCATGCTGCTAGCAAAGACAAACTCGAGACTGGGTAATTTATAAAGGAAATAGGTTTAATTGACTCACAGTTCAGCATGGCTGGGGAGGCATCACAATCATGGTGGAAGGTAAAGGAGGAGCAAAGGCCTGTCTTACATGGCAGCAGGCAAGAGAGAGTGTGTAGGGGAACTGACCTTTATAAAACCATCAGATCTCGTGAGACGTATTCACTATCATGAGAACAGCACGGGGAAAAACTTGCCCTCATGATTCAATTACCTCCCACTGGGGTCCCTCCCATGACATGTGGGGATTATGGGAGCTACAATTCAAGATGAGATTTGGGTATGGACACAGCCAAACCATATCAGTTATCTTATACAGCACAGGGAAATTAAGGTTGTTGGTGAGATTAAAGCTGCTAATCAGCTGGCCTTGAGATGGCAAGATTATCCTGGACTGTCTCCGAGATCTAATGGAATCACATAGATTTTTATCAGTATAAGAACCAGGCGAGAGAGAGAGAGTCAGAGGGACATCTGAAGACACTAAGATTCTGCCTTTGAGGTTGGAGAAAGGGGTCATGAGCCAAGGAATTCAGATTCCCTGTAAAAGGCAAGGAAGTGGACTCTTCTTTAAGTCTCCAGAAGGAATGCAACCCTGCCGACAACTTCGTTTTAGCCCAGTGAGACCCATGTTGGATTTCTGATCCCCAGAACTGTATAATACATTTTGGTTGTTTTTAGCCACTAAGTTTGTGGTGATTTGTTACAGCAGCAGTAGAAATCAAATATATCAAATTATCAATATATCAAATTATTTCCTGGAACATTTCAGTTCAGGAGCTTGAGTCTTTACAAGTTAATATGATCTGGCAAGCTGGATGTACTTCCCTTTTAGACATAACCACCCAAGATAGGCTTGTTGTTCCAGTAAAATTTTAAATACCATTCCAAGGATGTGTATAATACAATTATAGAAGATGTAAATACTGTTTAAAAAAAAAGAAATTAAACAATGGAAAAAGTTAAAGGCAGACTGAGTGATCAAAGATATATTTGGAAGACATTCTTAGGAAAACAGTACCAAGCAGGGGCTAAAAAGTTACTTTCTTAGTATCATAGAATAAGGATTTGAAGACAAGGCAAAGACAGAGGAAATTTGAAATCCCCCTAGGAGAGTTTCACTGTCACTGCTGTGAAGCAAGTTTTTACTGTTAGAGAGTTACTGACTGAATAAACCTACAGCCCAGTTCAGGATGGCTGCATGTTTCACAGATTAGCAAGAAGTAGAAACAAGTGACACAAAATCTCAGAAAGTGGGCTGATGGAGCCGAGAGAGGGCAATTTTGCATCGGGGTAAAAAGGGAATGAACAAGAGTCTGCAAGTTGGCCAGGTGTGGTGCCTCATGTGTGTAATCCAAGCACTTTGGGAGGCCGAGGTGAGCCGATCACTTGAGGCCAGGAGTTTGAGACCAGGCTGGCCAATATGGCAAAATTGCATCTCTACTAAAAATACAAAAAAAATTAAGCGGGCCAGGTGGTACATGCCTGTAGCCCCAGCTACTCAGGAAGCTGAGGCATTAGAATTGTTTGAACCCAGGAGGTAGAGTTGCAGAGAGCAAGATCACACCACTGCACTCCAGCCTGGGTGACAGAGCAAGACTCTGTCTTAAAAAAAAAAAAAAAAAAGAAAAAGAAAGAGACTGCAAGTTATATTGGAAGTGCATTAGTTGCCTATTGCTATTATAACAAATTACCACAAACTTAGTGGTTTAATACAACACAAATTTATTCCTTTGCAATTTTGAAGGTCAGAAGTCTGCTATTAATCTCATGAGGCTAAAATCAAGGTGTTAGCAGGGCTTGTCCTTTCCAGGGGCTTTAGGGGAGACTCTGAATTGATTCCTTGCCTGTTGTAGATATTAGAGATGGCTGTGGTCACATGACTCTAGTCTCCGGTTCTGTTGTCACATCGCTTTCTCCTTCCTTTGACCTTTTACCTCTTTCTTAAGAACCTGTGTTTACACATTGAGCCCACCCAGATAATCTAGGATAATCTTTCCATCTCAACATCCTTTACTTAATTATATCAGCAAAGCCCCTTTTGCCACACAAGATAACATATTCACAAATCCTAGGGATTAGGATGAGAACATTTTCTGGGAGGCATTATTCAAAAACCCACCACAGAAATGTAGTCACATAGAATTTCCTGTAATTTGGACATATAACTAAACTTGGGTTAAGAGGTGTTTTTGGTCATATTTCAAGTACTTTTTGAAGTCCTGCAAGAGGGGAATATGGAACCTGGAAACAGTCCATGTATTATCTGGAAGAATTCAGAATCTGTTACATGAATTAACTGTGAGGGCTGGATTTCCTCTAGATGGGGTTACTTCACATAGCAACATAGAAGCATTGCTGCAGATGCTGTCAGCATCTAGAAGAAAACCCTCAAGCTCACTAGTGAGGTTGCTATGTAAAGCACCTGTGTCTACAGGAAATGCAGCCCTTGCAATTCAACATACATGAGCAAAAGATGCTGCCACCGGCCAGGCGTGGTGGCTCATGCTTGTAATCCCAGCACTTTGGGAGGCCAAGGTGGGCTGACCATGAGGTCAGAAGATCGAGACCATTCTGGCTAACACAGTGAAATCCCGTCTCCACTAAAAATACAAAAAAATTAGCCGGGCATGGTGGCACATGCCTATAGTCCCAGCTACTTGGGAGGCTGAGGCAAGAGAATCGCTTGAACCTGGGAGGCAGAGGTTGCAGTGAGCTGAGATCACACCACTGCACTCCAGCCTGGGCGACAGAGAGAGACTCCGTCTCAAACAAAAAAAAAAAGATACTGCCACCATCAACATTCTTGCCATTTGCTGTCCTGTTCTCTATATCTGCAGTCACTGCCTCACTATACTTTCTGAAGCCAAGTGTGTGGAGTAGGAGTTTAAATTGCTCTAGCCATCAAGCAACTTATCAGCCTTACTGTTCATTTGCATGTAAGCACATGTATATCTGTGCATGTGTAAAGGAAACCATAGAAAATAATGATAACTGTCTAGAATGAACTTCTTAAATTTGAATGTTAATTTCAGTGATGACAGTTTACTGACGATTAGTATTTAAAGTGATCCATAACCCAATTCATTTTTGATAAATATTTCATATTTATTATAAAATTTGATAGCTGAAGTTATTTTATTTTTCATTCAATGTAAATTTGTCAATGTCTAGTATGTGCAAATACTAATTTACTCATCGATTGCAGTTGCAATGCACTTGGTACTGTGGATACATCAGTGAACAAAGAAGGTATAATTCATTTTCCTATGGAACTTTTGTCCTAGTTTGGAAGGCAGACAAACAAATCAAAACAAACCTGTCAAATAAATGTCTGTATATACAAATAAATATGTTGAAAAAAGTCATAGTATTAAAACTCATTTCCCATATGCTCTCAGATAAAGAAAATTTAAATTTCTATGATTATTGAAGCCATTAAAATTCAGCATGTAATTCTTGTTTTTATTCAATAAGTATGAAATTAAATCTTGTTGTAAATGTCCATTCTTGGAAAATACCTGTCTTAACTTTTCCCTCAGTTTTTGGTGTTTCTGTTTTTAAAAGAAGGCTGTTGGCACTAAGAGATTTCCATACCCCAAGCAGCTACTTCTCCAGTCTTCCACCTCTTAGAAAATGTTATCACAGTTACCGAATACTTCAAGCAAACAACCTGATTGTTACCCTTGATCTCTCCCATTTTTATCCTCTATGAACATAGATAGAGGGTGGTCAGTGAGCAAGGAGGCTCCAGATGGGGAGAGATGATGAAGAGTTGATCATTCCAATGCTATTTTCATAATTTCTTACAGCTCTGGTATGAATGTGCTTGGAATCTTTAAGATGACTATGAGAGCTGTGAAGGTAGAAACATTCTAGGTGTTTTTTATTCTGAGCGATTGCAACGGATGAGTAAGCAGGAAATTGAACCAGGATCAAAGACTTCAAGGAGACAAACCAATGCAGGTGTCTAGAAAGACTTAAAGGCATTGGCAGAGAGGAGGTGTCATCTAGAGGCAAATGGGGCTGGAAAGACTGAATGCGGTATCAGTGGATACGATGGGGGTAATTCAGCAGAGGCATCAAAGCAGAGTGGCTAAAGAAACACAGACTTTGAAATAAAGAGGTACTGCATTCAAATATTAAGTTTTCCACTTGAGATTTGCCTCTCGTAGTCTCATTTTCCTCATCCTAATGTGTAGATTATAATACCGTTTATCTTAAAGACTTGTTGTTTCGGTATTAAATGATGTTTTAGATAAGATAATGTACGCAGAGCACTTAGTATGTTGCTGGCATCCAGTTGTCACCAGAGCTGGAGTCACTGTGATGCCAGCAGATCGGAAGCTTCAGCGCCCCTCTCATTCGTGGTCTGTTCCATATCTGTGCAGAGGTCCTAGTAATGTGCTCATGTGGCCATCTTTCAGACAATATTTGTGAAAATAAAATATTTTGACTTCAATTTATTAAGTGTGTTATCTCTTTTCACTCTGACTACTTTTCTGTTCTATTACCCCTTTGGTTCAGAGGGAGAAAGGGATCCATGTGACTGCAGAAAAGAATTTTAAAAATAAATAAAAGAAAGTAAGCCATTTCAGAAAAACAAGACTCAAAAAATAGATTACCTAGAAAGCTTCAGAGCATACAAAGACTCAAAAAATAGATAACATGGAAAATGTAATAAGATACATGGAAGGAAAATAGAATAATAGCCAGAAGAATGAAAATTAGATAAAAGAAAAAGTAATATGGGTGAGAGTAAAAGTGGTTCAAATGGAAGCCAGAAAATGATGTTTCAGCACACATGAAATTGGGGTCTTTGAAGAAGAAAAAAAGCAAACCATTTAAAAAAAACAGATAATTAAAATAACTAAAAGAGTATAATTGATCATTTAAAACCCAAAGGATAAATGCTTGCGGTGATGGATACCCTATGTACCCTGATGTGATTATTATGCTTTGAATTCATGTATCAAAATATCTCATATAACCCATAAATATATACACTTATAATGTACCCACAAAAATAAAAAAAAGAGAACTAATATTGAAAACTAAAATCCAATAAAATCTTTTTGGAAATAAAAAAATGAAACTTCTAAAATTCTTACTAAAAGAGTTCATCTCAAAAAATTGATTTGACAATAAACTGAAATCTTTCTCAGTAAAGTTGTTAGTCTTTAAGGACAAAGAAAAAAATCCACAGGGCCTTCAAGCGAAGAGATCAAAGTACCTTATAAAGGTAAGAAAATTAGGCTGGCATTTGACTCTTCAGGAACTGAATGTAAAGCCAGTGTACTATAGAGCTGCATTTTCAAAAAACACAAAGATAGCATGACCCAAGAATATAATTTCCAGCCAGGCTGTCCTTGAAATATCAAGACTATAGAAAAAAACAGTTTTAAATATGTAACTACAAAGGAAATCCTAAATACATCAACCACTCTCCAAAATTCAAGTATATGGTGAGTTTCATCCTTCCAGGAGACAATTGGAGAAACTTCAGCCAGAAGACTAGTGGTGAACATTTAATATATTTAGTTGTAAAATTATGACTAAACTGAGAATGGTGACACAGATGGGAGAAAGCCAAGGAAACATTATACGTTCTAAAAAGGTGGAAGGAATACAATTTTAAAAATAGGAAGAAAAGGGAGAGCGAATGGGGAATGTTGCATAAGATCATTGAGTTTTATCATTAGCAAGTGAAAATCAAAGGAACTAGCCAGAACAGACAAACCAGATAGAAAAAGATTAAGTAAGACAAAAGAAGATTAACAACAGTATAAAAGGTTTGAATACAAAGATTTCTACTAAAATCAAAACAGAAATTTTCCTAAACACTAAAAGACATTTTGAAACATAACAAAGATGATACACCATTTAGAGAGAGACTTAGTAAATATTACACAATACACATAGTGACTGTATCTTAATATGATAGGAGGATAGCTTCTGGTTCAGATGAAGAATATTGCAATAGAATGTTGCTATCAGTCAAAGAATCAGAACAAGTTGGATGATGTATTAGTCTGTTCTCACATTGCTATGAAGAACTACTGGAGACTGGGTAATTTATAAAGAAAAATGGTTTAATTGGTTTACAGTTCCACAGGCTGTACAGGAAGCATGGCTGGGGAGGCCTCAGGAAGCATACAGTCATGACAGAAGGCAAAGGGGAAACAAGCATGTCCTACAAGACTGGAGCAAGAGGAAGAGAATGCAGGGGAAAATGCTACACACTTTCAAACAATCAGATCTCATAAGAACTCACTCATTATCATGAGAACAGCAAGGAGGAAATCCACCCCCATGATCCAATCACCTCCCATCAGGCCCCTCTTCCAACACTGGGGATTACAATTCAACGTGACATTTGGGCAGGGACAGAAATCTAAACCACATTAGGTCAGCTATATAATCATATGTTTTTCAAACTCCCAAAAGAATTGAGGACACAAGAAAATCTAAATGAACTTAACTTTAGAAACTAACATGATCTTAACAATAGAGAAGAAAAAATAGTTATGTTATGACTAAAGGAGTGTGAAGAAGGAAAATCCACCATTAGAAGGATGAGAAAACCAGCCTAATCCTTAACACACTTTTAACAGTTGCATTGGAGCTGGCATGACAATTTGACATTTCATGACAGGTCTAAGAATGGCCACTACAATATCTCTTAGAGAATGTGATGGCTAATTTTATGTGTCAACTTGACTGGGCTAAGGGATGCCTAGGTAGCTAGTAAGGTATATTTTTGTGTGTGTATTCCAGTGAGGAAATTTCTGGAAGAGATTGACATTTAAATCAGTAGGTTGAATAAGAAATATCTGCCCTCATCAATGTAGGTGGGTGCCATCCAATCTGTTGAGGGCCCAAATTGAACAAAAAGGTAAAAGAAGGATAAATTATCTCTTCTTGTGCTGAGACATCCATCTTCTCCTGCTATCAGACATTGGAGCTCCAGGTTTGGACTTGGACTAAATTACTAGTGGGACCTCTCAACCTCCATAATCATGTGAGCCAATTGTCATAATGTAATATAATAGAAAATAGCTATCTATCTATCTGCCTATCTGCCTATCTGCCTATCCATCTATCTGTCTATCTATCTATCTATCTATCTATCTATCCATCCATCCATCCATCCCTCCATTTATCAATTGTCTTTCGTATTGGTTCTGTTTCACTGAAGAACCCTAACTAATACAGAGAGCAACAAACTTCTATGAAGTACTTTTTCCTTCTGGCCTGATAACTGCCATTGTTAGTTAATCTTTTAATTGTTCAATGGAAAATGGGGTGATCTTGCTTCATCATAATGTGCGTGTAATGCTTTTGTCAAATCAGCTGGTTTTATTGCTTTAATGACACAAAGCTTATTCTCTTTCCTATTTTTTCTAGTCATAGTTTCCTATTGCCAGCCTCCTGACACAAGTTTTACTTTCCCTGTGGCTGTTTCATAGGAATGCTGTAAAGATGAAATGAGATAATGCGTGAAAAGAGTTTCCCACAGTTTTTGACATATAGCAAGTGATAACTACAGCAATAATTATTATTAGAGATTTTTTTTTTCCAAGTAGGAGCAGAAAGGAATATTCTTTAAGCTCATTCACCTCCTCTTCAAAACCTACATTTTAAGTTCATGTAATTGGAGCTTCCCTGAGGCAGGAAGCTTTCTGACTGCTGGAGAGAAAAACTGTCACCAGCAATTCACTGATTTTCCTTAAACCCCACAAAGCAAGGGCCTGTTTGCTGGATCTCAACTCAGTGTGGGGGAAGTACTTGGGCCAAACTAGAAACAATTGATTTAATTAGGACTGGAACATTTTATGTCAATAAATGACAACAGGAAGATCAGGATTGCTTAAGAGGAATGAGTTATGGGTGTTTTGTTTGGTTTGCTAAAAAGTGTTTTGATGGTTTAACTACTTTATAAAGATATATAGCCTAAATCATATTATTGCAGTAAAGACCTTCATATCAGCCCAGTGGAAATTGTGAGTAGGCCATGTTTGGTGTTCCCATTTCTTGTCTCTCATTCTTACTCTTTATACCATATCTCTAGGTATTCTGAATTCAATTTTATAAGCCTCTATCCTTAGCTGTCACTATTGTTTGAGTGTTCCTGTGGCAACATTGGGAGGTGGAATCTTTGAGAGGTGGGGCATAATCAGAGGTGTTTGAGTCATGGAGGCTCTGCTCAGGTAGTTTCGTGCTGCTCTTCTGAGATTAGATTAGTTCTGTCAGGAATGGACTAGTTTCAGTGAGAGTAGGTTGTTATAAAGTGAGGTTGCCTCTCGTGTTTGTCCTTACTGGCATGCACCCACTTCCCATTTCTGCTTCTTCACTGTGTTGTGACAGAGCATGAGGCCCTCCCCAGAAGCCAAGCAGATACTGGTGCCATGCTTTTTGGACTTCCCAGCCTCCAGAATCACAAGCCAAGTAAACTTTTTTTCCTTATTACTCAGTCTTGAGTATTCTGTTATAGCAACACAAAATGGACCAAGACAACTGCCTACTATCCTCCCTCTAAAGAGGTGGCTGATAAAGTTTTAGAATTGTTAATCATCTCAGTTACATTTGAACTGACACATATTTATAAAACAAAATGAAAAAGACAAGTTTTCAGTTCTGGGTTCCAGAAGGACACCATTAACACACTTGATTTACACATAATTTTTTTCTCTTTATTTTCCACAGAAAACTAAACACAACATCTAGGAATTTACATGTAGTTTACAGTAATTCATAACATGTCTCAGTCACATTAGAAAAGGTAATTAAATATAGACGTATGAACTCAAGCAAGTCTCTTACCTTCTTGAGACCATAGATTAATTCTTTGTAAAATGAATTAATGTCACAAAGTGACATTGAAGGCCACTCACATCCAATATTCTCTAATGAGATGGTCCTTAAAGATTCACCATCTTTAGATGACTATTTGGTGATCTGTACGCCAGAAAGATAAAGAATCTTAAATGCAAAACTTTTTTAAATGGAGAAAGAGAGAGAGAGGTTGCGGATGTGTGTGTGTGTGTGTGTGTGTGTGTGTGTGTGTTTGTGTATGAGATATGGTGAGTCATGAGGCCTGTGTGGTGTTGCTCTTACTGATGAAGAATCTTGCCTCTCATAGCCAGGCTCTTGCCAGTTTCAGCATCTATATATAAAATATCTAATGGCAAGTGGAAGGCTTTCTTAACATGACTTCTTAAGAATGAATCAAACCAAACTCTGGAACAAGAGCTACATACATGAATATGTGCAACTCTAAATGTGATATTATTTAATATTGTCTTAATTTCCTCCTTAACTTGGACCAGGTTTTCCCTTAGTGTAACTAAGGGGATAGTCTGGACATTCTCAGTCTCTTGAGAAAGTTCTAGAGTATTTAAACTTTTCGGACAAAAAGATTCTTTCCTGCCTGGAGACCAAGGTGAAAATGATTCTGCTATTCCATGAAGTGGCAATTTGGGACTTCAATGTTTAACTATTTCATGGCCACATGCTTGGAGGCTGCTCTTGCTTCAGGGTGTGTAAAGTCCTCTACATAGAAGACAGGGTGACTTAAGCATCTGGGAGCGATGGTTTGATAGCTCAGACGGTTTATATCTATTTCAGGATCACTACAACTATAAGAATCCCCCAGATCTTTGAATCCTGTGACAATTCCCCACTCCCGAGACTAGATCCAGCGTTGCTGAGAGCCTCTTTCTTGATCTGACCTTTCCACTTTAGCCTCTTGCTTGCCATCTCTCTCCCTTTATGTTCCTAGTTTCTAACCTCTCTGTTGGACTTATCCTTCAGTGCTTACTTTTATTTTTCAGCTACTGGCTTGGTATCTTTCTCACTCATTAACATTTCCTTTCCCTGCTTACTTCAGAATGAGTTAAAGTCACAGAGATGAATGATTCCTTGCACCTGAGACCCTCAGTTCCAGCTGTAACGTTTTCTGCTTTTAGCAGGTCTCTGTGATTTCCTTCTGGGACAGGACCCTGCTGCAAACTCTCAATTCCTAGCAGCTAAAAGTTTAGGTTTGGGGTCCTTATTCTTAGCTATTATTGAATTTATTTTATTGCTCTTTTTAATGGATTATGTCCCCGCAAGTTCCAAACCCCTGTACTCATATTGTAACATTATTTAGAAATAAAGTCATTGCAGGGAAAGGATTCCCTATTTAATAAATGGGGCTCGGAAACCTGGCTAGCAATATGTAGAAAACTGAAACTGGATCCCTTCCTTACACCTTATACAAAAATTAACTCAAGATGGATTAAAGACTTAAACATAAGACCTAAAACCATAAAAATCCCAGAAGAAAACCTAGGCAATACTATTCAGGACATAGGCATGGGCAAAGACTTCATGACTAAAACACCAAAAGCAATGGCAACAAGAGCCAGAATTGACAGATGGCATCTGATTAAACTAAAGAGCTTCTGCACAGCAAAATAAACTATCATCAGAGTGAACAGGCAACCTGCAGAATCGGAAAAAATTTTTGCAATCTACCCATCTGACAAAGGGTTAATATCTGGAATCTACAAATAACTTAAACAAATTTACGAGAAAGAAAAAACAACCCCATCAAAAAGTGGGCAAAGGGTATGAACAGACATTTCTCAAAAGAAGACATTTATGCAGCCAACAGACATATGAAAAAATGCTCATCATCACTGGTCATCAGACAAATGCAAATCAAAACCGCAATGAGATACCATCTCACTCCAGTTAGAATGGCGATCATTAAAAAGTCAGGAAACAACAGATGCTGGAGAGGATGTGGAGAAATAGGAACACTTTTACACTGTTGGTGGGACTGTAAATTAGTTCAACCATTGTGGAAGATGGTATGGCGATTCCTCAAGGATCTAGAACTGGAAATACCATTAGACCCAGCCATCCCATTACTGGGTATATACCCAAAGGATTATACATCATGCTGCTATAAAGACACATGCACACGTATGTTTATTGCAGCACTATTCACAACAGCAAAGACTTGGGACCAACCCAAATGTCCGACAATGATAGACTGGATTAAGAAAATGTGGCACATATACACCATGGAATACTATGCAGCCATAAAAAATGATGAGTTCATGTCCTTTGGAGGGACATGGATGAAGCTGGAAACCATCACTTCTCAGCAAACTATCATAAGGACAGAAAACCAAACACCACATGTTCTTACTCATAAGTGGGAGTTGAACAATGAGAATACATGGACACAGGGAGGGGAACATCACACACTGGGGCCTGTACGGGGGTGGGGGGCTGGGGGAGGGATATCATTAGGAGAAATACCTAATGTAAATGATGAGTTGATGGGTGCAGCAGCCAACATGGCACTTGTATACCCATGTAACAAACCTGCATGTTGTGCACATGTAGCCTAGAAATTAAAGTATAATTAAAAAAAGAAAATGTAAAAAAATAAAAATAAAAATAAAAATAAGAAATAAAGTCATGGCAGATATAATTAGTTAAGTTCTGATGAGCTCATACTGAAGTGGGTGTGCCCTTAGTTAGGTATGACTGGTATTTGCATAAGACAACATAATACAGATATGTGCAGGGATCACACCATGTGAAAAAGGAGGCAGAGATTGGAGTGATGCATCTACAAACCAAGGAATGCCAAGAATCACTGGCCATCACCAGAAGCGAAGAGATAGGCTTTGTCATGGACTGAATGTTGCCCCTCCTCCTGCAAATTCGTATACTGAAGTCTTAACCCCGCAATGTCTCAGAATATAATTTTATTTGGAGATAGGTCATTTAAATAGGTAATTAAACTGAGGCCATTAGGGTGTGCCCTAATCCAGTTGACTGGTGTCCTTATAAGAAGAAGAGATTAGGACACAGAGAGGGATACCAGGGGTGTGTACACATGAGAGAATGACCACATGAAGAGGCAGCAAGAAGGTGACCATCTATCATCCAAGTAGAGAGACTGCAGAGGAAATCAACCCTATAGACACCTTGATCTTGGAATTCCAGCCTCCAGAACTTTGAGAAAATAAATTTCTGTTATTAAAGTCACCTGGTTCGTGGTGTTTTGTTATGCCCACAGCCCTAAGAAACTAATACAGGCATGAAATAGCTTCTTAGGTCTCAGAGCCCCCAGAAGTAATCGCCTCAGCTGATACCTTGATTTCAGACTTCTGGCCTCTGGAACTGTGAGAGAATAAATTTCTGTTGTTTAAGCTGGCATGAAACCATCCTCTCGCCATTTTTATCACCCTCTTCTTGACCCATATCTGTTGTCAGTCCATTCCATAATTTATTTGACAAGTATTTACAGACCTCACATATTATTTGGTGACCACTGTGTCTGTCTTTAGCAGGATATTTGAGACTAGACGAATAATGATTAGTAAGATTCTGTTTGTATTAGCTATCCATTTTTCGAAAGTCCTATATAACAAACAACCCCAAAATTCATGTCTTAAAACAAGAAACATTTATTTTTCTTTGAAATGATTAGTGAGTGCACTTGATAATGAAAGAAGATAAGGTACCATTGGAAGGATTTGAGTTTGCTTGCACTAGCATGAAGATTGCCTTAGTAAGAATATTCCTTCTGCTATGAATAGCTGAAAGAGCCTAATGTGATACCATGAAAGGATTGAATGTTTAAAATTCCTATCTATTGTCAAAACAAATTGATTTTCTAAAGCTTGGACATTTCTGCAATTCAATTCCAATTCCTTAGAATACAGGAAACTGTGACAATATAAAATTATAAGGCTTTCTCTAGAAAAATTCAAACTTAAAAGAGTACAAAACAAAACAAAAAACAGTAGTATAAATATCAAATACTTGAATGGTATTTTGTTGTTGTTGTTGTTGTTGTTGTTGTTTTTTAATTTGAGAGAGTCTCACTTTGTTGCCCATGCTGGAGTGCAGTGGAGCAATCTCGGCTCACTGCCACCTCCACCTCCCAGGCTCAAGTGATCCTCCTGCCTCAGGCTCCCGAGTACTGGGGCTACAGGTGTGCACCATTATGTTCAGTTAAGTTTTGCTTTTTTTTTTTTTTTTTTTTTTTGTAGAGATGGGATTTTTCTATGTTGCCCAGGCTGGTCTCAAACTCCTGGACTCAAGTGATCTGTCCGCCTGGGCCTCCCAGAGTGCTGGGATTACAGGCATGAACCACCACACCCTGCTTGAATGGTGATTTCAACTGTGAATGAGAATTTTCATGAACGGCTTCAGAGTCTAATTGTGCTTTTTTATAAAGATGCAGCAAATTGAGATGAAAAGGAGAATGATAATTAGAAACTTTTTTTTTTCTGGTACATTTGTATCAAGAGTTGTTTCTAAAGTCCATAAAGTAAATAAAAGATTTTAGAATGATGGGATCTTTCTATATTCTTGAGGTGTTAGGAGAAACCACGCGTGTTTACAAAGGCAGAGATGGTGAAATAGTTTTAACACAGAAGTCCAAATGAGTATGAAATATATCTTCATTGTTGATATGCTTATAGATACAAAGAAGAATATGATATAGAAAAAGTAAGCCCAAGTCCCATCTCTAAGAGTTTGTAATAAAAATAATAGTAGGTTTATATTTCCTGATCCTGTATCTCAGAATTGAAGAACTGGGGCTTTAGGATTTCCTGCCAAAGCTTCCATTAGATGGATACCTTGGTAACAAGATTTGTGTAATTTTTTTAATCTCCTAAAGCCCTGCATTTGGAATTTACTCCATATGTAAAATATTTGATAAAACAAAGGGAAAGAAAAGAAAGCAATGGTTTAACACATCAAAGCAGGCAATTTTAGCCTTTCTCTTTCATGGGTAAAATACATGGGGTCCTGTCTTATTATTAGTGATATTAAATCAGCAACAGTATTTTTGGTATGAAGCATTTGACAGCACACAATTTGCCCACTGATGCCAAACATAGCAGAGGAGGAAGAACCCACCAGAACCTTCAGTTCTGCTCAGTATGAGGGCATGTCAGATACCCTGGCACTTTTAGTGACCTATTCAGGTCCAACAAAGATAAAATTGAATTTAAAATCAATTATTACTCATTGTAAGGTAGAGATGAAAACAATAGAATTTATCTGTGTCCATTTTCTGTGAACATCTTCAGAAAGGAATGTGGAATTCTTGGTAGCCACTCTGAGATTTGGAAAGTGCTGTTAAATACAGAAGTCACTGATCGGGCCCAATAGCAGGAGCTGGATTGTGGGCTGTACTATTCAGAAGCCTTTCATTTTGGGGTTAGTGACAAAATGCACCATGATAACTTTTGAGTCAAATCATCTCTGCGCTAATAAATAAAACATTACTCCTTATTACTTTCCCATTTCCTTCTCTTGCCCGTGAGCATTTTGAAATACTTGGATTCTTCCAACATATTAAACTACAAATTTGTTTTGATTGAAATGTATTAGCCATTTAGTTCACACAAATATTATCTAAAATTAAAATGTATTGCTCAATAATGCAGACAGAGGATTTGGATAATGAATACATATAAATACAACTATTTTTCCGCACTCTTGATTGAAAATTGATTTTATACTCATTACTGATTTTTAACTATGCTTTCATAAGGACTTTCTCTATTTATCCTGACCCTTAAAATATTGTAGAACATATAAAACATGCTATAAAGAAAGTACACAGCAATAAAATAGAAATGATTTATAATCTCAACAACTGGAATTAGTAGTAAAAGTGTAAATCCTGTCCTGGACTAAAAGTGAAAATCAGCTTGGACTGAGAAAGAAAACAGTAGTCCACGAATCAGGACAGACATAAAGCCCACTGCAATGTTAAAAGGAAACATGGTTGCTCCTGGGTCAAGCAGCAGCTATGAAATGCCAAATAATTCCCTCTTTCAGTTTTTTTGAGCGACTACTACTTTCTTAACAATGACACCCCTCACCTGCCTTGCTTTCTCATCATTATATGATACCATTGCTAAACTACCCTTATCTCATGTGGGCACCCACTTCCTAATGGCTATGGTCTGAATGTTTGTGTTTTCCAAAAATTTATATTTTGAAATCCTAACACTTAAGGTGATAATATTAGGATTTGGGGTTTTGGGGGTGGGGGGTTAGATAAGGAAGGCACAGCACTCGTGAATGGGAATAGTGCCTTTATACAGGAAGCCACAGAGAAGCCTTTCATCCCTTCTGCCATGTTAGGTTACAGTGAAAATGTGGCTGTGTATTAATCAGAAAGTAAGTCTTCGCCAGAGCCTTTGCCTGGATATTGGACTTCCCAGCATCCAGAACTATGAAAAACAAATTTCTGTTGTTTACAAGCCACCAGTTTATAGCACTTTGTTACAGCAGCCTGAATGGACAAAGGCACTAGTTAACCCCTACTTCTAATCCTACTTCACAAACAGCAGCCACTCCAAAGTGGATTCTATTCTTTAGACTCACTGCTGAATCTTTGAGTAGGAACCCTGATATGGTTTGGCTGTGTCCCCACCCAAATCTATCTCAAATTGTAATCTGAATTTTATCCCCATGTGTTGAGAGAGGGACCTGGTGAGAGGTGATTTGCTCATGGGGGCGGTTTCCCTAATGCGATTTTCATAGTAGTAAGTTCTCACAAGATCTGATGGTTTTATAAGGGGCCTTCTCCACTTTGTTCTCTCTCTCTCCTGCCACCTTGTGAAGAAGTTTCCTGCTTCCCCTTCACCTTCCACCATGATTGTAAGTTTCCTGAGGCTCCCAAGCAATGTGGGAACTGTGAGTCAATTAAACCCCCTTTCTTTATAAATTACCCAGTCTCAGAGGAGTTCTTTATAGCAGTGTGAAAACAGACTCATACAAATCCATACCTGACAAAAATCACCTTCTTTTCCCTCTTCTTTAGTGGCATTTGCAGTTATCCTGGAGTTCCCCTTCTCACTGCATTAAGGCAAAACAATCTGCTTTTGCATCCTTTTCTTCTTCTGTGAAATGGATTCCAGGCTGATCTTCTATGACAAGATATAAATGACATAAATGACTGAAAGTTTATTGCGAATGTAAGGTAGATTCTTGACTTCACCATTAGGATGGTTTCTACATAAAAAGAAATCATACTTGATTTTTAAATAATGCAGCAAGGTAAGACCTCATTAAAATATCAAACAATAGTGCCACATATGGGAGATGCATATTTCTCTCAATGAAAAATATATGGTTGATCTTGTTATAAGCAAAGCAGTTAACAGGAAGGAATAACAAGAAATAGTATTACAGAGTGAGGACAAAGTCTATAGGATTGCTCAAGCCTGGATGTGAGTCACAAGTAGGAAACTCATTAACTGTGTGATTTTGGGTTCAGTTTCCCTTTAGGTAATATCTGCTTCTCAGGATGGATTGTGAAGCAGAGACTATAATGCCAGTCAACCATTAGGGAATTGATGAATGGTAGATGCTATTGTTTCTTCTGTTGTAACCACCAGGTTAGCAATCATTTGTGCACAAGTACACACATCTTTATGTGCATTCACATATATATATCCTCAGACATTTGTTCTCGATGATATCCTTAACTCAGCACACACACCCATGTTCATATCTTCTATCTGACATTTGAGGATATTGTTCTCATTTTTATAAAAGTTAACCTTTATGAGAGCCCAGTTATGTTAAAAAGCAGAGAGATGTGAAATAGAACATTCTGTTATATAGATTTTTGGGCTTCACCTATGTAATGATGTAAACTATGTGCAATAAGTCAAAAATCCCAGATGGTGCTGGGATCTCTATTTTTGGACTTGTTTTAGCACCTGGAAACCTACGCTACTTGCATAACAAGAACTCAACTTGCAATAACAGTAGCATTGTCAGTAAATATTTTTAACTAGATATGATCATATATTAATTATACATCAATTAGCATGTGGTCTTCACATTTCATATCCTGTTGACAATCGTTTAGTTTCTGTGAACCAATGTCTTAAAGTAAGTTTGTCTTTAGTCATAGGTGAATAGATACAATTCTCAGGGTGTGTGGGGAAGCATCTGTCTACCTCTCAGCATTGAAAATTCTTTTGCTCACTCCATATACCTGGTGCCTACAAAAAATTTGCTCATTTCCTTTAGAGTGTTGGACCCTTTTAAAATGGAAATGTTTGTGGGAAGATAACTCTATAATATGTTGGAAATTCTTTCTACATACTCTTAATTTGATATTGGAGAGTAAGCTTTAATTGGAGAAAAGGTGAATTAATGTGTGAAGATACTGGATATCAGAGAAAGGTGAACTGGTTCTCCAAATAGTAAAAGAAAAATTTTACCAAATCAGTATAGTAGTAACCCTGGAGTACAATCTTGACTATGTCATAATTTACTGGTGAAATATTGCTTCTACCCAATCAACACAGGCCTTGGATTTGCCTGTATGGCATACATATGTATTGCCTAATACAAGTGAATAGTGATTGTCTGTGTGCAATGCTACAATTGGTCCTCAGACACCAGCCTACATTGATTTTCATTGTTTAAAACTTCTACCAACATCATCATACTTACAGACAACATTTATTCAGTGTTTACTATATTACAGCCATTATAATCATCATGATATATATATATATCTTTTGTCAATTAAACTACTTCCCAACAGTTCATTGAGGAAGGTGTATGTTGCTCTTATTTTACAGATGTAGAACCAAATACAGAACATTTATATAGCTTGCCATTATTATTAGGACTACTAAGTGGCAGAACTAACCCAGTTGTGATTGAATCCATAGCTTATGCTTTTTACCACTTCAATGTACTGCTTTACCCGCTCGGATGACTTCCTTCAATTTGATCTCATCCGTTTTAACCTAAAGGTGTTTCTCAGAGTCTGTGCATGGGAGTTGGGGTCTGGAAGTCTATTGTTACCATGCAATCATGCTAGGAAGTCTACTTCATTCTTTTCATGACATAATGCTCTCAGACTTACAGGTACTTATTTGCATAAATGTTTTGCTTTCTAAATGAACAGTGGCAGGGACTGAGTTTTGTTCAAATGTGTCTTTCATCGAGAAAGAAGAGTTGAATATAGAAGGTGCTACAGAAATTCATTTCTATTTATTCATACATATTCATGTGAACTCCAATGACAAATGGATCTAGGTGAGCCTGAAATTTTACCTAGACTGAGGACACTATAAACATACAAAACCTTAAGCTTGATTACGCTCATCTTCCCTCAGGGAAAGTCCCCTAAATAGGATGAATGGGACTTGCATATAAGTAGACATAAAACAATAAATTATTTTAAGGTTCTTTTTGAGGGTAAGCCCAGAAACTGACAGTGAATTACTTTCAATTGAACTAACCAGCCTTTTATAGAATGCATTAACATTTTATTCTGGTAAAACTCAGAGTAATCAGTTGTTCTTAAGTGATTGCTAGAAAATTAAAGAACAAAGTATGCAGTGACTTTGCCAAGAACAATCTGTTAAAACAGACTTTGAACAAAACATAGTTTATGAGTGATATATCAGTGTAAAGAATATCATGAATATATTAGTTTGGCTTACAATGTGTCAAAAATTCTAAAAAAAGGATACAGGAGTTTTTATATAATCACATGTATTTACACATGTAATAATTTTATAGATAATAGCTAAAAGCCATTTGAATTGAAGAACTGGAAAAAAACAATTACTGTGATCTCTCAATTTTCAGGTGGGAAACTGAAGTCTTCAGATTTCAAAGACTGGACCAAGGTCATGTAATTACTTATGGACAGAATTAACATAACAAATCACAATTTCTGACCTCAAATTCCTTGTGCTTTTGGCCATAGCAAATCAAAGAGAAAATATTATGAAAGAAATGTTTTTACTTGTAGTTTTACTTTACTTTGCCTGTAATACATTTTAACTGTATATGCCATTAGAGTACTAATCTTATTTGTAGATAATTACTGAGTTTTCCCTTCATTTTGAATATTTCTTGAAAATGTGCTATTTACCTCTGGGTTTTAAAATCTGGCTTTTTCTTTGTGAACTCACTAAAACATTTTTTATAATAACTAATTATAATATTTTGCATTTTAATAATGCTTTTGGCCTTACAAAAATGCTTGTGCATAATATAACACTTGAGCAAGCAACAGTCCTGTTGGGAAGGTATGTCTTTTGATAAAGACCAATCTTGATTTTGTCACCTTCCCATTTAAAATGATTTAGATACTATTCCAGCCCCAGTATCAGATTATGTGAAGAAGCCAGGGACTGACCAAGCTTCCCCGACCCATCTCTCCATCTCTCTCTTTGTTTCTTCCCATGGATTTTCCACATGGCTGGCTCT
Source organism: Homo sapiens (assembly GCF_000001405.40). Classification (NCBI taxonomy): domain Eukaryota; kingdom Metazoa; phylum Chordata; class Mammalia; order Primates; family Hominidae; genus Homo; species Homo sapiens. Next base: position 228,227,627 of record NC_000002.12, read on the forward strand.
GGGTTTCCTCGTAAATGGTAGCCTCAGGGTTTGGATTTCTTACAAGGCGGATGCAGGATCCCACAAACAGATGCTCCAAGAGACAGAAACTGGAAGCCACCAGACTTTTGAAGTCTGTGCGTTGGATCTAGCACCACATCTATTGTATTCTATTGGTCAAGCAGTCGAAAAGCCTACCCAGTTTCAAGGGAAGGGAAATCAACTCCACTCTGCAATGGAAGAAAGAGTTGAGCACACGGGGAGGTAAAAATCAATGATGGTCACCTTGTTTGAGTCACCATTTTATCATTAGTGTCTAGCACCATACCTGGCCTGGAGTAAATACTCAATGAATATTTGCTTGCTAAATTAATGAACAAATGAATAAATGAGAAAACTGCATATTAGAGCAGTTATGTGAACTGCACACCTGGCAAATGGTAGGGAGAGGAAAATCAGCCTTTTTCCTTTAAGTCTAGTGCTATTTCCATGACAATAAATTGTATGGCAAAGGAGTCAAAGACATTAAGATAATCTAAAATAATTTTTAAGTATTTTTGGGAGATAAAAGGTGGGACTGGGATTTACCTTAGACTGCCCAGCACAGGAAGAATAGACTAGAAAGAGGCCTGGAGAAAACTCGCGTTTCAGAGGACATTCAGCACAGTAGTAATTCCTTAACTTCCCCCTCTTGCACCGAAATTAGTGTGATAGTTACTACTCTGAAATTCCTCTAGATGATTTCCTATTCAAAGGAAATTAGTGAGATGTCATCTGTAAAACCGTTCAAGTCTTCACACTGGAACCCGGAGTGAAGACATTGTTCTCCACCACTCTAAGTAAAAGGATGTGTTACCCACTCTCAAATTCATATAGTGAGCCGTAAGCACAGTTGGATTCCAGAGGGAAGGAAAGAGTATAATATGCTGTTCTTACATGTGATGCATGAACTTAGGAGCTGTCTTTGCAGATTTTCCCAATTCCTTCAAATCTGGAAGTGTAAGAAACCTTTCCAAATATCCTGTCACTGAAAGATTTCCAGCCTAATTTATAAAAAGCACTTCATTTTGTGAAATTTTCAGCTTCATGAACATTTAACCAAATCGAATTTTCTCCCAGGAGATTATCTTGTGACCAATAAGGGTTCATTTTTCTCATGAAGTCTTTTGTTGGGGTCAGGGGAGGTGTGGATAGTAGACGTTAAGTGAACAGTGCTTGTAAATCACCACACTTGACACCTTGAAACCTCCTCTGACTAATCATGCCAGAGTTATTTACAAGATGCAAAAGTTAGTCTCTGTGAGCAGCAGAGTTACGTGGCAATAGAGGTCCGGAGAAGTTGCTCTAATTTGCTCAAGCAGAAACTCTTCTTAGTCTAAGCATTGACTGGGGAGCATTTTATTTTATTTTATTTTATTTATTTATTTATTATTATTATACTTTAAGTTTTAGGGTACATGTGCACAATGTGCAGGTTAGTTACATATGTATACATGTGCCATGCTGGTGCACTGCACCCACTAACTCGTCATCTAGCATTAGGTATATCTCCCAATGCTATCCCTCCCCCCTCCCCCCACCCCACAACCGTCCCCAGAGTGTGATGTTCCCCTTCCTGTGTCCATGTGTTCTCATTGTTCAATCCCCATTTATGAGTGAGAACATTCGGTGTTTGGTTTTTTGTTCTTGCGATAGTTTACTGAGAATGATGATTTCCAGTTTCATCCATGTCCCTACAAAGACATGAACTCATCATTTTTTATGGCTGCATAGTATTCCATGGTGTATATGTGCCACATTTTCTTAATCCAGTCTATCATTGTTGGACATTTGGGTTGGTTCCAAGTCTTTGCTATTGTGAATAATGCCGCAGTAAACATACGTGTGCATGTGTCTTTATAGCAGCATGATTTATAGTCCTTTGGGTATATACCCAGTAATGGGATGGCTGGGTCAAATGGTATTTCTAGTTCTAGATCTCTAAGGAATCGCCACACTGACTTCCACAATGGTTGAACTAGTTTACAGTCCCACCAACAGTGTAAAAGTGTTCCTATTTCTCCACATCCTCTCCAGCACCTGTTGTTTCCTGACTTTTTAATGACTGCCATTCTAACTGGTGTGAGATGGTATCTCATTGTGGTTTTGATTTGCATTTCTATGATGGCCAGTGATGGTGAGCATTTTTTCATGTATTTTCTGGCTGCATAAATGTCTTCTTTTGAGAAGTGTCTGTTCATGTCCTTTGCCCACTTTCTGATGGGGTTGTTTGTTTTTTTCTTGTAAATTTGTTTGAGTTCATTGTAGATTCTGGATATTAGCCCTTTGTCAGATGAGTAGGTTGCTAAAATCTTCTCCCATTTTGTAGGTTGCCTGTTCACTCTGATGGTGGTTTCTTTTGCTGTGCAGAAGCTCTTTAGTTTAATTAGATCCCATTTGTCAATTTTGGCTTTTGTTGCCATTGCTTTTGGTGTTTTAGACATGAAGTCCTTGCCCATGCCTATGTCCTGAATGGTACTGCCTAGGTTTTCTTCTAGGGTTTTTATGGTTTTAGGTCTAACGTTTAAGTCTTTAATCCATCTTGAATTGATTTTTGTATAAGGTGTAAGGAAGGGATCCAGTTTCAGCTTTCTACATATGGCTAGCCAGTTTTCCCAGCACCATTTATTAAATAGGGAATCCTTTCCCCATTGCTTGTTTTTGTCAGGTTTGTCAAAGATCAGATGGTTGTAGATATGCGGCGTTATTTCTGAAGGCTCTGTTCTGTTCCATTGATCTATATCTCTGTTTTGGTACCAGTACCATGCTGTTTTGGTTACTGTAGCCTTGTAGTATAGTTTGAAGTCAGGTAGTGTGATGCCTCCAGCTTTGTTCTTTTGGCTCAGGATTGACTTGGCAATGCGGGCTCTTTTTTGGTTCCATATGAACTTTAAAGTAGTTTTTTCCAGTTCTGTGAAGAAAGTCATTGGTAGCTTGATGGGGATGGCATTGAATCTGTAAATTACCTTGGGCAGTATGGCCATTTTCACGATATTGATTCTTCCTACCCATGAGCATGGAATGTTCTTCCATTTGTTTGTATCCTCTTTTATTTCATTGAGCAGTGGTTTGTAGTTCTCCTTGAAGAGGTCCTTCACATCCCTTGTAAGTTGGATTCCTAGGTATTTTATTCTCTTTGAAGCAATTGTGAATGGGAGTTCACGCATGATTTGGCTCTCTATTTGTCTGTTATTGGTGTATAAGAATGCTTGTGATTTTTGTACATTGATTTTGTATCCTAAGACTTTGCTGAAGTTCCTTATCAGCTTAAGGAGATTTTGGGCTGAGACAATGGGGTTTTCTAGATATGCAATCATGTGATCTGCAAACAGGGACAATTTGACTTCCTCTTTTCCTAATTGAATACCCTTTATTTCTTTCTTCGGCCTGACTGCCCTGGCCAGAACTTCCAACACTATGTTGAATAGGAGTGGTGAGAGAGGGCATCCCTGTCTTGTGCCAGTTTTCAAAGGGAATGCTTCCAGTTTTTGCCCATTCAGTATGATATTGGCTGTGGGTTTGTCATAGATAGCTCTTATTATTTTGAGATACGTCCCATCAATACCTAATTTATTGAGAGTTTTTAGCATGAAGGGTTGTTGAATTTTGTCAAAGGCCTTTTCTGCATCTATTGAGATAATCCTGTGGTTTTTGTCTTTGGTTCTGTTTATATGCTGGATTACATGTATTGATTTGTGTATATTGAACCAGCCTTGCATCCCAGGGATGAAGCCCACTTGATCATGGTGGATAAGCTTTTTGATGTGCTGCTGGATTCGGTTTGCCAGTATTTTATTGAGGATTTTTGCATCAATGTTCATCAAGGATATTGGTCTAAAATTCTCTTTTTTGGTTGTGTCTCTGCCAGGCTTTGGTATCAGGATGATGCTGGCCTCATAAAATGAGTTAGGGAGGATTCCCTCTTTTTCTATTGATTGGAATAGTTTCAGAAGGAATGGTACCAGTTCCTCCTTGTACCTCTGGTAGAATTCGGCTGTGAATCCATCTGTTCCTGGACTCTTTTTGGTTGGTAAGCTATTGATTATTGCCACAATTTCAGCTCCTGTTATTGGTCTATTCAGAGATTCAACTTCTTCCTGGTTTAGTCTTGGGAGGGTGTATGTGTCGAGGAATTTATCCATTTCTTCTAGATTTTCTAGTTTATTTGTGTAGAGGTGTTTGTAGTATTCTCTGATGGTAGTTTGTATTTCTGTGGGATCGGTGGTGATATCCCTTTTATTATTTTTTATTGTGTCTATTTGATTCTTCTCTCTTTTTTTCTTTATTAGTCTTGCTAGCGGTCTATCAATTTTGTTGATCCTTTCAAAAAACCAGCTCCTGGATTCATTAATTTTTTGAAGGGATTTTTGTGTCTCTATTTCCTTCAGTTCTGCTCTGATTGTAGTTATTTCTTGCCTTCTGCTAGCTTTTGGATGTGTTTGCTCTTGCTTTTCTAGTTCTTTTAATTGTGATATTAGGGTGTCAATTTTGGATCTTTGCTGCTTTCTCCTGTGGGCATTTAGTGCTATAAATTTCCCTCTACACACTGCTTTGAATGTGTCCCAGAGATTCTGGTATGTTGTGTCTTTGTTCTTGTTGGTTTCAAAGAACATCTTTATTTCTGTCTTCATTTCGTTATGTACCGAGTAGTCATTCAGGAGCAGGTTGTACAGTTTCCATGCAGTTGAGCAGTTTTGAGTGAGTTTCTGAATCCTGAGTTCTAGTTTGATTGCACTGTGGTCTGAGAGACAGTTTGTTATAATTTCTGTTCTTTTACATTTGCTGAGGAGAGCTTTACTTCCAACTATGTGGTCAATTTTGGAATAGGTGTGGTGTGGTGCTGAAAACAATGTATATTCTGTGGATTTGGGGTGGAGAGTTCTGTAGATGTCTATCAGGTCCGCTTGGTGCAGAGCTGAGTTCAATTCCTGGGTATCCTTGTTAACTTTCTGTCTCGTTGATCTGTCTAGTGTTGACAGTGGGGTGTTAAAATCTCCCATTATTAATGTGTGGGAGTCTAAGTCTCCTTGTAGGTCACTCAGGACTTGCTTTATGAATCTGGGTGCTCCTGTATTGGGTGCATATATATTTAGGATAGTTAGCTCTTCTTGTTGAATTGATCCCTTTACCATTAAGTAATGGCCTTCTTTGTCTCTTTTGATCTTTGTTGGTTTAAAGTCTGTTTTATCCGAGACTAGGATTGCAACCCCTGCCTTTTTTTGTTTTCCGTTTGCTTGGTAGATCTTCCTCCATCCTTTTATTTTGAGCCTATGTGTGTCTCTGCACGTGAGATGGGTTTCCTGAATACAGCACACTGATGGGTCTTGACTCTTTATCCAATTTGCCAGTCTGTGTCTTTTAATTGGAGCATTTAGTCCGTTTACATTTAAAGTTAATCTTGTTATGTGTGAATTTGATCCTGTCATTATGATGTTAGCTGGTTATTTTGCTCGTTAGTTGATGCAGTTTCTTCCTAGTCTCGATGGTCTTTACATTTTGGCATGAATTTGCAGCAGCTGGTACCGGTTGTTCCTTTCCATGTTTAGTGCTTCCTTCAGGAGCTCTTTTAGGGCAGGCCTGGTGGTGACAAAATCTCTCAGCATTTGCTTGTCTGTAAAGTATTTTATTTCTCCTTCACTTATGAAGCTTAGTTTGGCTGGATATGAAATTCTGGGTTGAAAATTCTTTTCTTTAAGAATGTTGAATATTGGCCCCCACTCTCTTCTGGCTTGTAGAGTTTCTGCCGAGAGATCCACTGTTAGTCTGATGGGCTTCCCTTTGTGGGTAACCCGACCTTTCTCTCTGGCTGCCCTTAACATTTTTTCCTTCATTTCAACTTTGGTGAATCTGACAATTGTATGTCTTTGTGTTGTTCTTCTCGAGGAGTATCTTTGTGGCGTTCTCTGTATTTCCTGAATCTGAATGTTTGCCTGCCTTGCTAGATTGGGGAAGTTCTCCTGGATAATATCCTGTAGAGTGTTTTCCAACTTGGTTCCATTCTTCCCATCACTTTCAGGTACACCAATCAGACGTAGATTTGGTCTTTTCACATAGTCCCATATTTCTTGGAGGCTTTGCTTGTTTCTTTTTATTCTTTTTTCTCTAAACTTCCCTTCTCGCTTCATTTCATTCATTTCATCTTTCATCACAGATACCCTTTCTTCCAGTTGATCGCATTGGCTCCTGAGGCTTCTGCATTCTTCACGTAGTTCTCGAGCCTTGGTTTTCAGCTCCATCAGCTCCTTTAAGCACTTCTCTGTATTGGTTATTCTAGTTATACATTCTTCTAAATTTTTTTCAAAGTTTTCAACTTCTTTGCCTTTGGTTTGAATGTCCTCCCATAGCTCAGAGTAATTTGATCGTCTGAAGCCTTCTTCTCTCAGCTCATCAAAGTCATTCTCTGTCCAGCTTTGTTCTGTTGCTGGTGAGGAACTGTGTTCCTTTGGAGGAGGAGAGGTGCTCTGCTTTTTTTTTTACAAAGTTTTACAGAGTTTCCAGTTTTTCTGCTCTGTTTTTTCCCCATCTTTGTGGTTTTATCTACTTTTGGTCTTTGATGATGGTGATGTAGAGATGGGTTTTTGGTGTGGATGTCCTTTCTGTTTGTTAGTTTTCCTTCTAACAGACAGGACCCTCAGCTGCAGGTCTGTTGGAGTACCCGGCCGTGTGAGGTGTCAGTCTGCCCCTGCTATGGGGTGCCTCCCAGTTAGGCTGCTCAGGGGTCAGGGGTCAGGGACCCACTTAAGGAGGCAGTCTGCCTGTTCTCAGATCTCCAGCTGTGTGCTGGGAGAACCACTGCTCTCTTCAAAGCTGTCAGACAGGGACATTTAAGTCTGCAGAGGTTACTGCTGTCTTTTTGTTTGTCTGTTCCCCGACTGGGGAGCATTTTAACTACGCCTTTTATGTTTACTGAAGACGTACAGACCCACCCATGGGAGATCACAAGCCCAATGTTTCTGCTTGGGACAACAAAGACCACTGGTAGCTCTAGCATCTTTGTAAACTACTTTCTTTCTTCAATTCACAACCCAGTTCTGCTTCAGAGAACAACCAGTTAAATCCTGGATTTAGATTCTTTCCTGGCAAACAAATAAACACCAGGGCATCAAACTGTCTTTTGTGGCTAAAGAACAAGAAGAAGACACAGGAGAGTGATTTCCATGAGGCAGGTGGATCCTAGACTAAAGGACACTTCCTCAACTTGCATGCAGTTTCTGATTTTCAATAGCTGCCTGAGATATTTCTAATATTTATAGTGACATGAATAGGTTGTATCGGGAACACCCTGCTGAACAATATACATAACTTTCCGCACAGATGGTAGTCTATTGGGCCAACAGTGGTAAAGCTTTTTACCTTGCAGTCAATTGTTAAGAGACCAGCATGTAAACATTTATGCTCCACACAGGCAGTCTTGCTCCTGTCACAGCTAGGCATGGGCATGCCTGCGAGATTGTGTCTTGATAGGAATATTTTTTAGTTTACGTAGAAAAAAAGGAGAGGAAATGAATGAATGTTTTCACTGGTTTATAGAAACAGCATTTGATTGATATGATGCAAACTTTAATATATCATTTTATACATTTTTAAAAGGCAGATGTAACTAAGGCGTTCCTTTAAATCATATTCTGTGGTGAAGAGGTGGGGAAAACAGAGGCTGGCTTTTGCAAATGTTGAAAAGATGCAGCAACTTCATAAAATATTTTTGAAAGTAAGTTCAGCACTGAAATGCCCACTGGGCATGAATAGCCCGGTTTAGTAATTGGCTGCACCAAATAATAGAGCATGAGTTGATGGCCTGGATGCTGTATTTAAAGTGATTGTGATACTTTTGCAAGTCTGTGAAAGGTTTGTGTAAAATCACTAAGTACAGGAGCTTATGGACTCCTGGAATTTTGTTACTGTGAGTGGGAGTCCTCTTCAGTGGCTTCAAGACCCAGGCACATCCCTTGTCAGAAACCCAACTGGCAGCATCAAGGAAGCCATTCTCCAAATTCAATGTCCTGGTTGCAGTGGACTTTGAGAGCAGCAGTGGCTTCAGTTATGAAGTGACAATGCTCAGCTCTCACTCCTTAGCCAGAATCCTCAACATTTGGACAGCTTTAGTAAGGAAGAGGCATTTCTCTGGTTTGCAGAGGTTCTTCTTACTTCTTTTTTAGGAAAGGAGGTACATATTTGTTTTCTAACGGAAATGAAAGATAACTTCAAGAGGTGTTACTTGTAAAAACAAACAAACAAACAAAAAACTTAGTGACAGTATTCATTTGAGATTTGAAGAGACCCTGAGGGATCATAAAGTTTTTAAGGCAATAATTTACTAATACTTTTCCAGATAACTTTTCTTTTCTCTGCTCGTGTTCCTCAGCACTAGTTAGAAATACACAGAAAATAAGTTTCTCTGTGTGTATTTGTGTGCATTTGTGGCGAGAGAGAGAGAAAGAGATATTTCTATTTCTGACTAGTGTCTGGTCTTTATAATCAATTTTCATTTTGGACAACTGAATCCTCACTGCTCTTTTTTCTTGCCCTTTTTCTCTAAAGATGAAAAAGATTGGCCAAGGAAGGTCCAATTATTTTCCCCCATGCTCATCCTTTTCCTTATCCAAGTGCATTTGTTTCAGGGACAAATCACCTTGTTAAGTCTATGTGCATGTGTTATCTGCTCAAGTAGAATCTTGATTTGATTAATGTGCGTATTTGCTCTGTGCCTACCATATTCCTTGGCAATAGCTGGTAATCAGTTTATACCTCTTTAACTTATTTAGTCAACTAATATTTATTGAACACTTAGTATATGCTGACTGTGTTATGATAGTTGCTGGAGGCTACAACGTGAATAAGATAAAGCTTCAGAAAAGACAGGGTTTATAGACTAATTAGAGCACTAAATGTGTTATAAATTTAAAGTTGAACATTGATGAGGTACTTTATAAAGTTGTTTCATGTATATTATTTCTTGTGATATTCACAACTACCTTGTAATGTTAGTAAAGCAGATACAATTCTCATTTTATGGATGAGGAAAGACTCAGAGATTAACTTCACTCGTGATGTCAGAACTGGAATAAAGATTTAGTTTTTCTTTTTGTCTAAAAATTTCCTCTACAAGTTTGTTGTTGTTGTTGTTGTTTTATTTTTTTTGAAGGAGTCTTACACTGTTTCCTGGGCTGGAGTGCAGTGGCATAATCTTGGCTCACTGAAACCTCTGCCTCTTGGGTTTAAGTGATTCTCCTGCCTCAGCCTCCCAAGTAGCTGGGATTACAGGCAACTGCCACCACGCCCGGCTAATTTTTTGTGTGTTTCTAGTAGAGATGGGGTTTCACCATGTTGGCCAGGCTGGTCTCGAACTCCTGATCTCAAGTGATCTGCCCACCTCAGTCTCCCACAGTGCTGGGATTACAGGCGTGAGCCACTGTGACCAGCTCCCGTCTTAATCTCCTACCTTCCCATTACCCTTCCAGGCCTCTGACAACTTTCATTCTATTCTCTATCTCCATGAGTTCTTTTTTTTTTTTTTAATCTCCCACATAAAAATGAAAACATATTTGTCTTTCTGTGCTTGGTTAATTTCACTTGAGTTCTTCCAATTCCATCTGTGTTGTTGCAAATGACAGGACTTGATTCTTTCTATGGCTGAATGATATTCCATTGTATATATATACCACATTTTCTGAATCCATTCATTTGTTGATGGACATAGGTTGATTCTGAGTCTTTCCTATTGTGAACAGAGCTGCAATAAGCATGGGAGTGCAGGTATCTCTTCTACATATTGGATTCACTTCTTTTGGGTATGTACCTAGCAGTGGGATTGCTGGATCCTATGGTAGTTCTGTGGTTAGTTTTTGGAGGAACCTCTGTACCGTTTTCCATAGTGGCTGTATTAATTTACATCCACACAATGAATAAGAATTTTCCTTTCTTCACACCCTTGCTAGCATTTGTCTTTTCAGTAATAGCCAATCTAACTGAGATGAGATGATATCTCATTGTAGTTTAGATTTGCATTTGTCTGGTGATTAATGATGTGGAAGAGTTTTTCACATACCTGTTGCCCTCTGTAGGTCATCTTTTGAGAAATGTCCACTCAGATCTTTTGCCAATTTTTAAATCAGATTATTTGTTTTCTACCTACCGAGTTGTTTGAGCTCCTTATATATTCTGGTTATTAATTCCCTGTCAGATGAGTAGTTTGCACATATTTTCTCTCGTTCTGTGGGGTTTCTCTTCACCTTGTTGATATTAGTTATTTTAATTACCAGAAAAGATAATGATATTACCTATAGAGGTTATATAGAGAATATACTTTTTTCAGACATAGTTATTTAAAATAACTTCTATTTTAAAGGTAAACTAATATCATAATAAAAATTTTTAAAATAGCATTGTATCACAAGCATATTCCTTAAAATTTGTCATCTTTATAGCTAAAAGTTTTTTTTTTTTCTTTTTTTTTTGAGATGGAGTCTTGCTCTGTCGCCCAGGCTGGAGTGCAGTGGCGCGATCTCGGCTCACTGCAAGCTCCGCCTCCCGGGTTCACACCATTCTCCTGCCTCAGCCTCCTGAGTAGCTGGAACTACAGGCGCCGGCCACCACGCCTGGCTAATTTTTTTGTATTTTTAGTAGAGACGAGGTTTCACCGCATTAGTCAGAATGGTCTGGATCTCCTGACCTCGTGATCCGCCCGCCTTGGCCTCCCGAAGTGCTGGGATTACAGGCGTGAGCCACCGCCCCGGCCAGCTAAAAGTTTTTAAATTATTTTTTGAAATTACCTTCATTAAAGTCTAATACACAAATAATAAAACTCACTCCTTTACGGGGTACAATTCCATGAGTCTTAACAAATGTGTGCACCCATCTAACCATATCTCAAATCAATGTATAAAACATTGGAAACAGATTTTAATCTTTGAGTTTTTTCACTCTACTCACTTAGACTTGAACTCAATCCTTGAATGTAGGATTACGGGGACCCTATGGAACCATGGATCGGGGAGTGGTGGTTGACTCCATGCAGCCAGGCTGACCCAATTTCACTCTGGCACTTCCCTTTCAAACTGCCCATAGGGCAAGCCCCGCTACCCCAAAGCCCGTTGGATAGATGTGACAAGGCAATCTAGTAGAAGGGCAGGATGCCATTTTTATCCTTAATACTTCCAGGCAAGCAATGCTTTCATTAATCTTTTCTTGGTGCATGCTACATCTCTGGTTTCCTTCTTTCTTAGTTTCTCACTCTTTCACATACTACCAATCAGGCAAAGCATCTCTTTTATCTGAATAAACCGTTGGTTATTTATTGCTTAAAGGAAGGTGAACTTTCTTGTTTTTAATCTTTTTCTGTTTGAAGATACATATTACATATAATTTTAGAAGGGGAACATTTGTGTGGGGTGGGGGGAGGGGGGAGGGATAGCATTAGGAGATATACGTAATGTAAATGACGAGTTAATGGGTGCAGCACACCGACATGGCACATGTATACATATGTAACAAACCTGCACGTTGTGCACATGTACCCTAGAACTTAAAGTATAATAAAAAATATTAAAAAATTTAAAAAATAATAATAATTTTAGAAAGGGAAACCACAGGTAATTGGGATGATATTTCTGCCAAATATAAAAGAAAGTATATCTGTAGGCAGGAGGTTTAGAACATAAATGCTGACCTACCATTAGGAAACTGTTCAGCAAATTATTCCTCTGTGAAAATGGGAATTATAGCCCTTTACAAGAGATGTCAAACAAAAATAATGTGCAATTCAGATTAGATGACTCACAAAGAAAAATTTTCTGCAAACCAAAGGAAGTCAACCAGGAACAAATAGCATTTCTATAATAGTATTATTTGTCACTTAAGGAAGCAACGTGAAAGTTTTCTGTGTCCTTCCCTCTGTGTGAAAGGAAGATATTTCTGTTTTTGAAAATATCCAGAGCTGGATGTTGATGAAAAGCAAATGAGGAAAACATTGAATGTCATGAACATTCACAACACAGCACAGAAAGTGATTGTTATTTATTCTGAAACTGGGCATGGAAAATTCACACATGAAGCATGAAAATAAAAGGCCTTTTGCTCTTTTATAAAATATACTAAGCCCTCCAAGGAATCATTTCCAAAGATATGTCAAGCTGTGGACTGAGCAATTGGAAAGAGAATTAGGAGACTAAACATAGCAGAAGCAATGTGCTATATTTAAGAGAGATCTTGATATTTTCTGTAAATACCTCTGAGGCAGTAGGGAGAAAGGTCTATTTGAAAATTGATCATTGCTACTTGAAAAAAATAGAATTTTTCCTTTCAATTATCTACTCGAAATATATTTAACTTATTGTTTTGAAGCTGTGTGATAGACTCTATTGGAAGCTTTAATTTTTATTTATTTGCCTATTTAAATTAACAGATACAATTGCACATGTTTACCATATGTGGCATATTGTTTTGAAGTATATGCACATTGTAGAGTGACTGAATCTAGTTAATTAACATATGCATTACTTTCTATAGTTATTTTTGTGGTAAGAACACTTTACATTGACTCTTAGCATTTTTTAAAAGTACGATACCTTATTAGTTATGGTCACCATGTTGTACTATAGATCTCTTGAATTTATTCCTCCTAACTAAAATTTTGTATTCTTTCAGCAACATCTTCCCAAACCTCCCTTTCAACCACCCAAACCACCACAGCCCCTAGTAACACCCATTCTTCTCTCTACCTCCATGAGATCAGCTGTTTAAGATTCCACATATAAGTGAGATCATGCAATATGTCTTTCTGTACCAGGCTTCCTTCATTTAACATAATATCCTCCAGATTTATCCATGTTGTCTCAAATGACAAGGTTTCCTCCTGTTTTTGAAAGGCTGTATAGTATTCTATTGTGTATACAAAACACATTTTCTTAATTCATTTATTTACTGATGAACACTTAGCTTGATTCCCTGTCTTGGCTGTTGCAAATAATGCAGCAATAAACGTGGCAGTACAGATCTCTCTTTTCATACTTATTTCATTTCGTTTGGATATATGTCCCATAGTAGGATTGGTAAATCATATGATAGATCTTCTTGTAAAAAAAAATTTTTTTTTTTTTGAGACAGAGTCTTGCTCTGCCACAAAGGCTGGGGTGGAGTGGGCAATCTCAGCTCACTACAACCTCAGCCACCTTTCTTTAAACAATTCTCCCACCTCAGCCTCCTGAGTAGCTTGGATTACAGGCCCCCACCACCACACCCAGATAATTTTTGTATTTTTAGTAGAGATGAGGTTTCACCATATTGGCCAGGCTGGTCTCAAACTTCCAACCTCAGGTGATCAGCTTGCCTTGGCCCCCTAAAGTGCTGGGATTACAGGCGTGAGCCACCATGCCCGGCCTGCTTGTAATTTTTTGAGAAACCTCTGTACTGTTGTTCATATAGCTGTGCTGATTTACATTCCCCTCCACAGTGTGCCAGACTTCCCTTTTCTCCACATCCTCTGCAGCACTTGTTATCATTTGTTTTTTTGATAATAGCCATTCTAACAGGGTGAAGTGATATCTCATTATGGTTTTAATCTGCATTTTTTCATATATCTGTTGGCCATTTTTATGTCATCTTTTGAGAAATGTACTTCGCCCATTTTAAAAATTGGTTATTTGTTTTCTTGCTGTTTAGTTGTTTGTATTCCTTACGTATTTTGGATATTAACCCCTTATCAGATGTAGAGTTTGCAAATATTTTCTCCCATTCTTTAGGTTTTCTCTTCACTCTATTGATTCCTTTGCTGTGAAGAAGCATTTTAGTTTGATGTAATTCCATTTGTCTACTTTTGCTTTTGTTACCTGTGCTTTTGGGGTCATATCCAAAAAAAAAATCATTGCCCAGACCAATGTCATAGTGATAGCTTTAACTTTTAAATGCAGTATAGGAAAATCATAGATATGTATACATATATATATATTTATATCTGTATATATCTATACACACACACAAACACATAAGTATATGTATACATACACATGTATAAGTGTATAAATATGTATATATACACACATATATAAATATATAAATATATATTATATAGAGAGAAAGAAAGAAAGAGGTCTAAGAAGCCATTATTGAAAGAAATAGGATGCTTGTGTTGTTGAAAATGAGCACTATATCTTCATTTCATTATTCTTAGTATCTCCTTTTCCATCTTTCTAATTTCAAAAATGTAGTGTCAGCCAGGTGTGATGGCTCACACCTGTAATCCCAGCACTTTGGGAGGCCGAGGCAGGTGGATCACTTGAGGCCAGGAGTTCGAGACCAGCCTGGCAAACATGGTGAAACCCATCTCTACTAAAAATACAAAAATTAGTGGGGTGTGGTGGCATGTGCCTGTAACCCCAGCTATCGGATGGCTGAGGCAGGAGAATCACTTGAACCTGGGAGACAGAGGTTGCAGTGAGCTGAGAATGTGTCACTGCATTCTAGCCTAGGTGACAAAGCGAGACTCTGTCTCAAAAAAAAAAAGTAGTGTCTGTGGATAATTTGAATTAACAATCTAAAGAATCCCATGCATCTAAACACACACTTAGCCCATCTAAGGTTATATTATTGGGTAATTGAGGTTGATCTTTGTCGGCCCTCCAGCCTGTGCACTCCCTCCTATTTTGGTACTATTTTGCACAGAGAGTAGGGGCTCAACAAGGTACATAATTTGATGTGTTCTTCCATATTAACTTGCTTTCCCAGTCTTTATAGATCTTTACAAAAACATTTTTCAATGTTTCTCCACTATCTTTAAACTTACTACTTCTTCCCATCTCTTTTTGTAGAGATAGACAATCTCATTTTTCATGTCACAGAGAAAACAGAAATCACAAAACTGGAGCTCCCTCTATTCTTGCCTAAAAATTCTAAAAGCTTTCCTGAATCCACACCTGCCTGACAGTTACCACCACTCCCATTCCAATAAGTGAGGCCTCCCTCTCCTCTCTACTGAGATCTGAGGTAGCCAAACTAAATACAATCAGGTGAGAAATTCTTCTTCATTTTAAAATTAGCATATAAGAGCTCATCTTACAGCATAGTAAGACTTAATCAAAGTAACTCTGAGACCTTCACCATCCAACTGGCGTAACCAGTAGAGCTAACCACTAGAGAACACATGGCCTAGTGAGTGAACCTCAAGGAAACCACAGAGCAAGACTGAGATTGTGAGCAAGCATGGGAAAGTGGCATTATAATACTACTGGCTAGAAACTTGTGCTGCAGGAAATCAGCCCATTTGGGGCTGCCATGGGCAGAGTGTTGTGTGTGTGGAATTTTGGGGGTGCCTCATAGGTGCATCCTGGAGTTGGGACATGCATAAAGATCAAGACAGGTGCCTGCTGCTCTGGAGCATTCCGTAAGCAGGACAAGAAGAACAGGTAACATGTAGGCAGCCTTTGATCCTGTTATTTGGGATGGCTAGGATTCATGGGTTTCCCTTGGGTCCGGTGGACACAGTAAAACACAGCTGGTTCCTTCCCCCAGGAGGATGGTCTGCCAGCATAAGGAGAACTCAGCACGGAAGGCCGTGGGGTGTACTTCCAAATAACATCAACTCAGGTGGGGGAATGACAGGATAATGTAAAGCAATCACATCAGCCATATCAAGGAATTGTACAGGGGAGAGCGTCTAAAGGGCTTCCCAAGGAAACCCAATCCTGGAGCCCCTGAAAAAGCAAGACTTTGAACACCTTTCCCAAAGGAAAATCAAGCATGCAGCATAGACTCTAACATCTGGACAAGTAAGCAGAAAAGGATCTCCTCTTTCTTATCCTTTGGAGGAGATAGAAGTAGAAGAACTAAAGAATAAAGACAGAGGGAGAAGGAATTCTTCACAAAAGTACATATACCTGACTGTGATGTAAGTAGCATATGGACACCTGAACCAGATCACTCTTTAACACCATCTTCCACGTGAAAAGATATTTTTGGTAACAATCTTGAAAAAAATTGTTATAGCAAGAAAATGAATGCAGACTATTAAAATTTTCTTTTATTGAACTTCATATATAAAATCATGCCAACAAAAACGAAAACAAAACAAACTACTTATAGGGTTCTATGCTCAATACCAGGGTGATGAGATTCATACTCCAAACCTCAGCATTGTGCAATATTCCCATGTAACAAATCTGCACTTGTACCCTTGTATCTAAAATAAAAGTTGAAATTTTATAAAATTAAATAAATTTTAAATTAATATTAAGATACAAAAAAGAAAAAAGTAATGAATTCTTTTAATTACACTGCTATATTTTTAAAAAACCCTATGCTAATATAGTAGTCTATCAGAGTACTGAATAATGATATTACAGTTTCTATTTTATCCAAATTTGTCAATAATTGTTAAAATTGTTTGTTGCATATCTATGCTTATATCTGGTTGATGCACACATTTTAATCATTTTAATTATGAAATGTTTCTTTCACATGAAGTGACAGATCTAAAAATAGTTAACAAAAGTCTTAATTATAAGGGTAAGTTTGGCAGAAATTCATAAAAATTTCATTTCATAATAAGTTCCAGAAATAGCATGCTATTTAGGTCTTTATTTCTTTAGAGTTGATTCTAGAGGCAATCAAATATCTCTGTAGTTAAAACATTTCCACTAAAGTATCTTCACCAGAAAATTCATCATGCACTTCTGTTTTATTTGGAAAAAACTTCTAAATTTTCTTTCTTCTGCAGAAATCAGAGAAAATGCCTGAATGATTGGTAACATTGAGTTTACTTGATTCATTGACTTAGAACATGTCCAGTTCTTTGTGAAAATGACCAAGGCATTCAAATGTTGACTTTTTGAAATCTCTGGCAAGGCAAGAACATCATCTTTTGTCTTTTCTCCTGTCAGTCTTTTTTAAGTTAGATATTTTTTCTCTATATAAATTGCATTTCATTACATTTTTTGTTGCATAATCAATGGCATTCTTCACAAGGAACCATTTTAAAGACTAGCGTATCACTACACATTGTTCACATTTGATTCTGGCTGTTTGCAAATTTGTGTCTGATTAGTCTCATCTAAAACTTCACATTAAAAAGAAAACTCAGAAAAGAAAAATTGCAAACATCTATCACTGTTTATTCTGAATATCCTATTTTTACCCAAGAATATGTAGGGATTGACAACATGAACTGTGCTTAAACAAGCTCCAGCTTTACTAACTTTACTAACTCCTTTTTGAAGTGAATGTGTATAACAGGCTGTGTATGGTGGGGTAGACTCTATAACTGAAAGTTCCCCAAATTAGCTTCTGTGTAGAATACATGTTTATTAAAGGGAAAGTAAGAAAACTGTGCTTATGTGGAGCTCACATGTACATTACTAAAACTCAGCAATAACCCTAGTAGTTGTTTAAAAGATGGAGCAACAGAAGGTTTTTCAGAGGCAGGAGTATTTCCTGGATGACATTGTTTAAAATTTCCTATTTATGGTGATAATAATAACAATAAAAAAACAAATTTAAGTTTTATGGCTATTCAATACAATGGTTACAAACACCATGCTGTTTTCTAGAGATGCAAAATATTTTCTAATCTGATATCAATTATCCTTCACTCACAAAGTGTAAAATAATGTCAAAAATTAAAATACATAAATAATGTTGAGCCAAAGGTTAGTCTCCTCATTTTAATTCCATGCTATTAAATCATGATATTGTTTTCTATTGAGAAGATAAAAAGCTTTATAGTTCTTTAGGGTCAGAATTAAAAATAAAAGGGAAAAGTAGGTTCTGTGTCTGTCATTGACTGAGTGTGTATTTTTAAATAATGGATCATATGATTTGTGCATGTACCTGACAGAGAAAAGAGAGAAGAAGCAAGCTTAGTTGACCAATTGATTGATTTATAGGTAAATATTATACATTTTTATAATAGTTACCAAATAAAAAATCCCTAACCATGGCCAGTTAAAAGATGGCTGTGCTGTTTACTGTCCATTTTCTGTCCCTTGTTCCCAAGATTACCATCCTGCTCAATGCCCCAAGGAGACTGACCCCTAAGAACCACCTTATCAAGATCCCCTGCTCCCTGTGTCCTATTGTGGGCAACAAATGGAAGATGCTGGCAGGAGATCGAAGTGCAGGAGTGGGAGAGTTTGGAGTGCACCATCTGCCTTCTGCGGTGGCGGTGTCTCTCTCTGACTGTTCCAACACCTGTCAGGCAGCTTGCTCTTTGTTAGAGTTTTCTCTCCCACCTCCTCCTCAGACCTATGGGTGGTAAGGGCTTCCTGCCCTTGTGAGTGCTGGAGAAGCTCAGCATTTCTTGTTGCTTTTCTTGTCCTTGCACACAACTCTGTCAATATTCTTTTCATTAAGTTTGAGTCAATCTCAGCCGAAAGCATCTTCTGTCTCCTGTTGGGACTCAGTAATGAATGCAATACCTTTGTCACCCTTTCAGAGACCCCTCTGGGAAGCTCCTGATCTACATGGTTATGGGTCTCCCAGTCACAGTTATTCTGTCTGCCCCTCAATCAACTACATTTCTGTCTGGGTCCTTGGACATGATAAACTTTGAACTTCAATTTTCTTGTCTGTGCAGTGGAAAAAGTGACATGTATTCAGCAACAAAGATTAAATGAGATAATGCATGTAGACACATCTATCAGAATGCCTGGTATATCACAGGCACTGAAGAAAACCTGGCTAGTCTTATTACCATAGAGAATCCAGAAGAACCATCCTCATTATGTCATATTGTCCTCAGTTTGAAATCCCCTACTTTATTTCTCTGTTTAGAGTCTAAGCGACCACTGCCCCTACAGGGACCACACTTTTTATACCTTGTTCTTACCTCTTTGGAATTGACGTACACAGAATTGGTTTACCTATAAATTACACGGTCATGACAGTCTCTTCATTTGGTGAAAACATGGCCCCTTTTTATTTATTCACTCAGTTATATTTAATAGTATAACAAACACCCTCAAGCCCACCACTCAAATAAAAACTAAGTTTTTGATGTAACTTACCAAATCTTCTAATCCGTCTGCCTCCACCCATCTGATACAAACATCATTTTAAATTTTATTCCTTTGCTTCCATTTTTGTCTAGTTTAATTACATCTATAGATACTTCTTAAAAAGTAAGTATATTTTTATTTTAGTTGTTTTTAATTCGTAAAATGGTATGTGGTATGTAATTTTTGACCTTTTGATATTCATTTTTTCAACTATTATTTTTCTAAGATTTCCTCATGTTGTTCCAGGTTGTTATAGTTCATTCAATTTGGCCATTATCTAGTATTCTACTGTGTGAATAGTTTAATTCGTTCACTCTGTTTTGATAGACACTTGGTAGGTCTCCAGGTTTTTGCTGTAGTGAGCAATGCTGATACTGATGTTCTTCTGTTGATTTCTATTGATTTTCAGCAGGTTTGTCTTTGGTTATTTCTAGGAGTGAAATTGTTGAGCCTTAGGTACATGAAAGTTGAACTTTAGGAGATAATGCCATATTGTTTTTCTAAGTGTCTTCTAATAGCAATGCACAGTAGATTTTTGTGGTTCAGAATTCTATTCAACTTTGGTTTTACTAGACTTAAAATTTGCCAATTGAATGGTACCAACTTGTATCTCATAAAATGATGACCCATCATTGCAGTTGTAATGTCCTTTTTAACTTATGGTATTAAACATCTTTTTACTTTTTTCTTAGCCTAGTAGGGCTTTTTTCTGTGTATGCAATTATTTTCTCATCTATCTTTCCCCCTTTTTTACTGGGTTATCTATGGTTTTTAAACTGTTTTTGGAATTCTCTATATATTCATTTTAAACCATTCTATAATAATAATTATATTTTTCTATTTATTTTAGATTCAGGAAATATATATGCAAGTTTGTTACATAGGTACATCACGTGACACTGTGGTTTGGGATATGAATGATCCCATCACTTAGATAGTGTGCCAATACCCAACAGTTTGCTTTTCTAACCCTTGCTCTCATCCCTCTTTCTCTGCCCAGTAGTCCCCAGTGTCTATTGTTGCCATCTTTATGTCCATGAGTATCCGATGCTCTGCTCTCACTTACAAGAGAGAACATCAAGTATTTGGTTTTCTGTTCCTGCATTAATTCCCTTAAGATCATGGCCTTCAGCTGCATCCATGTTGCTGCAAAGGACATGATTTCATTCTCTTTATGGTTGTGTAGTATTCCATGTGTATATGTAACACATTTTCCGTATCCAATTCAATGTTGACGGGCATCTAGATTGATTCCATGTCTTTGCTATTGTGAGTAGTGCTGCAAAGAACATATGTGTGCATGTGTCTTTTTGGTAGAATAACTTATTTTCTTTTGGAGATATACCCAGTATTGGGATTGCTGGATTGAATGGTAGTTCTGTTTTAAGTTCTTTGAGGAATCTCCAAACTGCTTTCCACAGTGGATGAACTTACATTCTCACCAATGATGTATAAGCATTCCCTTTTCTCCACAGCCTTGCCAACGCCTGTTATTTTTTAACTTTTTATTACCAGCCATTCTGATTGGTGTGAGATGGTATCTCATTGTGGTTTTAATTTGCATTTTTCCGATGGTTAGTGATATTGAGCATTTCTTATATGTTTGTTGGTCACATGTATGTCTTCTTTTGAGAAGTGTCTGTTCATGTCTTTGTCCACTTTTTAATGGAGCTATTTGTTTTTTGTTTGTTGAGTTGTTAAAGTTTCTTACAGATTCTGGATATTAGGCATTTGTCAGATGCACAGTTTTGAATTTTTTTCTATTCTGTAGATTTTCTGTTTACTCTGTTGATAGTTTCTTTTGTTTTGAAGAAGCTCTTTTGTTTAATTAGGTCATATTTGTCAATTTCTGTTTTTTGTTGCAATTACTTTTGAGGACTCAATCATCAATTATTTCCTAAGGCTGATGTCCAGAATGGTATTTCCTAGGTTTTCTTCTAGGATTCTTATAGTGTGAGGTTGCACATCTAAATCTTCAATGTATCCTGAGTTATTTTTTGTGTATGGTGAAAGGTAGGGGTCCAGTTTCTTTCTTCTGCATATTGCTAGCTTGTTATTTCAACATCATTTATAGAATAGGGAGTCCTTTTCCTATTGCTTATTTTTGTTCACTTTTTCAAAGAGTAGATGGTTGTAGGGATGCACCTTTATTTGTGAGTTCTCTGTTCTGTTCCATTAGCCTATATTTTTGTATTGGGTTGTACCAGTACCATTCCGTTTTGATTACTGTAACGTTTTATATAGTTTGAAGCCAGGTAATGTGATGCCACCAGCTTTGTTCTTTTTGCTTGGGATTGCTTTGGTTATTCAAGCTCTTGTTCTGTTCCATATGAACTTTACAATATTTTTTTTCTAATTCTGTGAAAAATGATATTGATAGTTTGATAGGCATGGCATTGAATCTATAGATTTCTTTGAGCATTATGGTCATTTTCATGATATTGATTCTTCCAATTCATTAGCATGGAGTATTTTTCTATTTGTTTGTGTCATTTATTATTTCTTTCAACAGTGTTTTGTAAGTTTTCTTGTGAAGATCTTTCACCCCCTTGGCTTGATGTATTCCTAGGTATTTTATTCTTCTTGTGGCTATTGTGAATGGGATTGTGTTCTTGATTTGGCTTTCAGCTTGAACATTACTGTTGTATAGAAATACTGCTAATTTTTGTATATCAGTTTTGTATCCTGAAATTTACTGTCATTTATTAGTTCCAACAGCCTTTTGGTGGAGTCTTTAGATTTTCATTTCTGGGATAAAATGTTGGTTCAACATATGCAAATCAATAAATGTGGCCACCACATAAACAAACAGTATTTAAAACAAATACCCTATGATTATCTCAATAGATGTGAAAAAAGCCTCCTATAACATTCAACGTTCCTTCATGATAAAAACCCTCACCAAACTAGGCATTGAAGAGACATATCTCAAAATAATAGGAGCCAACTATGACAAACCCACAACCAATATCATAATGAATGAGCAAAATCTGTAAGTATTCCCCTTGAGTACCCGAATAAGACAAGGATGTCCACTCTTCCCACTCCTATTCAACATAGTACTGGACTTCCTAGCCAGAGCAATCAAGCAAGAGAAAGAAATCAAAGGCATACAAATAGGAAATTGAGTCAAACCATCACTCTTTGCTGACCTTACCTGACTTGTGTGTGTGTGTGTGTGTGTGTGTGTGTGTGTATATATATATATATATATATATATATATATATATATATATATATAATTTGTTTTTTTGTTTTGTTTTGTAGAGACAGGATCTCGCCATGTTGCCCAGGCTGGTCTCGAACTCCTGGGCTCAAGTGAACCACCCATCTTGTCCTACCAAAGTGTTGGAAGTACAAGTGTGAACTACAGCACCCAGCAGAAAATTCTTTTCTTGAAGAATGCTGAATATAGCCCTCAATCTCTTCTGGCTTATAGGGTTTCTCCTGAAAGATCTGCTGTTAGCCCGATATGGTTCCCTTTCTAAGTGATCTGTCCATTGTCTTTAGCTCCCTTTAACGTTTTTTCTTACATTTTGACCTTGGAGAATCTGATATCTATATCTTGGGGATGGTCTTATTGTGCCCTATTTGTAGGGGTTCTCTGCGTTTCCTGAATTTTAAAGTTGGTCTGTCTAGTGAGGCTGGGGAAATTATTAGATGGTATTCTGAAATATGTTTTCCAAGTTGCTTGCTTTCTCTTCCTGTATTTCGGGGATGCCAATGAGTCATAGATTTTGTCTCAGCATAATTCCATATTTCTCATAGGTTTTCTTCATTCTTTTTAATTGTTTTTTCTTTAATTTTGTCTGACTGAGTTATTTCAGAGATTCAGTATATTAGTCCATTTACACACTGCTGATAAAGACATACCCAAGACTGGGTGATTTATAAAAGAAAGAGAGGTTTAATAGACTTAGAGTTCCACATGGTTGGGGAGGCCTCACAATCATGACAGAGGGCAAGCAGTAGCAAGTCACGTCTTACATGGATGGCAGCAGGCAAAGAGAGAGCTTGTGTGGGGAAACTCCCCCTTATAAAACCATCGTATCTCATGAGACTTATTCACTGTCATGAGAACAGCATGGGAAAGATCTGCCCCATGATTCAATTACCTCCCACCAGGTCCCTCCCACAACACATGGGAATTCAAGATGAGATTTGGGTGGAGACACAGCCAAACCATATCAACTGGTCTTTGAATTCTGAGATTCTTTCCTCAGTTTGATAGATTCTATTGTTAATACTTGCTATTGTATTCTGAAATTCTTGAAGTGAGTTTTACAACTCCATTATCTCAGTTTGGTTCTTCTTAAAATGTCCCTTTTATCTTTTATCTTGCATACCATTTTATTTTATTCCTTAGACTGCTTGCATTGAGTTTTAAATTTCTTCTGAGTGTCGATGGTCTTTGTTCCTATCCATATTGTGAATTCTATTTCTGTCACTTCAGCCATTTCAGCCTGATTGACAAGCATTGTCTGGGAACTAGTGTGGTCATTTGGAGGTAAGAAGGCACTGGATTTTTGAGTTGCCAGAGTTTTTGCACTGATTATTGCCCATTTGTGTGGGCTGATGTTCCTTCAATCTTTGAAGTTGCTGTTCTTTAGAATTTTTTTTCTTTTATTTTCTTTTATGTCCTTGGGGGTTTGCTTGTGTTATAAGGTGGGTTCAGTAGACTGGCTTCATTTCTGGTAGATTTTTTGGGGAACCGATGTTCAGCTCAGCACTCCTGAGCTGTGTGGTCCAACTCTGAGAGGCTGGTATCCTGCCTCTGGCTTTGTTCTCTGGCCCTTCAAGATTGAGAACCTTTTGCACTAGAGGGGCCAAGGTGTTCCTAGACCATTGGCCACGAAATTCTGAAGGGCAGTGCCAGCCAAGGAGCTTTGTTGGGTGATGACAGTGGGATGTGTGCTCATTTGCACATGCCAGCAGCAGTGGCAGTGGGGTGGGGTGCACACTTGTCAGCTGGCATGGGGCACCAGCAGGCCCAGGGCTGTTGGTCTCCATATGGGCATTGGCAATGGCAGCAGTGGTGGTGTGAGGGGAAAAGGAGCTAAAGGGAAGAGGGCTGCTGGGGTCCTTGTGTGCATTCACACCCATGGTGGTGTCAGTGCAAGGGCAGAGTGCTGGTAGGCACAGGGGTCATCACCTCCATATGTAGGTTCATACCAGAGGAGGTGGTGTTGCAGAGTGGGAGGTGGGGCCATTGTTATCTCTGCATGCGTTCACCCTTATGGCAGTGGCAGCATGAGGTGGGGAAAGGTAATGCTTGTGTCTTTATGCATGTTTGCACCAGCAATGGCAGTGCAGTGGGATGGTGGGTGCTCCCATACAACAGTGGGGGAAGAGGTGGTAAGGTCCACCAATGCACATGTGTGCTGGTAAAGCAATGGATGGGTGATCACGGGTGTGTGCATGCCCTAAAAGTGACAAGGGGGAAGCTGCCATGGGGAAAGGGTGCTGGTGGGTGGTGTGTTTCAGTGGGGGCTGCTCTTCTGGAGCTTTCTGATGGTCAGGCGTGGTCTGCCACTGCAGAAGCTATGATGCAGGCCCCCAGGAGTCATCCCAGTTGAGCATCTGAGACTGCACTTCCAGCAGGAATGGCCAGGCTGGGGCCCAGGGAAAGGCCAGTAGATGAAAGTGTGCTCAGGTCAGACTGGTCCTGTCTTATGAGCAAGATCGCCTTGCTTTGTTCAGAACCAACAGTTCCCTTAAGGCTGGAGTCTCCTAGAGGAACATGGTGAGCCTTGGGGGATGTGTGTCACTGGCCACGTTCCCCTGCAGACATTCCTGCACCAAACCCTGTGGGCTCTGCACAGGCTGGAGTCCTGCCTCTACCATCCCTCTAAGTAGCTCTCCCTGCCAGCTCAATTTTCCATGGAAGCTGTGGGATCTCCTTCTGCCAGGATTCCAGAGGTCCATAGCAACAGTGGGTCACTCTTCATCTGCTCAACTTACCCTTTTTCCAGGAGTCACTGGGGGCCAGGAATGAGTCCTTGTGCATGGTAGGCCCATGCAGGGTTTCCAGCTTCCTCTCCTTTTAGCCCAGCATCTGTATCCTTTCTCCATCCACCCTCAATGCCTCCTTTCTGTTCACAGTGTGCCAATCTTCCCAGTGTTCCAGTCTCTCAGTGGCAGGTGTTCCTTCTCCCTGCGTCTAGTCACACATCTTGCCTCCTTTTTCAGATATGAAATTCTTGGTTGGAATTTTTCTGTAAGAATGCTGAAAATAGGCTCCCAATCTTTCTTGGCTTATAAAGCTTCTCCTGAGAAGCCTGATGTTAGCCTGTTGAGGTTTCCTATGTATACGATTCCATCTTTTTCTCTAGCTGCTTTTAAGAATTTTTTAGTGTTGACCTTGGGCAGTCTGGTGGCTATATGCCTTGGTGACATTTGTTTTGAATATTATCTCACAGTTTTTCTTTGGATTTCTTGTATCTGAATGTCTACCTTTCTGGCAATATTAAGAAAATTTTCTTGAGTTATTCCCTCAAATATGTTTTCCAGGTTGTTTACTTTTTTCCTTCTCTTTCAAAAATGCCAATAATTCATAGGTTTGGTCACTTTACATAATCGCATATTTCTTGAAGACTTTGTTCATGTTTTAAATTCTTGTTTCTTTATTTTTGTCTGACTGGGTCAGTTCGAAAGACCAGTCATCAAGCTCTGAAATTCTTTCTTCTGCTTGGTTTGGTCTATTTATAAAGTTGTCAATTGGTGAAATTCTTTGAGTGAGTTTTTCAGTTCCAGAAGGTCTGATTGATTTCTTCTTATTATGTTTATTTCTTTTTTCATTTTGTGGATTGATTTAGAAGTTACTTTGTGTTGATTTTCAACTTTGTCTTGGATTTCCTTGAGCTTCCTTGCTTTGAATTATTTATCTGTCATTTCTGAGTTTCCATTATGTTTAGGAATCATTGCTGGAAAGCTACTGCGATTCTTTGGTGGTGTCATTACATTCAGATTTGTCATGGTGCCAGAATTCTTGCACTGGTTTCTTCCCATCTGGAGACTCTGGCATTTTTATTAATTATTTTCATGTGGGTAGAGTTTTTTCTTTTATTTTTCTTTCACTATAATATTATTATTATTATTTTCCCTTCCCCTGCCAGGTGTCCTTATGGTAGAGGATGCTGGATAGTGACTTTTGGCTTTGCTTCTATAGCCCTATATACTTCTTTCAGCAGGTTTTATATCGGGCTGTGAGGTGTGATCTACAAGGCAGTAGATGGCCTTTAAGCATAACAGCTGGATGTGGCCAATGTGGCTGTGTATATATTTGATCCTTGTTTACCAGGAAAAGCTCTCTGTTGCCTCAGGCAATGGGCTAATCCATAGAGTGCACAGTGGTCTGAGCTCCCTGCCCAACCCCACGATCTCAGGAGCAGGCTGGCCAGTGCTAGGTTGCCAAGATGGCCCTGGCTGCAAGTCTCATTGTCCAGCAGAAACTGCAGCTATAGCAGCTCCTCCTCCTGCCTCAGGCCTGCAACAGAGGAGAGCACAATTCCAGTACTTACCACTGTGGTGCTTTCCACAATTCTAACTGGGGAGGTCCTTAACCTGCTCCAGAGCAAGTACTCCAATCTCTGACCTGAGACAGCAATGCCTGCATGGGTGCACTGTCCAATCGCCAAAGAATGGCTGACTTTGTATGTGCCTGGATTAAAAATGGCATCCTACTCTTGATCCTGGGTCTGGAGAAATGTCTGCAGCTTTTCCCAGTGGCTTTCCCTTTCAGTGCCTCCGATCTTCTCCCCAAGTTAGCTCCAGGACTTGGGAGAAACAAAGTGCTCTCTCTTGGCTTGGTTTGCTTGGATCCCCTGTGGAAAGGACTCCCCTGAGTCAGAGAGGGAGGCTCTCTGCCCAATTCACATACTAGGACTTCATTCACTTTTTTTATGCTGTCATGGAGGCTATTCGCCCAAGTTCTTCTCTCCTGGATCTGGGGTGTCCTTCACAGTTCCAGTGGAGTCCCATTTTCTTCTTGAATTAAAGCCCACAGCGTTGATCTTTACATATTATCTTGCTATTGACAGGTGGTGGAGGCAGGCTAAAAGCATGAATATCCTTTTTCCTGTTCTTGAATGATGATACACATTTGTCCAAATATTTTACAAAAGTAAGATTTTGAAGATTTGTTGAAATGCAGTCATATGCTTCTGGATTTTCCTACGATTATTATACATTTTATTCGCAACAACCTAATATTAGACTGATCTCATTTCAGCTCCTCTTTCACTCAACGAATGCTTATTGAGTGCCAATTCTGTGTCATCACAGTTCCATTAAATGTCCATTTAACCTTGTCTCATGGTTAATTAATACACCCGTGTTTGGAATAATCTATTATTGTATGAAAAAAGAAATATATTTTATTTTATACATTTTCAAAAGTAAAATACAGAAAGGTGTCTTTATGCTGAAGCCAAACACGTTTGAACAGCTTTCTGGGGAATCAGAAGATGATTATCTATCTTTCACTCTGTTTTCCTCACCGCTTGTCCCCTTTCCTTCCTTTTTAGCTTATAGCTTTCTGGAACCTATTTCATCTGCCTTTTATAGTTGAAAGTTTGACATACACAAAAACATGCTCTTGTATAATTGCCTCAATGTTTTTTCATCTTGCTGAAGGTGATTATTTTAAACTGCTGTGAGACATGATGAATCAACAATTATATTACATACACAAATATATGCAGAGCATTTGCTTAGGAAACTTGATTTCTAAGGCAAAGCATTTTTTATCATGAGAATTCACTAGATCCAGCGACTGTGCTGAATTCTGAGATAGTTTTGAAATTTTACTAAAAAACAAAACACACATAATTATATTTCATTATGATATATTTAATATTTTTGAAGTCAAGTAGATTTTTTTTTTTGGGACAGAGTCTTTCTCTGTTGCTCAGGCTGGAGTACAGCGGCATGATCTCAGCTCACTGCAACCTCCGCCTCCTGGGTTCAAGTGATTCCCCTGCCTCAGCCTCCCGAGTAGCTGGGACTACAGGCTGCCGTCACCACACCCGGCTAATTTTTATATTTTTAGTTGACATGGGGTTTCACCATATTGGCCAGGCTGGTCTCGAACTCCTGACCTTGTGATCCACCCACCTCAGCCTCCTAAATTGCTAGGATTACAGGCATAAGCCACCGCGCCCGGCCAAACAGATTTTTTTAATGTCAAAAATGGCATGGGTGATAATATAGTTTATACTATGGGTGAAACTCCTGGAGATTATATATGCTTACTCATCCTTTCTTCAGAACCTGTGCTGACAAAGGATGTGGCTTATAATGACAATGGAATAGGGAGTGGTAGCAGGAAATGAAAAAGACCCTAAAAACCCAGATACCACTCAGACTGCTATTCACGATGCAGTAAGGAATCAATCTCTATACGTCATTGGATGCAGAACATCTAGGATGCTTTTAATTTCCAGAACCAGAATAACACATAACAAATTTAAAGTAGCTTTGAGTATTGCTACTTAATAGTCAATAAATATTCAATAAATAATAATGAATATTCAGTGACATGTCATTTTAAATTAGTTTTATTCTAACACTATAAAAGGGTTTAGGTCACAAGTGAATGAGAATTCCACAGCTATTTAAGCTTCAGGTATGAAGTAATGAGACACCCCTACATCTAATTCTCTATAATCCTCTCAGCTTTGCTTTTGTTTGGCTGACTTAACTTTTCATAGCCAAATGGCTCCAGCAGCTCCAGACATCACCTCTTCACCCTAACCTTAGAGTGGGGCTTTTCATAATGTGTTGATGACCCATCAGCTGATCTATAAACAATATAGTCCATCATGACCAGCATTTAAATAAACTAATGTAAGGGAAAATAATAGAATAGAATAGAATCTGAAAATATCAGAATGAATTACATGTGGTAAAGATAAATACCTTTTATACAACTTTTGTTATATGTAGACAATGTGTGCACGGAGCTGTGATGTGAAATTTATTTATTTCTGTGGCTCATCATGAAACATTTAGAGAAAGAGAAAAAGAGACAATTTCTTCCTGCCTTGAAAACTGCAGTGATACCTTTTCCTGGCCCATTGATTCAAATGGGCTCCTAAATATTCCTGAAACAATTACTGCTGGGTGCACATTCAAGTGTTGTGGAATCCAAAGCTATATTATTTGGGTTGGGGGAGGGATCTTTAAGAAAAAGAATTTGAAATTGCCTGTATAGCATTAGGTATAAATATTAATGTAAAGCAAGGATAGAAATATTACACCTTTTAACAAGCTAACAAATGCTGCAATTAAAAATACACATTTTAAAAAGCTAAATTAAATACTTAAATTGTTCCAAGCACTTAATTGTTCTTTCTTAATAACAGTATTTTTCTTAATTAAATGCTTGGAACAATTCTACAATATTTTTTTAAAGACAGAAGCCTTAACCAATTGTTATTAAAATAACTTTTGCAAATGTTGCAAAAATATTTGCCAGATGAGCTCATTACTAGTTCCCACCAGAGCTTTGGAAGGAGCTCTTGCAAAGGAGGAGCTCTGAGGCTTATGAAATTTGCTATAATGTACCCCTTCTATTCTAGAGCCAGGGTAAAGTCAGTGTCCCTTAGGCCCATAGGCTTGCTGGCATTAATATAGCTTCAGGATGGAGACTAAGAGTGGATGCTGAGAAGCCTGCCAGTCAGGTTTCCTACCTGCTTAGAGATCCAGAAGCTGACTTTCCATGAATACACAGAAAAGTTGTTTCTTGAAAAGGTGGTGGTTTTCTGCTTCTGATGACAGAAAACTAGAAAATACAGATTGTAATAGCTAGTTTTATATGTCAACTTGGCTAGCTATGCTGTCTATTTTTTAAGTAAACATTATCTAGCTGTTGCTGTGGAGGCATTGGTAGATGTGGTTAACATCTACAATCAGCTGACTTTAAGTAGATTATCTTTGATAATGTGGTGGGCCTCATCCAATCAGTTGAAGGGCCTTGAGAGCAAAACTGAGGTTTCTCTGAGGAAGAAAATCCTTCCTCAAGACTGCAGTATCAGTTCCTGCCTGAGGGTTTTCTGGAAGTTTTTGACTTGCCAGTTTCCTCATAATCATGTAAGACAATTCCTTGAAAGAAATCTCTTAATGTGTGCCTGTGTGTCTTTGTGTCTGTGTACATATGTGTGTGTGTGTGTGTGTGTGTGTGTGTTTATATAGATATATGTATTCTTATTATTCTTTGGAGAACTCTAATTGGTACAGTGATTAACCCTCTGGATGAAGACAATGGAAAGATAAATAGAACAAATTTAGAACTGCAAACTACAGCAACCAAAATTCTGGTCTTCAAGTATGAGTTTACTCATAGACTAGACACAACTGCAGAGTGTATTATTTTCTTCTTACTTTATTTATTCTACTTCTTATTATGCCAGTTCACCATCTAAAATGAGGCACGATGAGACAAGGGGATGGAAAATTGCAAAGACAGGGTGAGAGAACCACATGATACTGTGAGAAAGCTTTTTTTTTTTTTTAACCTGGAATGGCAGAAGGAACAGAGACGAAATGAGTTAGAAAATACATTTAAAGAAATAATGAGTAAATGTTTTAAAAAATAGTTGAAAGACATAAATTCTACATTCAGAGCCCAGTCAATCCCACAAGAAAAATAAAAATAATTTATCATGTAGGTTCATCCTAGAGAAACTGCAGAGAAACAATAAGAAAGCCAAAATTTTAAGGACAACCAGAATTTTAAAACATCAGATTACATACAAAAATGAATACACTATACTGAATAGAAACAATGAGTGTCCTTACGTGGGTTGAACGAATATAAGAGCCCATCAAGAATTCACATTATTAAAAGGTTAAATTAAACTATTTTGAGATAAAGCAGAGATTTGTCACTTCCAAATAGAGCCTAAAATAGAGAAGAAAGTGCGTTCTTCAAGGAGAATAAAAATGATCCGAGAATGAAATTTGGAGACAGAAGAATGAAAAGATATAGAAGATAAATATACATACAAATTTAAATATACATTTATTGTCTAAAACATCAATAACATGTTATGTGGTTTAAAATATATGGAGAATAAAATATGTAACAATAGCATATTATTAATGTAAAATTTTTCTAAGATTCTTGACTTATTTAGGAGGAGTGTCAAAGAATCAGTTAATATTAGACATTGATAAGTCAAGAATGTATGTTTTATTTTTCAGGTAAGCACTAAATAACATAATTTCTTAATTCAGAGAAGAGAGAGAAATAAAATACTAAAAATTTGATCAGTTCATGGAAGGCAAAAAAGAAGAGAAAAAGGAAAATTCAATAGTTGGTCAAAAATAAAGGACATAGTAAATTGATAGATTTATGCCACAAGATACTGTAACTTAAATTTAATGGAAGTCGAATACATGTAAAAGTTAAAAGACAAAAGTTGCCATAATGGATTAGAAATAGAAGAAAATTACCTGAAAGTTTAAGATCCAGAAAGGTTGAATAAAAAATAATTGAAAAGGCCGGGCACAGTGGCTCATGCCTGTAATCCCAGCACTTTGGAAGGCCAAGGTGGGCGGACCACCTGAGTTCGGAAGTTTGAGACCAGCCTGACCAACATGGAGAAACCTCATCTCTACTAAAAATACAAAAATTAGCAGGGAAGCTGAGGCAGGAGAATCACTTGAACCCGGGAGGGGAGGTTGCGGCGAGCTGAGATCATGCCATTGCAATCCAGCGGGGGCAACAAGAGCGAAACTCCATCAAACACACACAAAAAACTAATAATAATTGAAAAAAGCCACACAATGCAAACACTAACTGATATAATATGATGCAGGTATGTTAATATCAGGAAAAATCTACTTGAAGGTAAAAAACTTTGCAGGAGTGAAAGTGGTTCCTTCTTCATCGCAACAATGTTTATTTAACAAATATGCGATGTTTCTAAATTTTTATGAACCTAATAACAAGGTTCAAACTGCAGAAAGAAAGATGTCAGAAACTACACGCAGAAACAAAATCCCCATAATCATAATGGGAAATTTTAAAACATTTTGAGTGAATTATACAATGAGTCATCAAACATAAAGAGGGTAAAACCAATTTGAACAGCATGATTTGCAATTTGGACTCAATTTATATAAATAAAATATTGCACCGAGCAAAAGTGTAATACACATTTTTTTCTCAATCACACAGAAAACATTTCCCAAAGTGACCACAGTTAAAGCCCAAGTAAGTTACATAGGGTTGAAATCGTATGTATTATAGTATACATTTTCTCACCCCATCTCTGCATTTCCTTGTTCCTTTGTTATGTTATAATCATTTTCTTCCCTCTGGTGCTTTTTTGTAGCACACACTGTAAGCCACTTTTCCATTTTGTGAGTGTCAATTTAGTAACAATACTATCTGTAAATCAACTTCACTGAGCACTGGGTAAGCTCCAGTAACTTGAAATGCCTAGCCAGTGGATGAGCCAGCCGGTTACCTTGTAACTGATAGCTGGGTGACACCCCTTTCTCTCTTAGGAGATCTTGCTTACCACAGGTGACTAAGCGAGGGTGCCAGTGTTGGTCTGTACACTAAATATTAGAATACACTAGTTTATTTCTTATTACATTAGATAAATAGTAGAGAAAATTTTACATTTTTCTGTTAGTGATAGATTGAGGGCCCCAAATGAAAAAATATTAAAAAGTTATAATTTTCTTCTTCCTGCATCTCATTAGACTGATATTTTTTGCACACTTTATTTCAGATGTCATTTTTTGTATGGCAGTGGTTTGTGGTACTGTAGCACACATGGCTCATACCTCCCTCCATATCCCCTTGGCCACCTGCAGCTGCCACTCCTGGCATGGACAGATGCCTACCTTGGGTACCTCCCTTGTTCTCTGCCTGAGAACTTTCTTGTTCTACTGGGAGCAGGGAGAGTTAACAGCCCAGGGGCAACCATTAACCAACAGAGGGTGAGCCAGGGAATAGCCCCCTCCCCGCCACTTTCCTCTCTTCTAGTTGCCAATTCTGAGATATGTTCTACCTGGTTTCTGGAGAGTTCTAACTATAAAGAAGCCCCGGTTAGTTACAGCAGAAACCTGTGCATTAATTTATTCCTTATTGGTTTTTCTTCCTTCCCTCTCCTACTTCCTACATTTCCTCACTTGTGTTCTCTGGAATGAACCATACCCACATCCTTGTTTTAGACTCTGTTTTGAGGGTAATCAAAATAAAGATTGGCAGCGATAGTTTTAACTGTATAGTACACGTTTCCATTTCCATCTACTTTAGATAAGAACAGCCACTTCTGTAGGGAAGTCAGTCATCCTCCATTCATGTTACTGTGAAGGGATGATTAATTACAGTACTTTAAGCTTCTATTCGTTTAGGTGTGAGCATGCTACCCAGGCCTGGTTAAGCATGGTATTCAATCCTCCTACATACAGTGATGAAACGAAACAGACCCAGACAGTCTATCCATGCATTTGATGCATAGTTGCTGAGATGAAGACTTTCTCTTCTTTTTGCTAAGACGCAGATCTTGACCTTCAAGGAAACAAAAGCCTGACTGAAACAGGCATGACTAATGCCAACAAGTGAAGCCAAGCAAACCCAAGAAGAAATTGAAAAACAGAAAGGGAATGGGTAGAAAGCTCAAAATATAATATTTGAGCCCCTGGATCTAGCTGGGTCTCAGATCCACACTTCGGATTTTCTGGTTGCATGTGCATTTCAAACTCACTTCCCACCTTTTTTCTGTTAAACCAGTTTAAGATGGATTTTGATGACTGAAAACTCAGTGTCCTAATTACCATACACATTCTTTCCTCAAGTACATCTGTCTCTTCAGTGAACATTTACAAAAATATCATGAAATGCATAGCGTGCCATTTTGTTGTATACTTGTTTAATTTTATTTGAACCCTGAATGTGTTTGATTTGGGATTATTTCATTTGCCTATGATGAAACCAGACAGGCAAGAAATGAATAATTCTCTACATCATCGATGTTTGGTTACCGCTTTGGTGTCTAGTACAGAAGAGTGCATGCTGAGAACACTTTGAGAGCGTGTGTTGAATGAATGAGTGAGAGAGGAGCAAGTGCAGAGGCTGTAGGATAGCACGAAGATGGCACATTTGAGGAACTGAAAGGCCACGTGCAAAGAGCCAGTGGGGTGCAGAAGAGGCTAGGAAGGTAAACAGGTGGTCAGGTGAGGGTCACCAGGTGGCACAACCTCAGGAAGGCCTTTCACATTATAGTTTACATAAATGGTACCCCTCTGGAGGTACAACCCGTCTATGAATGGTGCCCCCGGGGTTTTGTAATGCAACATCCTTGAAACAAGAGGAGGGAAGAGCACCAGGTCACTGTGCACTTAGGAGATGAGGCAGAGTGAGGTTCGTTGTGAGGAAAATCTCATACAGAACTAGGATACCGAGGGCAAATTTTCCAAACCTGTTATCGCTTGTGGTTGGGCTTTTTGTCCATTCTGGACACACACATAATTAGCAATTGCTATGGCCAGGAAATGTCAATACATATACTTTAGCACACACAAAATCATTAATACATGCAATCCAGTCTTCAGCACTACAAAAACACAAGGGGTCCAGATGCACTGGATTCTCAAAACTAAAAAAAACAGTCCTCATATGCACCCCTACAACCCAGTAGCGTCTCCCAGTAATATTTTGAATCAATTTTGATATTTTTCGGTTGAGAATATTTTTTCACACTTTACTTTCAACACATTTTGATGTATTAAAGTGAGACCATTTTATTACATCTCACCTCCCTTGCAAAAATTGCCAAAAACCATAATCAAACCCACACGTGTTTCCCGAATGTTATGTAACTTTCCAGTACATAGCAGGGTGAAATATGCAATCTTAATTTTACTCTACCATGAAATTATTTGCCTGGTGCATGCTTCTCTATGAAGAGCTTCGAAACAATCATGATTGTGATTGGCGCACATAAAAAGAAGAGCAGTTATTTGCTTTTCTACTGGCTTTCCAAAGAGTTGCATTGGTGATTTAATGAGAAAATTCAAGTTCTCTTTGTTTCATAATACTAGTGATCTCCCAAAGGATATTGTCCACTCCCTGACTCAGAGCAAAGTTAATTTCTAGGCTCATTTGCTGCAGGACATAGAATAGATATGGAATCATGTAATGCCTCTGTCATATCCAACTTCTATCACCTTTGTTTAAAGTTGCTTAAACTCAGTTGTCTCAACTGTACAATGAGGATAACAATGACTTTGCTATAGAACTTTTGCCAGACATTGAAATATAAATACCTAATCTAGGGTTTGGCATATGTTATCATTGTTATTATAGCATTAATAGTATTTTATCTGTTTATGACTAAATTACAAACACATTCCATTTATTATTTAGATCTTAACCCCTTTGGGGATGTAATACATGTATCCTAGAATTTCAAATCCTGTCCTCTTAAGTGTTCACAATGGAGATGTTGGTATTTTAGAAGACTAACAGCAACTTTCTCTTCTGCTTCCAAGCTCTGAAACATTGAGTAAAGAATTCCAGAGACAGACAGATGGGAATTAAGCTACAAGGCACACTAGCAGAGCTGAACTGGATCAGTGGCCAAAACATTTCGCTATTTTAATACCCACCTGTGCAGACTCACCTCATCACTCACAGACATAACTGCCTCATAAGCTTGCCATACAGCGATGCAGACGGTGTATAGAGGTTGTTCAGAAAACACAGAAGAAAGGAAGCATTCACTCCCTAGTTCACCCACAGGCTCAATGACTCCTCAAAGAGGAGACCTGTCAAAGAGGGTGGAAGGGAGAGCAGAAGAAGTTTCAGATGCTTCCCAAAATGTGGACATTCTCATCTAGTAAGGTGGAGTGGAGTGGAACCAGGATGGCCACCTCTTTTAGGATGAAATAGGACATAAGTTCAGAGAAAGGAAAGCTTGCCTGGAAAGTTATATATATATATATATATATATATATATATACACAACTGTTCTATTTTTATATATATATATACTATATATTTCCAGCTTGCCTGGAAAGTTATATATATATATAACTGTTCTATTTTTATATATATATATATTATATATATAGTAACTGTTCTATTATATATATATTATATATATTTCTGTTCTATTATATATTATATATATTATATTATATATTATATGTAATATATTATATATATTATAAGTAATATATTATATATATTATATGTAATATATTATATATATTATATGTAATATATTATATATATTATATGCAATATGTTATATATATTATATGCAATATGTTATATATATTATATGCAATATATTATATATATTATATGCAATATATTATATATAATATATGTAATATATTATATTATATATTATATGTAATATCTTATATATTATATGTAATATATTATATATATTATATGTAATATCTTATATATATTATATGTAATATATTATATATTATATGTAATATATTATCTTATATATATTATATGTAATATATTATATTATATATTATATGTAATATATATTATATGTAATATATTACATATTATATGTAATATATATTATATGTAATATATTACATATTATATGTAATATATATTATATGTAATATATTACATATTATATGTAATATATTACATATTATATGTAATATATTATATGTATTATATGTAATATATTATATGTATTATATGTAATATATTATATGTATTATATGTATTATATGTAATATATTATATGTATTATATGTAATATATTATATATTATATGTAATTATATTATATGTAATATATTATATTATATATTATATATATTATATGTAATATATTATATTATATATTATATATATTATATGTAATATATTATATTATATATTATATATATTATATGTAATATATTATATTATATATTATATATATTATATGTAATATATTATATTATATATTATATATATTATATGTAATATATTATATTATATATTATATATATTATATGTAATATATTATATTATATATTATATATATTATATGTAATATATTATATTATATATTATATATATTATATGTAATATATTATATTATATATTATATATATTATATGTAATATATTATATTATATATTATATATATTATATGTAATATATTATATTATATATTATATATATTATATGTAATATATTATATTATATATTATATATATTATATGTAATATATTATATTATATATTATATATATTATATGTAATATATTTTATATTATATATATTATATTATATATTATATGTAATATATTATATTATTTATTATATATTATATATTATATGTAATATATTATATTATTTATTATATATATTATATTATTTATTATATATAATATATTATATTATATATATTATATTATATATATTTCTGTTCTAATATATATATTTCTATATATAATATATAGAAATATATTCTATATATTTCCAGCTTGCCTAGAAAGTTATATATATATATAACTGTTCTATTTCCCTTGTGAAAGAAAATGATCAAAAGATCTTGGGCCCCCAAAATCACTAAGCTAAAGGGAAAATTCAAGCTGGGACCTGCTTAGGGCAAACCTGCCTCCCATTCTCTTCAGTCATCTCTCTGCTCACTGGGATAAATGCATATCTCGTTGCCTTCTTTGGAAAGGTTAATCAGAAATTCAAAAGAATGCAACTGTTTGACTCTCACCTACCTGTGACCTGGACCAAACCAATGTTCATTTTACATATATTGATTGATGTCTCATGTCTCCCTAAAATGTATAAAACCAAGCTGTGCTCTGACCACCTCAGGCACACATCGTCAGGACCTCCTGAGGCTATGTCCTGGTCATGCGTCCTCAGCCTTGGCAAAAGGAACGTTCTAAATTAACTGAGACCTATCTCACGTTGTCGAGGTTCACACCCTCCACAGAAGTAACCCCCTCCACAGTCGTGAAGATGATCTTCTCCATCTAAATTATTTACTTTTACTATATATGTACATACTCATAAACTATATATAACATTATTTATGTATTTTTTTAGCACACACTATAAGCCACTTTTATATATATATTTATATATGTATATATAATATATATTTGTATATAGAAATATATATATGTTTGTTTAAAAAATTTGTAACACTAATTAATGCATTTTTTCACTCAATATTTTAAGATTTATCCACATCCATACCAATCTATGTAGTTCATGAATGTTAACACTGTATACTATTTTACTGTGTGACTATACTGTATACCTATTGACAGGCATTTGAGTAGTTTTCTCACTGCCACAATCAACGACCTTTACACATTTTTAATATCCACTTGCAAGGGAGTTTCATGGGATTATATCCAATTCCAGAGCAGAATTGCTGGTGCGTAGATAATGTGCATCCTCAACTTTAGGATTTGTTTGTCAAGTTACCCCCCAAAGGTGGTGGTATTAATTTACACGCCCTCCATCGGTATGTGAGTTCCCACTTCGTTACATTCTTACCTCAGAATTAGACAGACTCACCAGTCCTGTTCCAGGCAGCACCGGACTGAGCAACTACTGTGAAAAGAGGTCTGGCCTCAGGTAAGGCCAGGTCCGGCCCAGGTAAGCCTTCCCTGGGCAGTTGGCTTCAGTGAGGAAGAAGAAAGAGCTAAGCATATCCAGCATATCTTAGCATATCTTATCGAGCACATCCAGCTGCTTTTTCTATATTTGCTAGCCAGAGAAATCACTCCCGAGGTGTGATAGTTAATGCTATGCATCAGCTTGACTGGGTTAAGGGATGCCAAGGTAACAGTGAAACATTATTTCTGGGTGTTTCTATGAGGGTATTTCTGGAAGAGATTAGCATTTGAATCAGTGGACTGAGTGAAGAAGATTGCCATCACCAATATGTGCAGGCAGCATCTAATCCCCTGAGGGATTTGCCTTGGAGGTGAAAGCAATTCTCTTTCTCTCTCTTCTTGAGCTGGGACATTTATCTTCTCCTTCTCTCAGACATCAGAACTCATGACTCTCAGGCCTTTGGACTTAGGACTTACACAAGTGCTCACTTTTTCCCCTCCATTCCACCCTGGTTTTGAGGTTTTCCTCCTCAAACTGGCACTTACACCATGGGCTCCCCCAGTTCTCAGGCCTCCAGACTGAGACTGAATTATACCACTGAGTTTTCTGGGCTTCCAGCTTACAGACGTCATATTGTGAGACTTCTCATCCATGATAATCCCATGAGCCAATTCTCATAATAAATGTCCTCTCATCTATATAGACCATAGTGGTTCTTTTACCCTAGAGAACCTCGACTAATATGCCAAGGGAAATATGAGTTAGAGGGAGGATAAAGGCCAGTGTTGGGTCATATCAATGACATTTGTACACCTGAAAGGAAACATCAGGTATGGGAGGAAGACATCTTCTCGCTCCCAGCTTGGCGTGTGTATGAGTTCATTCTCACACTGCTATGAGATTGGGTAATTTATGGAGAAAAGAGGTCTGATTGACTGACATTTCCACACGCTGTACAAGAGGCAAGGATGAGGAGGCCTCAGGAAACTTACAATCATCATGGCAGAAGGTGAAGGGAAAGCAGGGACAATCTTCTCATGGTGGAAGAGGAGAGAGAGAAAGAGCAAAGGGGGAAGTTCCACACACTTTTAAACAACCAGGTCTTGTGAGAACCCACTCACTACCATGAGAACAGCAAGAGGGAAATCTACCCCCACGATCTAATCACCTCCCCCCAGATCATTCTCCCAACATTGGGATTTCAATTCAACCTGAGATTTGGGTGGAGCCACAAAGTCAAACCGTATCCGCATGCTTCTTCAAACTGAAGGTTTTTATCTTCCTCCAGAACCAAAACATTCTTAGACATGTTGATATTGCCTATCCTATTATCTTTATCTTCTTCTGACACACAGAGCATGTCAAACCTGTTATTTTATTCTCCATGCTTCTTAATTTCGCACTCATATTTTCCCTCATCTCTTTCTGTGCTGCATGCTGGTAATTTCCTCAGCTCTATTGTGCAGTTCATTAATTTTCTCTACTACTGTAACCCACACATGAAATTGTAATCAGTCAGTGGCAAGTATATCATGAACTTATTGAGGGATGGGCAAGGCAGTGGCTCTCATTCCTAACTGTACATAGATAGAATCTCTTGAGGAGCTTTAAAAATCCTGATGTCAAGGCTTCGTCCCAGACAATGAAATCAGCATCTCTGAGAATGAGGACCCAGACAACAGTAGTTTTAAAAGCTCTGCAGGTGCTTTCAATGGTTAGCCAATGGTGAGGATGACTGTTGGACAAAAGGAAAGAAGGAAGCTTTAGTTCCACATCTTCACTGGCAGGTGACCCATACGTGGGGCCTAATTACAAATAAGATGAAAGAGCAAAATCCAGGGTGTTGAGCTCTTAAACTTTTAAAGGATTATAACAAACTTCAAATGTTTTTATAGTGTACTTTAGCATGTAAATGAAAAAAAAACATAGTTTTCAAGAAAAATGTATTTATAATTTGGATTTATTTTTGTGTCTGTATTTCCAAAAGTAAAAGTTCTGAACTGAAAACTGTTATGTTAAAATGTTTTTCCTTTAACTAAGTGGATGATGACTTTCTGCTATATTAGAGTAGGTTCTAGATACTTGAAGGGAAGGTTTAGGGAAATAAAAATGATAGTGGCGGTAGGTTTTGATTATCTTCTGTGTGCTTGAAGCTTTATGTGTGTTCTAGTCTGTTAGGACTGCTACAACAAAATACCATAAACTGTATGGCCCACAAACAACAGAAGTCTATTTCTCACAGTTTTGGGGGATGGGAAGACCAAGATAAAGGCACTGGTAAATTTGGTGTCTCGTGAGTGATATCTTCTTGCTGTGGGGCCAGGCAGCTCTCTGGGGCCTCTTTATAAGGGGGCTATTTATGAGAGCTCTACCCTAATGATCTAATCATCTCCCAAAGGCCACATCTACATCATCACATCAGTGATTAGGGTTTCAACATACAAATATTTTTTGAGGTCAAGGGAAGCACATACATTCAAACCACAGCACTATTTTCTTTTAATTTTTTCAAGAAATTGACTAGTATTATTTTCCTGCTTTACAGCTGAAGAAACAAACATGGAAAGGTTCATTTCATTGTCCAGGTTTTCATAGCTCATAAAGGGCAGAGCTGAGACTATAAATCCAACCTTTCTAACTCTAAAGCCATCCTCTCCCCTTCCATTCTTGCCAGTTGGTTATTGCTTATTTGTAAGGACAAGCATTATTCACAGTTTATTTTACTTCCCAGAGAACACCTGCTGTTAGTTTCCTGAGGTTTTTTTTGGCAGCCAAAGTCAGTTCTCTTTGGGCAATTGCATTCACAGGTGTCTCCCTACTCTAGAGATTTTTGTACACCTGGCCATAAATATTCTCTAATTTTAAACATTCTATAATCCGTAATTCTCTATCCTAAATCCATGGCATAGTGACTGGCATAGAGAAAGTACTCAACAAATATTTATTGAACAAATAAATGTGATGAACAGGGCATGAGCAAAATCAGAAATTAATCCTTTAGGGACTTGTGCTGGGTAAGAGAGCCTGACTTTGGAATGAATGCAGTATAGAATAATAAGAAAAACACGAACCTTGACAATCTTGGTTTAAATTGACATTTTGTACTTATAAACTTAGTAAATGCAAGTTTTTAAACTTTTTGAACTTGGGTTACCTTGTCTGTAAATTGGAATTAATAATGATAACCTCTTAGGATTGTTTTATAGACAAAAAAACTAACATATGGAGACGGTCCAAAACAAATAACTTCTCAAAATATGGTCCCTACTTTCACTGTGTGTGTTTTATCTTATGAAGTTTATAAATATCCACAGTGTGATGATTTTTAAGGAAACTGGAAGAAAATGCATGCATTTTCCACAGAGATTTCGAGCACAACTTCTGGATGTTCTTTTAATAGCATTGAGTGCACTGGGACTCACAAGCCAATACATTAATAAAATATTTCAACAATGTATATATTGCATAGCCAGCTTCTAATGGTTTAGTTTTAATTTTATACATTTATATTAAAAAGAAACTAAATGTAACTCTGGATTAAAATTACTCCTGTTGTTCAGAATAGGCTAATTTTGTGCTTTTTTCAGAAGAATGATGCTTTTTATTGTTTTATTTATTTTCCTAATAAAACATCTGACTAGGTTTTCATAAAATGTTGTAAGACAAATACTTTGATTCTTGTTCCCTGTCTCTTCCCAAAGTCCACATTTTGTTGTTGTTGGGTTTTTTTTGTTTTTTTTTTTTTTGAGAGAGAGTCTTGCTCTGTCACCCAGGCTGCCAGGCTGGAGTTCAGTGACGTGATCTTGGCTCACTGCAACCTCTGCCTCCCGGGTTCAAGGGATTCTCCTGCCTCAGCCTCCAGAGTAGCTGGGACTACAGGCAACGCCACCATGCTCGGCTAATTTTTTACTTTTAGTAGAGATGGCGTTTCACCATGTTGGCTAGGCTGGTCTCGAACTCCTAATCTCAGGTCTCAGGTGATCTGCCTGCCTCGGCCTCCCAAAGTGCCGGGATTGCAGGAGTGAGCCACCGTGCCCAACTGAGGTCCAAGTTTTTAATGCTACTCGTGAATCAGAGAAGTAATTTGTAGGTTGCCTCAATGGATTTGCACAAAAAAAGACTGACATTTCAACTGCATTCTGAACACATTCCTGTTTAAGGCCATAGAGAGTTTTTATTTTATCTTTGGAGAAGCTCCACCTTGCCACATTCTATTATTTCAGTAACAGATGTTTCTAGCCAACCCATTGAGTCATCACATGGTCTTTTTGTAAATTTGACATTCATCACGATGTGAATCTTCTCAAGTTATCGTTTATAATGCCAACCTCGAGTGAGCATACTTTGACTGCCCTGCTTTTAGCTGCCATTTGAAACCATGTGGGCTCCAATTAGAGAGCCAACTAAACCACTAGGAAAACACTATGATTTTAAGTAGGTTTTCTGGAAAGGCAAGTCTTCTTACCCTGCATTTACTGGCAGTTTTATATTATTATCTCATAGGGAGGAACAATGGGGCTGATGAAATATGTCTACTTTAATGGATAATTTCCTCTTTGTAAAACATTTGGCTGAATTTCAGTGTGTAATGGGAACCAAATACTAACTTGATTTTCTATGTTTAAGGACAGTATGTAAGTTCCTTACATGAGAATTTATGCTTTTTCACACTTCCTACAAAATGGAAAACAAATTGTTTTCCAAAATGTTGTATCAATGACAGTTTCCACAGAATATGTGTTCTAGTTATTCCATACCCATGTGAACATTTTAATCTTGTCAGGTTTCTAAGATTTTGCGAATCTAATAAATGTAAAAGAGCAGCATCTCATTGTGGCCATAATTTGTATTTCTAAAGATCATTAATGAGTTGATCTTTTCATGTCAGCCATATGTATTTGTTCTTTTATATAATACTTTATTAATATCTTTTGTGCATTTTTCTGTTATACAACCCAATATCCTATTTTCATGTAT
The DNA here is from genome assembly GCF_000001405.40 of Homo sapiens. Classification (NCBI taxonomy): domain Eukaryota; kingdom Metazoa; phylum Chordata; class Mammalia; order Primates; family Hominidae; genus Homo; species Homo sapiens. The sequence continues at coordinate 228,271,182 of NC_000002.12, forward strand.
TGAATAAGTACCACTTTTTCTAATGATCTTCAATGATTTTTTTGTTCATAATTCCTGTTTCTAGGTTCTCTGTTCAATTCATCAATGTATGGATACCTGAAAAAATAGCGATATTAATTTTTATGGCTTTATAATAAGTTTTTACATCTTCTAGAATATGCCTAATTTTTTTTCTTTAGGAATGTTTTGGACCTATTTTTGCCCTTTGCTTTTCCAAATTAATTCTGGAATAATTTTGTCAAATTTCACAAAAAGTGCTACTGGAATTTTTATTGAAATTATATTGGGTGTTTAGATCAACTTGGGGAGAACTGAAAAATGATTCTATTTAATGAAATTAGATCTATATTATGTAGGCCTTTGAAATATATTTAAATAAATTTACATGACTTTCTTTGTATCAGTGATATGTATCTTTAGATGAAATCTGATATATTCTAGTGGTTTTTTATAACAAATGTTACATTTTTTAAATTTGTTTGTTGCTGGCTTTTATAAGATTATTTTTTGTATAGACATCTTCTGTTCAGCTGCCTATCTAAATTATCCTTATCATTTTAACAATTTGTAGATTTTGGGGGTGGAGATTTTAGGTAGACAGTCATATCATTTGCATATTAAGACAGTTTAATTAGCTTCTAATTGGCATTTTCCAGTGTTTATGCTTTTTGTTGGAAGATTTAATTTATCTACCTGTGAATATTATATTCCTGTACATGCAGATTTACATTTTTCATTAGTTTAGAATATTTGAATTCTTTGTCTTTTCAAATATTGTCTCTCTTTTCTTCTTATGAAACTCTGATTAGATATACACATCCTATTCTCATTCTATCCTTCATATCTTTTAAGGTTTGTACACATTTGCCATTTTCTGAACTTTGTGTGTGATGCGTTCCGTGCAATTTTTGATATGTCTTCTATATCTTCTAGTTCACTAAATGTTTCATCTATCTCTAAACTACTATTAACCATCTATTGAATTTTTAAATTCAAAATTGCATACTTGTGGTTTCCCTAAATATTCTATTTTAAAATCATGCTTCCTACTTATTCTTGATGATCTGTGTTGCATGCTCATCGAGACTGATTCCTTTATTTCTGTAATACTTGTAATACTGTTTACTTGTAATACTGTAATAGCTGTTTGCTATTTTGTATTTGGCATTTCCAATATCTGGGATCTCTGAAGAACTAAGAATATCATTCTATATTTCTGTTGACTCTCATGCATAGTAGATCACCTTCTTTCGTACTGGTCAATCCTTATGGACTCATTGCTTAGACTTCATTCATGAAAGATCTATATGGTAAAACTAGGATAGCTTTTCTCTAAAGATGGATTGCCTCTGCTTTGCCAGTTGCCATGGTTCACAAATAGGAACCTCTTTCTATCTTTTTTTCCCTATCGGCATTTAGTGTGGAAATCTCATGCTCAGGTTCCTTAATCCCTAAAGGCTCAGGGATTGAGCTACTATTGGTGTCTTCCTTCAGGACAACTGTCCTGCCCTGGTTGTTCACCACTCAGTCCCAACTCTTTACTCTGACTCCAGGTAACACTTTTTTAAAAAAAAAAAACTGGGCACGATGAAGTAAGGGGTTTGAAGAATGTTCCTACTTCTTCTGAGACTGTGAAGTTCTTATATTTTCTGCCAAATGTGGTCTCTCTATTGAGTCACAATGCTGAACACAAAACATCCATGTAACAATTATTTGACCAAGTTTTTGAGAGTTTTTTTCCACATTACAGTAAACACAAGTGTGTTTGGAAGGCTATATTACAGAATAATAATAAATTATAGAATAACATTTATTGCATATTTTCTATATGCCAGCCACTATCCTATACCCTTTACATTATAGTTAATTTTTCCAACAAACCTATAAGCAAAAGTCTATTAATATAATACCCACTTTAATAAAATGTGGAAATTGATACACAATAACATTAAGCATCTTGTCCAAGGTAGCATCTCGTCCAAGGTAGCATCTCTAGTAAATGAGGAAGTCGTGGCTTTAACCAGGGTAATCTGACTCCAGAGATATGTTTCTTTAAACAATGTAATATAAATACATCAAGGAAGCCCAATGTCATGGAATTCTGCCAAGAAGGGGGCACCAGCCTAGAACTCGGGGGCATCTCCAAATGTTGGCTTTTCAATGGCTCGCACCCAGGGTTCTGTCCATGGTAGTTTCGGGTGATGGATGTTTGGAGCCCCTTGTGATTCCAGTCCGTGGATGAAGGCCAGTCTTCCATTCCTGCTGGTAACCTCGGTATCTCTCAAGGGTTCACTCAGAGGCTCTCTTACTGGCTTGTGTGAGGCTGACAAAACAACATGATGTATGTGGCCATTTACCAAACAGTAAAAACTTGGTGGGTATAACAGGGAAAGTCTTTCTTTTTTTCTTTTCACTTCTACTTTAGAAAATCAAGAATATGGACAGATTTGTGGATTACCAGTTTCAGATCAATGTATTAGTTTCTAGGACTATTGTAACAAAGTACCACAAATTGGGTATCTTAAATATATTGTCTCACAGTTCTACAGACTAGAAGTCCAAGATCAAAGTGTAATCAGGGTTGGTCCTGAGGGCAACAGAACAGGATATGTTTTATGCTTCTTTCCTAGCTTCTGGTGATTTTACGTCAACCTTTGCCTTACATGGTTTGTATAATACCACCCTATTTCTCCCTTCATCTTTACATGGCATTCTTTTATATGTGTCTGCATCTGAATTTCTCATTTTTATGATAACACTAGTCATATTGCAATAAAGACCCACCCTACTCCAGTATGACCTCCACTTAAATACTTACATTGCAATGACCCTGTCTCCAAATAAGGTCACATTCTGAAGTATTAGGAATTAGAATTTCAACGTATGAAATTTGGGAGTCACAATTCAACCCATAACAATCTATATACTCTTTCATTCTTATGTGTTTCTCCTGTACTTCAACATATAAAAACAGTAACTTACACTTTTAAAGTACTCACTATGTGCATACCAAATGCTCCTCTCGGTATATCTATTGACATTTAATTTTCGGCACCTTTGATGTAGAGGTTACTGTTATGCTGATTTGAAAAGTGAGAAAACTAAGACACAGAGAGGTTAAGATATTTGCACAAGGTCTGAGGGCAAAGATGGCCTGTGCCTGGCCTTGGCTCTGGGTGCCTGCTCTGCACCACTTTGCAGCACTAGCTCTCTACGCATGTCTGCCTCCACGTGGAGTACGCCGTGTGAGGAAGGAGAGGAGTTGTTATTGTAGCTGGTGCACTCTTACTCTCTTTAACTGTGATCTTAGACAACAGTCTTCATTATGTCCCATTAATATTGATGCTCGAGTTCTTTTAGAATGTAAGATTTTTTTTTTTTTTTTTTTTGAGACAGGGTCTGGCTCTGTTGCCCAGGCTACAGTGCAGTGATACTCTCTTGGCTCACTGCAACCTTTGCCTCCCAGCTTCAAGCGATCCTCCCACCTCAGCCTTCAATGTAGCTGGGATCACAAGTGTATTCCACCCCACCAGGCTAATTTTTAAATTTTTTTAGAGACAAGGTTTCCCTATGTTGCCCAGGCTGGTCTTGAACTCCTGGGCTCAAGTGATCCTTCTGTCTTGGCCTCCCAAAGTACTAGGATTACAGGCATGAGACAACACACTTGGCCTGATATTTGAAATTACAAACCTTAGTGTGATTTGAATGTATCTATAGAAACTAGAGTTGGCCCTCTGTGTTCATGGGTTTCACATCTGCAGATTCAACCAACTGTGGATCAAAAATTAAAAAAAGAAAAAACACAATAAAAGTTAACAATACTGAGTAAAAAATTAATGGAAATAAAAAATAGAATACTACAACTATTTATGTAGATTTTACATTGTATTAGGTATTATAAGTAAGCTAAACATAATTTAAAGTATACAAGAAGATGTATATAGGTCATATGCAAATACTATGTCATTTAAAAAAATAATTTCCATGTTTATTTTAATTTATTTTATTGAGATGGAGTCTCGCTCTGTTGCACAAGCTGGAGTGCAGTGGTGTGGTCTTGGCTCACTGCAACCTCCACCTCCCAGGTTCAAGTGATTCTCCTGCCTCAGCCTCCAGAGTAGCTGAGATTACAGGTGTTCACCACCACACCTGGCTAATTTTCACTGCTTTTAGTAGAGATGGGGTTTCACCATTTTGTTTAGGCTGGTCTTAAACTCCTGACTTCAAATGATCCTCCCACCTCAGCCTCCCAGATTGCTGGGATTACAGGCATGAGCAACCATACCCAGCTCAAATTTATTTTAGATTCAGGGATACATGTATAGTTTTGATACATGGGTATGTTGTATGATGCTGAAGTTTGTGGTACCCATGGTCCCATCACACAGGTATTGATCATAGTATCCAAATAGGTAGTTTTTTAGCCCTTTTCCCCCACTTCCTCACTCCTCCCTCTAGTAGTACCTAGTGTTTATTGTTCCCATCTTTATGTCCATGAGTACCCAATGTTTAGCTCCCAATTATAAATGAGAAATGTAGTATTTGGCTTTCTGTTCCTGCATTAATTTGCTTAGGATAATGACCTCCAGCTGCATCCATTTTGCTGCAAAGGGCATAATTTTTTCTCTTTAATGGCTGCATAGTATTCCATGGTGTATTTGTTCTACATTTTGTTTATCCATTCCACCATTGATGACATTTAGGTTGATCTGATGTCTTTGCTATTGTGAAGAGAACTGTGATGAACATATATGTGCATGTGCCTTTTTTGGTGGAATGACTTGTATTTCTTTGGGTTTGTACCCAGTATTCGAATGCTGGGTTGAGTGGTAGTTCTCTTTTTAAATTCTTTGAGAAATCTCCAGATTGCTTTACACAGCGACTGAACTAATTTACATTCCAACAAACAGCGTATAAGCATTCCTTTTTCTGTGCAGCCTCACCAACATCTGTTATTTTTAATCTTTTAACAAAAGTCATACTGACCAGTCTAAGACTATATCTCATTGTGGTTTTGATTTGCATTTCTCTGATGATTAGTGATGTTAAGCACTTTTTTTCTAAGTTTGTTGGCCACATGTATGTCTTCTTTGAGAAGTTTCTGTTCATGTCCTTTGCCTACTTTTTAATGGGGTAAATTGACTTTTACTTGTTGAATTGTTTAAGTTTTCTATAGATTCTGGATATTAGGCTTTTTTTAGATGCATAATTTGCAAATATTTTCTTCTATTCTGCAGTTTTTCTGTTTACTCTGTTGATAGTTTCTTTTGCTGTGCAGAAGCTCTTCAGTTAATTAGATCTCATATATCAATTTTTGTTTCTGTTGCAATTGCTTTTGAGGACTTAGCCATAAATTATTTGCCATGGCTGATGTCCAGAATGGTATACCAAAATATCTGGGATACAGCAAAAGCAGTGTTAACAGAAATGTTTATAGCACTAAACACCTACATCAAGAAGTTTGAAATATCTCAAATCAATGATCTAAAATCTCACCTAGAAGAACTAGAAAAATAAGGATAAATTAACCCAAAAGCTAGCAGAAGAAAAGAAATAACTAAAATCAGAGCAGAACTGAGTGAAATTGAGATCCAGAATTTGATGAAAAATATCAACAAAACCAAAAGTTAGTTTTTTGAAAGGATAAAAAAGATCAACAAGCCACTAGCTAGATTAATAAAGAAAAAAAAGATAGTAGATCCAAATAAGCACAATAAGAAACAACAAGGGCTACATTACAACTGATCCCATAGAAATCCAAAAGATTTTCAGAAACAATTATAGACACCTCTGTGCATACAAACTAGAAAATCTGCGGGAAATTGATAAATTCCTGGAAACACACACATGCTCTCAAGATTGTATCAGGAAGAAATTGAAACCCTGAACACACCAATATTGATTTCTGAAATTGAATCAGTAATAAAGAAACCTACCAATCAAATTACCCTGGATCAGGTAGATTCACAGCCAAATTCTAACAAATATACAAAGGACTGGTACCAATTCTACCAAAACTATTCCAAAAAAATCAAGGAGGAAGGACTCCTTCCTAACTCATTCTATGAGGTGAGCATCATCCTTATACCAAAATCTGGCAGACACACACACACACACACACACACACACACAAAACTTGGCTAGGTGTGGTGGCTCACACCTGTAACCTCAGCATTTTGGGAAGCCAAGATGGGTGGATCACTCAAGCTCAGGAGTTTGAGACCAGCCTGGCCAACATGGTGAAACCCTGTCTCTATCAAAAAATACAAAAATTGGCCGTGCATGGTGGTGTGCACCTGTAGTCCCAGTTGCTTAGGAGGCTAAGGTGGGAGGATTGCTTGAGCCTGGGAGGCAGAAGTTACAGTGAGCTGAGATCTCACCACTGTACTCCAGCCTAGGTGACAGAGTGTGACCCTGTCTCAAAAATAAATGAATGAATTAATTAAAAAATAAAGTAAAAAGAAAACTTGAGGCCAATATCCCTGATGAACATGGGTGGAAAAATCTTCAACAAAATACTAATAAACTGTACCCAGTAGCACATCAAAAAGTTAATTTTCTATGATCAAGTAGGATCTATTCCTGGGATGCAAGGTTGTTACAGTATACACAAGTCAATAAATGTGACTCACTACATAAACAGAATTAAAAATAAAAACCATATGATAATAGACACAGAAAAAGCTTTCTATAAAATCAAATTTCTGTCCATCATAAAAACCTTCAACAAACTAGGCATTGAAGGAACATATCTCAAAATAATAGGAGCCAACTATGACAAAGCCATAGCCAATATCATGCTGAATGGGCAAAATCTGGAGTCATTCTCATTGAAAACAGGAAGAAGAGAAGGATGCCCTCTTTCACTGCTCTTAGAACTGGAAGTCCTAGCCAGAGTAATCAGGAAAGGGAAAGAAATAAAAAATATCCAAATAGGAAAAGAAGAAGTTAAATTATTTATCTTTGCAGACAATATAATTTTATACCTAGAAAACCCTACATTGCCAAAAGGCTCCTAGAACTGATAAATGACTTCAGTAAAGTCATCATTCAAATGACACAGTAGCATCTCTATACACTAATAATGTTCAAGCTGAGAGCCAAATCAAGAATGCAATCTCATTTGCAATAGCTACAAAAAGAATAATATACCCAGGAATACAGCTAACCAAGGAGATGAAAGATCTCAACAAGGAGAACTACATAACACTGCTGAAAAAAAAATCATGGATGACATAAATAAATTGGAAAACATCCCATGCTCATGCATTGAGAGAATCAATATTGTTAATATGGCCATACTTGCCTAAAGCAGTGTACAGATTCAATACTATTCCTAGCAAACTGCTAATGTCATTGTTCATAGAATTAGAAAAATAACTATTCTAAAGCTCATGTGGAATCAAAAAAGAGCTCAAGTAGCCAAAGCAGTCCTAAGCAAAAAGAACAAAGTCAGAGGCATCACATTACCCACCTTGAAACTATACTGCAAAGCCACCATAACCAGAACACAATGGTCTGGTACAAAAACAAACACATAGATCAATGGAACAGAATAAAGAAACTAGAAATAGAGCCACACACCTGCAACTGTTTCATCATTGACAAACATGAAAAAAATAATCAGTAAAAAAGGGACTCCCAGTTCAATAAACGGTGCTGGGATAACTGTCTATTCATATGCAGAGGAATGAAACTGGACCCTACCTTTCACCATATGCAAAAATGAACTCAAGATGGATTACAGATTTAAATGTAAGACTTCAAACTATAAAAACCCTAGGAGAAAACCTAGGATACCATTATGGAGTATGCCATTTTATATCAGTGACTTGAGCATCCATGAATTTTGATATACACAGGGGTCCTGGAACCAATTTCCCATGGATATCAAGAGATGACTGTATATGACTTTGGTAGCTGCTTTTTAATTTTCATATATTTATTAAATGATAGAATTATCACTGTTTGTATTGCTCTTTGGGAAACAATACTCTTTCTTCCTGGATAAGCATTTTTATTGCCTAGTTCACTTTTCCAATTACACTTACATAAGGAAAGCCTGAACTTAAAATTAGCACTCAGCTGTGTACTTGATCATAAACCAGACAGTTTTCTGAAATAAAAACTGTCTAAATAAACATCTTTTAAACATAAATTTTATAAAAACAACTGAAGTTACTGATATTGTCCTATGTTTTGAAGTATAATGCAGACAGAAACTGAAATGAATTGGCCTTTAACAGGTGCAATAATTAAAACTGGAGATTGATGGAAGAGAACTGCTTGATATAACAGTTAGGTGGAAACATAATCATTTAGAGCCAAACCGTCCTTCTGAACTCTGGCTCTAATGTGATATGTATTCGGTGTTTTGTTTTTATAGTATCTTTTATTTAATACATTTCGTATAATCTGCTCATGAGATCTCAAAACATATCGAAGACATAGATCTTAGAACTGAGAACATTTTGCAGGGCTTAAACATTTCTATTGAAGTGTAAAGAGAAAAATCAACCACCGTGTGAGAAGAGATTTAAAACTAATGTGTATTGATTTATCGTAATAGAATGAGTTAACTGAATCATTACTTGTATGGAAATATGTTCTGAGGAAATTTTCTAAACACAATTTTATTTTAGGCTGGGTACAGTGGCTCACACCTATAATACCAGCAATTTGGGAGGTTGAAGCAGGAGGATTGCACAAGTTCCAGAGTTCGAGACCAGCCTGGGCAACATAATGAGACCGTTTCTACATACACACATGCAAAGGAAAAAAAAAAACCAAAACAACTAAAAAAATTAGCTGGTGCCATGACGCGCACCTGTGGTCCCACTACTCTGGAGGCTTAGATGGGAGTATTGCTTGAGCTCAAAAGTTTGAAGCTGCAGTGAGCTATTGTCATGCCACTGCACTCCAGCCTGGGTGACAGCTTGAGACCATGTCTCTATTTTAAAAATTATTTTATTTCTAGTAAGCATGTAATTTCAAATGAAAAAATGATTAAATGTATAATTACCTATAAGCTTCAGCTGCCATTGCATATTTAATTGTTAATATATGTAGCCATACCATATTCTCTAAATCAAAGTGCTTATAAATTATGTTTATAAATTTAATCCTCAGCATAATCATTAGAGCAAACTAAAGTTGTTGTATCATTGTAACTTTGGTTTGTAACTCCATTTTTTTGTTCTCTACATGATTAACGAGACAAAAAATTATTTATCTAAGTTTTGGATATATAATGCATACAGATATAATTTTGTGACAGCAGTAACTGAAAGGGAATGGAGATGGAGCTCTGTAGGAGCACAGTGTTTGTTTGCAATTGAAATTAAGCTGGTATAAATTCAAATAAGAGGGTTATAACTTTAGGATATTAAATGTAATCCCCATGGTAACCATAAAGAAAATAGCTACAGAATTCAGAAAAAAAAGGAAATAAGAGAATTTAGAAAGTTTCGTTATATAAAATCAACTAAACACAAGACGGTAATGCAGAAAATGATGGCCCAAAATGCTGTAAGGTATATAGAAAACAAATAACAAAGTGAAAGAGGTCCTTCCTTATCAGTAATTATTTTCCAGAACAATCTCAAAAGAGAACAAAGTAGAGGACTTCAATTTCATGATTCCAAAATTTACTATGAGGCTATAATAATGAAAACAGTGTGGTATTGGAATAAAAACAGACATGTAGACCGGTGGAATAGAGTCCAGAGATAAATTCTCATGTACGTGGTCAAATTATTTTTGACTAGGGTGCCAGAACCATTCATTGTCGAAAGGATAAGTCTTTTCAACAAATAGTGCAGGAAAACAGGGTATCCATGTGCAAAAATAATAAATTGAACCCTTACCTAATACCATATGCAAAAATTAACTCAAAGTGGGTCAGAGACCTGAATGTAAGAACCAATACTATAAAACTCCTAGAAGGAAACAAAGGGAGAAAGCTTCATGACATTGGATTTGGAACTGATTTATTGAATGTTAAACCTAAAGTACAAGCAATAAAATAAAAAATAGACAAATTGAACTTCAATGATAAGAAATTTTGTGCATTAAAGAACACTATCAACACAGTAAAAAGGCAACCCACAGAATGTGAAAAATTTTTGCAAATTACATGTCTGAGATGATATTAATATCAGAACATAGAGAAAACTCCTAAAACTCAGTAACAAAACAAAAGACCCTATTAAAAAACCAGCAAATGACTTAAATAGACATTTTGCCAAGATGATATACAAATGACCAATAAATACACAAAAGATGCTCAACATCACTAATCATTGGGAAGATGCAAATCAAAACTATAATAAGATACTGCTTCACATTCATTAGGATGGCTACAATCAAACAAACAGAAAGTAGGCATTGGCAATGATGTAGAGAAAATGAAATTCTTGTGCACTGCTAGTGGGAATGAAACGGTGCAGCTGGTATGAGAAAAACTATGGCACTTTTCTTAAAACTTATGCTAAAAATTTACATATGATCCAGCAATTACACTTCTGGACATATACTCAGGTGAACTGAAAGCAGAGACATGAATAGATATTTACACACTCATGTTAACAACAAAATCGTTTACAATGGTCAAAACACGGAAGCAACCCAATTGCCCATTGATAGATGAAGGGATAAAATATACATACAATGGAATATTATTCAGCCTTGAAAATAAATCCTGATATAATATACTGTATAGATAAACCTTGAGGATATTATGTTGAGTAAAATAAGCCACTCATAAAAAGACAAATACTGTAGGATTTCACTATGTGGTACATACAATAGTCAAATTTATAGAGAAAGAAAGTGAAATAATGGTCATCAGTGGTTGTGGAAAGAGTAGAATGGGAAGTTGTTTAATGGGTATACAGTTTTAGTTTGGGATGATGAAAAAATTCTGGAGATGGTTAGTGATGACAGTTACACAAGAATGTGAATGTATCTTAATGCCACTGAATTGTATACTTAAAGCAGTTAAAATGATACATTATATGTTGTATATATTCTACCACTATAAAACTTATTAGTTTTAAAATGTTTCAAAAACAATAAATGCTTGTTAAAAGTTTCAAACAATACAGAGGTGCATAAAGTAAAAAGAGAAAGCCTCACTCGCCACTCTCACTCCCCCAAGGATTCTGTATCTTTGAAATGATAAGATTTAAACTTATTTTATGGTATTAGCCCAAATTTCATAAGAACACAGGCGATGTGTAGGAAGTGCTAGTAAAAATTAACAAAAATATAGGACTTACGAAGAGGAAGTTAAAAGTGTCCATGACAAAAGAGCAGCTAGTTATACAGGGATCAGAAGTGTTTATCCAAATATAGGACTCACAAAGCTTGAGTTCTTTCTAGATGGTTAAATAATAACTGCAGCACAGATGGGCCTTCTTGGCTCTTCACAAATGTAAAATATGATGTGTATTTGTAAGATAATTCCTTATGGCACAGAAAAGCATTTCTCTATTTTATATAGAATTTATTTTTACACTCAATAACTCCTTAATCTTGAAATTTTAACCTCAGAAATATATTCTATGAAAATGCTTAGTTGAATAAGTTTTCCTCTGAGGTGTGTTCAATCACATTTGTTATTTACCAGGTTGACTAAAACAATGGGTTCAGAAGCCAATGTGCTCTTGATTACTTAAAATTCTCACCCTAGAATCAGCCAGATTTTATTCTTATTATTCAGAGAAAGTGGTTTCTTCCTCTGGAATCATTTTTTTTGTATTTTTAAATTTTTACCCCTTTCTGTTATCCTATTTTGGAATTCCCTCCCTTCTCTTTCACTCTAAATCACCTAGCCTAACTGAAGCAGACCAGCTCTTCTCTTGGGACCCTTTCTCATCTGCTACAGCACACGTACACGCTCTTACAGTACTTGGGCCTATGGCCATTTAAATGTCTATTTTCTTGTACCTTTATTTTTTCGCTTAGAAATTTCACCTGGGTAAACCTTGTTGCTTCTATGTACTGTCCACACACACATAAAGACATTATTTCAACACTAGATACATAGTAGATGATAAACAAGACGATACTGACAGCATATGGTATAAATAGGCACTCTTTAATAATATGATAACCACCACCATCATATATGCCTATTATAATAAAAAACTTATTCCACATATTTTATTCAAATTTTTCTTTTTGTACATATTCAGTAGACTTGTTACTGGCTAGGTGCAGGTCTGCTCTGCCTGCATGTAATAATTCAATCACTGTGACATGGGTTTTGTGAAAGAGAAAAGATTTATTTGCAAGAACACCAATACAGAAAGGAGGAGAATAGGTGAGGCTTGTAGAATTTATGGATTAGGTGAGTGGGGTGGTCTAAGGCATAGGAAACAGTAATTGGTGGTGGGGAAACATGAAGTAACAGGTTCATTTCACACAAGCACAGCTGGAGTTCACAGCATCTCGCAGGACGTATGTATAGAAAATGGAAGCATTAGCATGATTTGAGGGTGAAGTTTTTGGCCCTCCCACATGCAAATGCCACCTTTCAGGCACCTGTTCAGGTCAGCTGAAGAATCAGTGGTCTCAACCAGTTTTAATTGGACAGGAACTGGCCCAAGTTCCTGAAAAACAACTGAAACAACCATTATCATAGTGACCTATGAATGTTATCTATAAAGTAGCCAGTGAAGATTAAGTTTCAAGGTTCAGTGGTATGGCCTTCAGCTACTGCAGCCTTCAACTTCTTTGAAACAAAACAAAACAAAACAAAACAAAACAAAACAAAACAAAACAAAACCAAAACCAAAACCAAAACCAAACAAAACAAGAGCAAGTAACCAAAAGCTAGCAGGTCAGGCAGACCTGGTTGAATTAACCTCTCGGTTTAGCCTCATAGATATGATCTCTCAATTTTCCTAAACTCCATTCCTTAAAATGTGCACACCAGACTAATTTTCTAGCCTTCTAATTGGTTTGACATTCTAAATTCATGCAAAAATTCTATTCCCCAGTATGTATGTTTTCAGACAATGTAAAACATAATCATTCCCATTTTACATATTTAGAAGTTTAGATAAAAATATGCTATTATACTGCATTTAAATTTATTAAAATAATTTGTGTTATTTAGAATGTTCTTTTTTCTCAGCTCTTATTTTAGAATCTGGGGGTACATGTGCAAGTTTGTTATGAAGGTGTATTGCATGATGCTGAGATTTGAGGTATGATTGCACCCGTGACCCTGGTAGCCAGCAGAGTGCCTAATAGGTTTCTTCAGCCCTTGCCCTACTCTTTCTGTCCCTCCTCTAATAATCCCAAGAGTCCATCATTTCCATCTTTATGTCCATGTATACTCAATGGTTAGTTCTCACTTATGAGTGAGGACATGAGGTATTTGTTTTTCTGTTTCTGTATTAGTTTGTTTAGGATAATGGCCTCCAGCTGCATCCATGTTGCTACAAAGAACATGGTTTTGTTCTTTTTTAATGACTGCATATTACTCTGTAATGTATATGTACAATAGTTTCTTTATTTAATCCATCGATAGGCACCTGGGTTGACTCCATAGTTTTGCTATTGTGAATAGTGCTGCAATGAACATATGGTTACATATATCTTTTTGGTAGAACCATGTATTTTCCTCTGGGTATATACCCAGTAATGGGGTTGCTGGGTTGAATAGGAGTTGAACTCTTAGTTCTTTGAGAAATCTTTAAACTGCTCTCCACAGTGGCTGGACTAATTTACCTTCCCACCGACAGTGTATCAGTGCCCCCCTTTTCCTACAGGCACGCCAACATCTGTTATTTTTTGACTTTTTAATAAAAGCCATTCTGAATGTTGTGAGATGGTATCTCATTGTGGTTTTGAATTGCATTTCTCTGGTTACTGACGATGAGCATTTCTTTTTTTATGAGACGGAGTCTCGCTCTGTTGCCAGGCTGGAGTGCAGTGGTGCGATCTTGGTTCACTGCAACCTCCACCTCCAGGGTTCAAGTGATTCTCCTGCCTCAGCCTCCCAAGTAGCTGGGACTACAGGTGCACGCCACCATGTCCAGCTAATTTTTGTATTTTTAAATAGAGACGGGGTTTCACCATGTTAGCCAGGATGGTCTTGAACTCCTGACCTCAGGTGATCCACTCTAGACCTCGTGATCTGCCCGCCTCAGCTTCCCAAAGTGCTGGAATTACAGGCGTGAGCCATTGCACCTGGCTGAGCATTTTTTTACGTGTGTTGGCTGCTTGTATGCCTTCTTTGGAGAAGTGTCTGTTCATGTCTGTTGAGTACTTTTTAATGAAGTTAATTGTTTTTCAGTTATTGAACTGTTTAAGTTCCTTATAGATTCTGGATATTAGACCTTTGTTGGATGCATAATGTGTAAATAGTTTCTCCCATCTGTAGGTTGTCTTTTTACTCTGTTGGTAGTTTCTTTTGCTGTGCATAAGCCCTTTAATTTTATTAGGTCCCACTTATCAATTTCTGTGTTCATTGCCATTGCTTTTGAGGACTTAGCCATACATTTTTTGTCAAGGCCAATATTGAGAAGGGTATTTCCAGGTTTTCTTCTAGGGTTTTTATAGTTTTAGATCTCACATTAGAGTCTGTAATCTACCTTGAGTTAATTTTTGTATATGATGATAGTTGGGGGTCCAGTTTCATTCTTCTGTATATGTTTAGACAATTATTCCAGCATCATTTTTTGAATAGGGTGTATTTTCCCTATTGCTTATTTTTGTTGAAGATCAGATAATTGTGGGCACATTACTTTATTTCTGATTTCTCTATGCTGTTCCTTTGGTCTACGTGTCTGTTTTTGTACCAATAACATGGTGTTCTGGTTACCGTAGCTTTGTAGCATATTTGAAGTTGGGCAATGTAATGCCTGTGGCTTTGTCCTTTTTGCTTATGATTACTTTGGCTATTCGGGTTCTATTTTGGTTCTGTGTGAACTTTAGAATAGTGTTTTCTAATTCTGTGAAAAATGTCACAAAAATAGTTCTGTGACATTGGTAGTTTGATTGGAATAGCCTTAAGTCTATAAACTGATTTGGGCAGTATAGTCATATTAACAATATCGATTCCTCCAATCCATCAGCATGGGATATTTTTCCATTTATTTGTTTCATCTATGATTTCTTTCAGCACTCTTTTTTTTTTTTCTTTTTGAGACAGAATCTCACTCTGTCACCCAGGCTGGAGTGCAGGGGCGCAATCTTCACTCACTGCAACCTCCACCTCCTGGGTTCAAGTGATTCTTGTGCCTCAGCCTTCTGAGTAGCTGGGATTACAGATGTGCACCACGATGCTCGGCTAATTTTTGTATTTTTAGTAGAGATGGGGTTTCACCATGTTTGCCAGGCTGGTCTTGAACCCCTGATCTCAGGTGATCCACCCACCTCAGCCTCCCAAAGTGCTGGGATTACAGATGTGAGCCGCTGCACTTGGGCATTTTGTAGATCTCTTTGTAGAAGCCTTTCACCTCCTTGGTTAGATGTATCCCTAGTTATTTCATTCTTTTTGTGGCTATGGCAAATGGGATTGTGTTCTTGATTTGGCTCTCAGCTAGAATGTCATTAGGTGTATAAAAAATGATTCTGTATCCTGAAATTTAACTGAAGTCATTTATCAGTTCTAGGGGTCTTTTGGCAGAGTCTTCAGGGCTTTCTAGGTGTAGAATCATATTGCCCACACAGAGAGATAATCTGACTTTCTTTTACCCTGTTTAGATGTCTTTTATTTCTTTCCTTTGTCTAATTGCTCTGGCTAGGACTTCCAGTACTATGTTGAATAGGAGTGGTGCAAGAGGGCATCCTTCGCCTGTTCCAGTTCTCAAGAGGAATGCTTCCAGGTTTTGCCCATTTAGTATAATATTGGCTGTGGGTTTGTGATAGATGGCTCTTATTATTTTGAGGCATGTTCATTTGATGCCTAGTTTGTTGAGGGTTTTTGTCATGAAGCGATATTGGATTTTACTGAAAGCTTCTTCTGTGTCTATTGAGATGATCATATGGCTTTTGTTTTTAATTCTGTTTATGTGGTGAATCACATTTATTATTTTGTGTATGTTGAATTAACCTTGCACCCCAGGAATCAAGCCTACTTGGTAGTGATGAATTCACTTTTTGATGTGCTACTGAATACAGTTTGGTAGTATTTTGTTGAGGATTTTTGCATGTATGTTCATCAAGGATATTGGCCTGAAGTTTTCTTTTTCATTGTGTCTCTGCCAGATTTGGTATCATGATGATGCTGGCTGTGTAAAATGAGTTAGGGAGAAGTCCCTCCTCCTCAAAATTTTTGAAATAGTTTCAGTAGAATTGGTACCAGTTCTTCTTTATACACCTGATAGAATTCAGTTGTGAATCTATCTGGTCCAGGTATTTTTTTTTGGTTGGTAGGTAGGTTTTTGTTGTTGTTGTTTTGTTACTGATTCAATTTCTGAACTCATTATTGTTCTAAGCTTTTACTTTCTTCTTGGACTGGCCAATATTTTGGCTTCAGGAGTTAATTTTTGCTACTCAAAGAAAGTGTTATTTTATAGTTTTCCTATAGGTTTGACATGATGAATCACATAATAAATACTATTTAAAATGATGATAACTTGCTTTGATTCAGTGCATAATCTGACTCTGAATGAGAGGCCACTACTAACCCTTGCCTACAACTGTAGGTGAGGCCAGTATGAAAATATATCTGCATATGAGATAAACACTAATCCTTACCTATGCCTGTAAATAAGCCACTAATAACACTTGACTTCATCTGGCACCTGTGAAGTTGTGTGGCAGAGGCTGATGTTTATCTCCCCTAGTAGTTCTCAAAGTGGGGTTCCCTTAGCAGCAGCAGCAGCTGCAGCAGCTGCAGCATTACCTGGTGTGTTGTGAGAAAGGTGGATTCTCAAGTTCCACCTCAGACCGCCTGAAGAAGAAACTGGAGGCTGGGCCCAAGAATCTGTGTTTAAATCAGTGCTCCCCATTATTTTGATGCATTATATACTGCCCAAAGCATTGGTCTACTCACCAGCCAAGCTCCCTTTTTCCCTCCTAACCTAATTCCTACTTTTTCAGCAGCAACATGTTCAGGCTCTTTATCCAGCCATTGTGGGCTAGTTGTGATTGATTTAAGCTAGTCTTGTGAGTTGATCTTTATCTATTTATTTTTGTCAGTGATTGGTCTAGGGGAGGGCACGTTGACTTATTCTGGGCAACACATCGTAAGAAGAAGAGAACTATTCTCTTGTGGGAAAGATTCTGCTCCCTGGTAAAAAAAGAAAGCCAGCCATGTGAAGAAGAAGCTATTTTACCACCAACACATCACCTACCCCTTGCTTTCTAAATGAATATGGTTGTGCGATGTCTGGAGTGTCAGTTGCCAAATTACAACTAAAAGGAAAAGGCTAAGAGAAATGCAGGAACACCAATTCAGTGGCTTAATACTGTAGAGCTTTTGAGCATACCTGAAAACCACCTGTCTCAGAGTTTGTGTTTGGTAAGTTATATTATCCTTATGGTTTAAGCCATGGCTAGTCAGGTGTTTTGTATTTGCAGTCAACACCCCTTAACTGATACAAACCACGAAAGTCGATCTTTCAGCAGACATCATACCAACTAAGGTGGTTTATAAAGGGATTTCCAGCTATACCTAGTTTTAGATATCTTGTTGCTCATAAATAATTATGAAGAAAGCACATCCAGATGTGGAGAGTAATTTTAATAATGAATCTCCACCTTTTAAAATTGTGCTTTAAATTCAGTGAATTATGGGAGCTGTGGCAGAGCAGAAAGACAGATTTGGGATGGCATTTGAGGAATGGAGGAGAGAAGGCCCATTTGGCGAGTGCATATAATGCATGACTCTCCTCTGGGGTGGGGAATATGGCGGAAGCCTAGGGAGCAAGACAGCAAGTCAACTGAGGTGAGGTTGGGCAAGGAATTGGTAGGTGTTCTGAAGAATTTGTATCTTAAGTGCAGTGGGTCATAATCACACGTTTTTAAGCAGGGGAGTAACGTGTTATGGGCGAAGAGAAGAAAAAGACTGATTCTGTCTTGAGGGATTGGAAAAGACAAATTTTCTTGTTTTACTTAATACTAATTTGTGTAATCAGTAATTTGTATTTGATTTGATAAGGAAACACTTTTGGCAATCCTTAACACTACCCACATGTTCAGTAATTTGCTAGAAGGACTCATGGGACTTGGCATAGGGCCGTACTCATATCTAAGATTTATCACAACACAGCAAGCATCCTAAGCTAGTTAAATAAAGGAAAAATAGGTAGTGGTGGGGGGAGTCTCAACAAACACACATTCACCTCCTACACTCCTCCTTTGGGTGAGTGGCCACACAGATGACATTCTCCCTCTAGCAGCAACAGTGTGTGATGCTTCTGCCCATTTGAGACTGGTCACATAGGCATTCTCTGCTTAGACACTATGAAAATCCCATACTTCTAGCAGTTGTTCACCATAAATCACGTTGTATTTACAGACTCTGTAGGTACCCAACCTTATCAATTACAGTAAGTTTTAGAAGCCAAGCCAAGAGTCACCCAAGAGCCAATCTTGCTAGCAGAACCTTCAGAAGATTAGAAGCCTCAGGCCTGCTATGTTAACTGTTTTCTGAATGGAGGATTACTATTGAAACAATAAAATATGCTAGAGTTATTCTTATGCATTACATTAGCTGATCAAAAATACATTGTTTGTTTCATAATGATTTCAGGTTGAATTAATTAACTGAATTATGACTTTTATGGTAAATAAGAAAGAAAATTGACAAAGCTTTAATATCTCCCCCAGATACTAGAAGAACACTGCAAGTGAGAATAATATATTTAACTTTAGTTAATGATACTCACCTTGCTATTTTTAAAACATTATTTTAGCTGGCATCAGTGTAAAGAGGTAATGGTATGGGCATTTGGGCAGAAGATTGTATTTAAGAAAAGGCTGATGTGCCAGGCCTGGCGGCTCATGCCTGTAATCCCAGCAACTTGAGAGGCTGAGGCAGGAGAACACTTGAGCCCAGGAGTTTGAGGCAAGCCTAGCCAACATAGCAAGACCTTGTCTCTACCAAAAAAATAAAAATAAAAATAAAAATAAGCCAGGCATGGTGGTTTGCACCTGTAGTCTCAGCCAATTGGAAGTTTGAGGAGGGGAGGATCACTTGTGCCCAGGAGTTTGAGGCTACAGTGAGCTGTGATTGCACCCCTAAACTCCAGCCTTGGTGACAGAGTAAGACCTCATCTCAAAAAGAAAAGACTGGTGAAAAACAAAGGGTTAACATGAAAGGTATATGTAACTATATTCCAGAACTTGAGGGAAAGTGTTAGAGAAGAATGGAGTTGGTAAATTGATGGAAGTCAATAACGTATGTACATTTAAATTGAGTTTTTTTTTTTTTTTAAGCAAAGCTGGTTACATTGATGCCATAAAGCAGTGGAGTAAGGACTCCTTGCTTCTAAGTTGGAGAAGGGACTACTGTCTCCTCTTCTTTGTGTTTGTTAGGACTGCTTGCAGAAATAATAGAAACATATAATAAGCAGATAATAGATTTTGATAGAAGGTTGCAAAATTAAATTAGTGTAATCCACTTTTCCAGACATCTTATATCTTCCCATAACTTCTAGCCAAGACCCAGAGTTCTTGGATCACAAATACTTTTTTAAAAAACTGTTTTTCTCTTTATTTTAGTGGAAGGAAAAGCTATTATTTCCAGGTATCAAGTGTGAGAATTATGGCATACATTATAAACTATTACTACCAGGTTGAGTTTGAAATTGAGTAGCGTAATAGTATGGCCTAAATTCAAAACATTTCTTAATGTATTTTTATATACTGAAGCTTAGAAAGAATCCAAATGACATTTCAGTTCCTCTATGAAAACATTCAGCCTAAAATCTAATGGTGATGCTGGAATATATAGCACAAGTTAAGAAGGCCACACCATTATCCTCTTGATAGTTGCTTATGAGGCTATTGATAGGCAAAACTTTGGTGTCATTTTGCATTTATCTGCAGCATATTCAACATCCTTATAGGGAGAAAAAAACTATTATCTCAGTTTACCTTTTGCAATCTAGTTAAGAACATAGGTTTTCATAAAGGTAAAGATTAATGCCACAGAATGGCTCTCTCTGCCATCTTTTTGCAGGATGCTATACACAGGTAGGAGAGGGCAGCTAAGAGCGACAGAGTGCATACAATCACCAGGCAGTATGGTCATTGTTTTTGTCTCTTTTAGTTCTCACTGTGATTCTAGGAAATAATATGTGACCATATTTTACTTACATACAAAAATTAGAACTAGAATGGTGGAAGTGAAAAGCCCAACTTCATGAGATTTTAAGTGGAAGAGCTGAAGCCAAGTCGTAACCTATCTTGATCCAGAGTTTAAGCTTTTGTTCACTATCTTGGCTGAGTATAGACACATGAGGCTTATGTGAGTGAAAGAGAATTTTTATTCAATAGAATGTGAATACAAAGATTAAAAATACTCTTCACAATTCTAGAAGAAAACAGATATTTTTAATCTCAGTCTTAGAAAATGTGTCATGTTGAAAGTATTGTGCTATCTTTCCTCTCACTGTCACATTTTTCTCCATTTACAACACCATTATCCACTTGGTATTTATCCATGAGGCAACCAATAGTCTAGCCCTGCTTTACCGTCGTTTCACACTTACCTGTAGCACAGTCAAGAACATTGTGGAGAGAAAGAATCTCGTTTTCATTTTACTCCATTCAAAACTAAATTCTGAACTACGGATTTCTTTCTCTACTGTCATGTTTTATTTTCAATTAAATTAGTTTTCTTGCTATTGAAAATACTAAGGTCTCTTTGGCATTAAAACGCTCTTAATAACTGGCTGTCAGCAGAATGAAATGGGAATGAGGATCTGAGGAACTGAACCCAACTACCTAGGACTTCAGTCCTTCTGCATGTCCAATAATCACCTGCATGCTAGTTAAGAAT
Organism: Homo sapiens; assembly: GCF_000001405.40. Lineage (NCBI taxonomy): Eukaryota > Metazoa > Chordata > Mammalia > Primates > Hominidae > Homo > Homo sapiens. Next base: position 228,292,150 of record NC_000002.12, read on the forward strand.
GAAATACGCAGCTGGGCACGGTGGCTCATGCCTGTAATCCCAGCACTTTGGGAGGCTGAGGCAGGTGGATCAACTGAGGTGGGGAGTTCGAGACCAGCCTGACCAACATGGAGAAACCCCGTCTCTACTAAAAATACAAAATTAGCTGGGTGTGGTGGTGCGGGCCTGTAATCCCAGCTACTTGGGAGGCTGAGGCAAGAGAATCTATTGAAACTGGGAGGCAGAGGTTGCGGTGAGCCAAGATTGCACCATCGCACTCCAGCCTGGGCTACAAGAGTGAAACCCCATCTCAAAAAATTAAAAAAATTAAAAAATTTAAAAATTTAAAAAAAGAATGAAATATGCAGTAAGCTTGGGACTTGTGGTAGATCTAGAAATCTGCATTTTTGATTAGCATTTATCAAGTCTGACGTAAATGACTGGACCATACTTTGAAAAATATTCCCTTAGAGCAAGGGACTGTTAAAAGATAAAGAGTTTTTAACAGAGAAGCTGAGAATGCTATCTCATCGTGGATATTTGAAGAGGGCTAAAGCTTTGGGAAGAGATTAGGGGATCACATGAATGTCCTGATATGCACAGTCCATTCTACAACCATGAAGATTTACTTAACTTTTCGAGTTGCAGTCGTCTTACCTGAGAAGGAGACCTTCAAATATGGGACAAGAGGAGCCATTAAATGAAGGTGATGATTCAGGTGCTTATGGACATCTTTAAGAAAGGGAACAGAGCTGTTGATAACTGAAGTGAAGACATTAATTAGGCAGATATAGTGTACAGACCAGTGAAATGCACAGTGGGAAAATATAGGGTCAGTTCAGTAGCTTAAATAATAAGTAGTCCCTTTATACTACATAACTCCATAGAAAGGTAATCTAATTTCTATCCTCAAGTGGATAAATGGTAGTGAGCTTAGATAATGATCTTGAAAAAATATATACAATTTTTCACTTACTATTTATTTTAGAGGTATTCAAAATTAAAATGTGTGCTCATGTTTTCAGTTAACAATATAATATCTAATAAGTGAGACTTATTAGCAATAATTATTTTTAAAATATGTTTTTATATTTTTAAAAAATATTTTTAATAACTCATTTAAAAACAATTTTTAATAGAAATTAAGACATTTTCTGATGAAAGAGAAATAAAAGAATTTGTCACCAGCAGAGCTATCCCTAAAAAATGGCTAGGCTGTTCACGGGGGCTCATGCCTGTAATCCCAGCACTTTGGAAGGCCAAGGCAGGTGGGTCACTTGAGGTCAGGAGTTTGGGACCAGCCTGGCCAAAGAGGTGAAACTCCATCTCTACTAATAATGCAAAATTTAGCCAGGTGTGGTGGTGGATGCCTGTAATCCCATCTACTCAGGAGGCTGAGGCATGAGAATTGCTTGAACCCAGGAGGCAGAGGTTGCAATGACCTGAGATCATGCCACTATACTACAGCCTGGGCAACACAGTGAGACTCTGTCTCAGAAAAAAAAAAAAAGGCTAAATAATGTTATCTAAACAAACAAACAAAACCCCAAAAAACTATAAAAGAAGAAATCTTGGAACATCAGAAGAGAGAAAAGAACATGGTATGCAAATATATAAGTAAATACAACAGGCTTTCCTTTTCCTCTTGAATTTTCCAAACTATGTTTGATGGTTGAATCAAAAAATTATAAGACTGGTATGGTTTTAAATATACACAAAAGAAATATTTGATATCATTGCATTATGTGTGAGAGGGAGAGGATAAGCAATGTAAAAGGAGGTAAAGTTTCTATACTTCATTCAAACAGGTAAAATGATGACATAAGTAGACTATGATAAGTTATATATGTGAACCCAAAATATCTGAGACAGATCTCAGTCAATTTAGAAAGTTTACTTTGCCAGTTTAAGGATGTACCCATGACACAGCCTCAGGAGGTCCTGATGGCATGTACCCAAGGTGGTAGGACTACAGCTTGCTTTTATACACTTTAGTGAAACATAATACATTAATCAATACATGTAAGATTTACATTGGTTTGATCTGGAAGGGTGAGACAACCTGAAGTGAAGGGCTTCCATGTCATAGGCAGATTTGAACATATTCTGATTGGCAATTGGTTGAAAGAGTTATTATCTGTAGAAAGGAATGTCTGGGTTGAGAAGATCTAGGTTTTGTCATGCAAATGAAGCTCCCAAGAAGGAGGCTTTAGAGAGAATGGACTGTAAATGTTTCTTATCATACTTAAGGTTTGTGTTAATGATAATGCTGGAGGGGTATAATGGGGCACACCCAACCAACCCCCACATCCCATCATGGCCTGAACCAGTCTTTTGAGTTAAATTTTAGGGTGCCCTGGATGAGGAGGGAGTTAATTCAAATGGTTTTGGGGGGGGGTTGAATTTTATTTTTGGTTTACATACACATATATATATATATATATATAATGTAAAACCTAAAGTAACCACTGAAAAAGCTGTACAGAGAGATATACTCAAAACCCCTTTAAATAAATCAAAATGAATTCTAAAAAAAGTTTAAATAACCCATAAGAAAGCAGAAAAAATAGGTAGGGAAATGAAAGCAGAGAGAATAATATAAAATTTTTAAAAGAAGACTTATCTTCTAGCATATGAATAATTACATTATATACAAATGGTCTAAACAGACTGTGTTAGGCTGAATAATGCCCCCCACCCAGCTTTAAGATGTTCATGTCTCAAATCCTGAAAATGAAATATTTTAGGTTATAAGACAAAGGAGACTTAAGATTGCAAGTGGTAGTAAAGTTGTCAATTAAGTGACTTTAAAATAGAAACACCAGGAGGGAGAGTCAAGATGGACAACTGGATGCAGCCAGGAAGAGCTCCTCCCACTGAGAGAGATAGGACCATCAAGTAGACCAGCACACAAAGTGGGAGATCCAAATAGGTCTTCAGAAAGAAAGCACTGAGAGTGGGCAGAAGAAGGATGTAGACCCTGGGCTGAAACGGAAGGAAGGTGGGAATCCAGCATAAGGTTGCCAAGCACCAGAACTCATTTCTGGCCCTGAATGGCTCCTAGGGAAGGGGCGAGTGAAATAGGTGTGGGACAGCCCACACCTCTGTACCTCTGGGATCCTAGATTCAGGAGACCACATGACCCCCATGGATGTGTGAGCTGGCACGAAGAACTGCCCAGAGAGTTGGCAGAGACAGAATTCCAGCCTGCATGGAGACCAGAGGGTCAGGCACGGAAGTGGCTGCAATGAAACGTGGCACATGGGTGCCCATCCCCCAAGGCTCACCATACTCTTCTAGGTAGCCCTAGCCAGTTTGGCTGCTTGACCTGGACAGAGCAGGGCAGAAGCAAGACCCAGTGGTATGCTGTCATCAAGAGACCCATCTGACATGCAATGACACCCATAAGCTCAAAGTAAAGTGATGGAGTAAGATCTATCAGGCAAACAGAAAACAAAGTGCAGAGATTGCTCTTCTTATTTCAGATTAAACAGACCTCAAAACAACAATATTCAAAAAAGACAAAGAAAGGCGTTATGTAATGATAAAGGATGCAGTTCAACAAGAAGACATAGCTATCCTAAATATATATACACCTAACACTGGAGTACTCAGATTCATAAAATGAGTTTTGTAGAGACCTATGAAGGGACTTAGATAATCACACAATAATAGTGGGGGATTATTGAGCTCTCCATTGTCATTGAGCTCCCACCTCAAGATCCTAGAGAAAGAAGAACAAAATAAACCCAAAGCAAATGGATCAACAGCATTTAAAAACCTCTAGCAAGACTGGAAAAAAAAAATGAAAGAGAAAACACAAATTACAGGTATTGGGAAGGAAACAGGGATATAACCACAGACCCTTTTAATGTAGACATTAACATGACGATAAGAAAATACAAACAACTCTATACATGTAAACTTGATAATTTAGTTGAACAATTTCTCAAAATTATAAACTACTATAACTTACCTAATATGAAATTCATTTGAACATTTCTATAAATATTAAGAAAATTGAATTAATAATACAAAGTAAACTTCCAAAAAAGAAACTTTAAAACCTAAGTGGTTTCATTGGAGAATTCTATCAAAAATTTAAAAGAATTAGCACAAGTTCTATATAATTTATTTCAAGAAATATAAGATAAATGAACATTTTCTAATTATTTTTATGAATCTAGTATTATCCTGGTAAAAACAAATATAATGAAAATTACAATTACAAACTAATAAACCTCATAAAGAAGAAATGGAAAATTCCTTATCAAAATGTAATCAAATAGAATGGATAATATATAAAAAGAGTTAAACACCATCGCAAATTGGGGATTATTATACTGATACAGATCTGGCTCAATTTTTGAAAATCAATCAATATAATTCACTAGTTAACAGTCAACTAAAGACAAATCACATAATCATATATATCTATACAGAAAAAGTATTTCACAACATTTAAAACATATTCATGATAAAGACTTCCAGAAAGATAGGGATAGAGAGTAACTTATTTAACTCCTAAACAGCATCTACAGATAATCTACAGCTAACATGGTATTTAAAGTTGAAAAATAGAATACTCTCTAACATTGGAAATAAAGTTATAGTGTCTCTTCTTTTCATCCTTACTCAACATAGTGCTGGAAATTCTAGCCAGTGCAACAAAGGAAGAAAGGGCAGGGCTAGGAGCAGGGGAGGAAAATATACATATGAGAAATGAAGAAATAAAACTGTTTTGATTTCAAGATGACATGATTTTTCTATGTAGAAAATTCCACACATCTTCAAAAAACCTCCCAGAATCATTAAGTTCAACAAATCCACAAGCTATGAAGCTGACTTACAAAAATAAACTGTATTTCTTTTATATGCTAGCAATGAACAATTGGATAGTGAAATTAAAAATATCATTTACAATTACTCAAAAAATGAATTAGCTATAAATCTAATAAAATACGCACAGGGTCTACATCTTGAAAATTACAAATTATGATGAAATAAATTAAAGAACTAGATAAATGAAAACACCATGTTTGTGGATCAGAAGACTCAAAGATATCAATTATCTCCAAATTAATATACATAATTTATGCATAATGTGCATAATTTATGCAGTTCCTATAAAATTTAAAAATGTTGACAAGGTTGTGAAGAAACTCCTCATCGCTGGTGAGAATGCAGAAATGGTACTGCCACTCTAGAAAGCAGTTTAGCAGTTTTCAACAAGACTAAACATGCAACTACCACGTAACCCATCAATTTTACTCCTGGCCATTTATCCCAGAGAAATAAAAACTCATGTTCACACACAGTCCTTATAGGAATGTTTGTAGCAGTTTTATTAATAATAACTAAAAAGTGAAAACAACCCAGATATTCCTCAGTGGGTGACTGATTAAGCAAACTGTTTACATTCATACTATGAAATACGGAATCTCTCTGTATTATTTCTTACAATTGTACAAGAATCTACAATTATCTCAAAGTAAGTATTCTTACAATTTTTTGTAGGTCTCTATCATTCTTTTATTTTCTTTAACATATGGAATATAATTATAATAACTTGTAATGTCCTTTTCTATTTATTCTTTCATTTTTTTCATTTTTTTGATTGATTTTTCTAGGCATTATAGATCAATTACTTTTTACATATCTTTTTTTTAATTGAATTGTAGATATGGTGAACTTTACCATTTTGTGTGCTGGATATTTTTGTATTCTTATAAATATTTTTTGGCTGTGTTCTGGGATACATTTAAGTTACATGTAAATAACTTAATCTTTTGACATTTGCTTTAATATTTTGTCAGATGGAATTAGAGCCACCTTTCTTCTAGTGCTAATTTTGCCCTTATCCTTAGGCAATACTCTTCTGAATCCTCTACCGCTAGTATCAAGAATTGTGTTGTTATTCTACCTCGGCTGATGGGGACACCAACTATTCTGGCCTGTTGTGATCTCTGGCTATTGTTCTCACAAATCTTTTTTGACTGTTCCTTCCCCCGACTCCACTCCAGCCTTAGGCAGTTTTGCTCATAGGCACACATTTAGCAGTACTCAGCTGAAGATTAAAGGGCAAAACAATGTGGATTTTTGGCGCTCTCCTCTGTGCAATTCTCTTTGTTCAAGTACTTTCACCTGCAGTCTCTAGACAGCTTGATCTCCTTGGCTAGCCAACTCTATCTCCCCAGCTCATGGAATCCACTGGACTCAGCCTGCTTCACCTCATACCCCATGCTGTGGCCTGAAAGTCAGCTGGGGCAATTATAGGGCACATCTTTCTTCCTCTCTCTCTCAGTGATCTTGTGCTGCTCTGCCTGATATCGGTGTCTGAAAATCGTTGTTTTGTATATTTTGTCCGGATTTATTTTCTTGTTTCAAAAAAGAGGATAAATCTAGTTCCTATTACTCCATCTTAGCCTGAAGTGGAAATAATTTCTCACTCTATTTTTCAGCCTAAGTTTTTATATGTGGATAGAGTATGTAGCAGAGTCAGAGAGTAGAAAAAATTACAGGGAGAGTAACATATCACTCCCTCAGTGTTCTCCTTTCAACTTCTGTATCCCCAGATACTATCAAAGACATCTGGGTCAAACCACATTGATTGCTGGTTGTCTCTCCTTAATCAAGTCCTACATTATCTAGATCCTATTCTGTAGACTCAGCTGAAGAGAAAGAATAGTGTAGGTTCCCCCTTGCCCTGCACTCATGCTTTAACATACTAAAGTGCTTTACGGTGTCAATAAAAAGAGTCAAATTCTAAAATATTTGAGGAGATTTATTCTGAGCCAAATGTGAGGACAATAACCCATGGAACCACCTCAGGAGGTCCTGAGAACAGGTGCTTAAGGGGGTCAGGCTACAGCTTGGTTTTATATGTTTCAGGGAGACATAAGTCATCAGTCAATCCATGTAAGCTGTACATTGGTTCAGTCTGCAAAGGCAGGACAACTCAAGAGTGGGGGCTTCCAGGTCATAGGCTGATTCAAAGATTTTCTAATTGGCAATTGGTTGAAAGAATTAAGTTATCATCTAAGAACTTGGAATCAATAGAAAAGAGTACCTGGGTTGAGATAAGGGTTGTAGAGACCAAGGCTTTTATCACGCAGATGAAGCTTTCAGGTAGCAGGCTTCAGAGAGAATACATTACAAGTGCTTTTTTTTTTTTTTTAATCAGACTTTATAAGATGCCAGACTCTTAGTTAATTCTCTCCTGGATCAGGAAAAAGACCTGGAAAGGGAAGGGGACTCTAAACAATGTAGACTTTCCCCAAGAGACAGCTTTGTAGGGCCATTTCAAAATATGCCAAAGAAATATATTTTGGATTAAAATAATTTCTTTCAGGGCCTGCTATTGGTATTTTATTGCTAGAAAGGGTCTGTTTTGTCAGTCTTAGGTCTCTGTTTTAATGTTAATGATGGCCAGTTGTGCCTGAATTCCAAATGGAGCAGGATATAATGAGGTCTGTCTCAGCTCTTCTTCCCATCATGGCCTGAACTAGTTTTTCAGGTCAACTCTGGAATGCCCTTAAGAGAAGAGGGGTCCATTCAGTTGGCTGGGGGCTTAGAATTTTATTTTTGGTCTACAGTGGAGCCCTAAAATCAACAAAATCAACATTTTCCATGGAATATTTTACAGGAATGGTATTCTGGGAATTGGATGATGGAAAAAACAGTAGTAATGATACAGCTCCGATGAGTGGAGAACACTAGGTTCTTCCTCTCTAGTCGAATTAGAAAAAGCAACACGGACACATGTGGAGTAGTTTTAAGGAGCAGGGAATTTAATAGGCAAGAAAAAAGGGGGAAGAAAGAAAGAAAAGTCTCCCCTGTACAGAGGGAGGGGGGCTCCAAAGCCTAGAAATGAAACCCTGCTTTCAGGTAATATCAGCCAGCTATATTCCATGGCTGGAGGAAGTGTTTGTTTGATTTGCATAGGGCTCAGGGGATAGGTTTGACCAGGCATGTCATTCACATAGCTCCCAGGGAAAAAACTGGCCCTCCCACTCTAGCCTATTCATATGTAAATGCAGGGCACCATGATGTTCCACACATGGGGATATATGGGGGCAGCCATGCTGCCAGGCACAAGTTGGGGCAAGGGCAAGAGGACAACAACGGGAATCCTCATGTTGGGTGGACCCAGCTTCTAATGGCTGGCATTTGCATATTAAAGGTTGCTGGCCTAGGTTTAAGAGCCAGGACCTTCATGCTGGACAAGGGCTGCAAAAAATCTTCCAAGAACCCCTTTTTTCCTCTCTATCTGCCTAAAATAATTTCTTAATAACTCCTCCTCATTTCTCCCTGTGGAGATATCACCCTAACTGCTATTAAGGGATTCTGAGTGATGACTCTTTCTGGCTGCTTCCTGCTAAAAAGGAGTGTCAAATAGGGAACAGCAGCTAGGGCTTCTCCTGGGGTTGATCTAAGGGTCCTCGGAAGAACAGTGCGTCCATGTGTGGTTCCGTTTGCAGCACCATTTGGAGTTTGGTTGCTTCTAGGCAAGAAGAAACAATTTGAGTTATAGTATTGAGTACGCAGGGTCCAAATATTAATACAGGACATATAAGCAAGAGAGGGCTTAATAAAAGGGTCAACCAATTCCGTAAAGACTGTAATTCATTAAAGAAGGATTGTGGCCACCCGGAGTAGAAGCCAGCATTTCCCTGAGCCTGTCAATAATTTTGATTTGATCTTTAAGTACCTGTAGATTTTCCTCTACTTTCCTAGAGGTGTTAATCCAGAAGCAACATGTTTCATTTAAAAGTGCACAAGTACCTCCTACTTCAGCTGTAAGGACATCTCAGGCTCATCTAGTTTGTGCCACTATTGAGGCTAAAGAGTCTGTAGATCGCTATTGTGCCTCTGTGGCCCCTACAGTTGCCTTCCATCCTCATTGCATCATAGGGTAGAGATATTAACTATTACTCTTTCAAGGAGAGGGATGCCCACAAATCAGAATAGACCTCTGGCTATAGAATTTCCCATCCATGGTTTTTCTAAGATGGGATTGTTATGTGCATGCCCTCCCCAGTCTGCCCTTTCAGTTAAATTTCCATATGAGGGCATAGAAATGATAGCTCTTTTTGTCCGGCATATTCGAGATAGTGCAGTTTCTAGAAAAGAGCCTAAATTAGGGATGTCCCCAGATGATGCTGCCATCTCAGCAGAGTTTAGAAATAATAAGTCAGGAACTACTGCGACTATAATATACGTTCCCTTCTACTTTCTTGGGAAGATTAAGTGTATCCCAGAGCTACACAGAAAATATAGCCCTGATCCTTTAAGACAGAGTTCTAAGTTGTGCTTTGTGAGAGATACCAGCAGATTTTTCTCATATCGTAGAAGTTTTCCTTCATTACATATAATAGGGACATCCTTGGGATAAGGATAATCATATTTAGGATAGCCACTTATGATGCCATTTAGAATTTGACATGCCAAATGAAAAGGGTCCTCCTGACAAATGGAGTTTTGAAAAAGACATAATATGCTCTGGCCAATATCTTAGATGATCCCTGTGGCAAGGGCTGTCAGTCTTGATGTCTCCAGTTCGCTGAGAGGTTTGTAAGCCGCTACTATTAGCAAGCATCGCACAAAGGTCTGGAATTCCATAAGGAGGCATGTTTGGAAAGGCCCATGTGTTATTCTTTACATTATAATCAAGGTGGTTATTTAGAGCATGCCATTCCCTTCAGGACTTCCAACCAATGGGAGAGGCTAGATTCTGAAAGCCCCCTACTAAGGCTTCTGATTCTTGTAGATTACCCTTGCTGCATTCTCCTCCCCAAATCTTGGAACTTTCAGCAATTACAAGTGTGATGTTACAATATTTGGGATCTCCCAAGTATGGTCCTTCCCCATTACTTCAAAAGCAGAGGGAGGCATTTGCTATTACTGGGTCCACTTTTCCCAGCCTAAGGGTGTGAAGTTTATCTTTGGGGAGAGTGTTCTTTGGGACTGGGGGTGGAATTTTCTCTTGAAAGGAGTTAGTCACCCAGTTGAAAGTGCTCCCATACCATGTTACATTTAGGCCTGATATGCCTTTAAGGATTAAAGGTAAAGCCAACAAAGGGAACCCTAAGACGGCGAGTTCTGGGTCATTGTCAGGTTCCTCAGTGCCACTGAACTGAGAGAACCACTTAGGACAGACCCAACAATTAGTTTTGTTGTAGAAACGGGCCATAGCGGATATTGTAGGAGCTAAGAGGTGTGATGTGTTACTAAGTCCAATAAAAAATCCTAACAGACTTAGTGATAGTAAAACGCTCATGTTTACTTCCTGTTAATAACCATTATTCTTGTCGTAAGGATAGTAATTAAGCAAAATGCTACAGTAATTAATATTTGGCTTAAAAGGAGAGGTAGAAGTACATAAAGTAGTTCATGAGGTAGAGGCGAGGCTGAGTAAGATGAGTAGTTCTTACTCCATTACTTCTCTTTTGTGATTTTCAGCTTACGGTCTATTTCTTCGCATTGATATTCAGGTCGTTCCTCTGGGCTGTCAGGGGTTGCTCCCTCAGCTTTCCAGGCTTTGACTCGAGTGTGAGTCCAAGAGTCGATTGCTATAACGTTTATTGCCGAGGGAGTGGAAAGAAGAACAGTGTAAGGCCCTTCCCAGCTTGAGCTTAGGGAGGGAGAGAGAGGAGGGAGGGTCTTCACCAGTACCAAATCTCCTGGGTTAAATAGAGGTGGTCCAATTTCCTGGGGTTGGGCCTTTGCTAATTGTGCTAATTGCTGTTGGAAGTGAGCCAGAGAAGTTACATGCTTGACTAGCTCAGAGGTTTCTTGATCTAATGGAAAATCATTGGTAAGGAAAGGTCATCCATACTGCATCTCAAAAGGGCTAAGATCTAGTTCTGAAGGGGTATTTCTTATTCCTCACAAGGCCATATGAAGACAACTGACCCAAGGAAGGTGAGTTTCTTGGGATAATTTTCTGAGGTGTCTCTTGATGATATTATTAATTTTCTCTACCTTTCCTGAGGACTGGGGTCTCCAAGCACAGTGGAGATGGTATTCTATGCCTAGTGCTTTTGAGACCCCTTGTGTGACAGCTGCCTTAAATGAGGGTCCATCATCACTTCGAAGATACCTAGGTAGACAAAAGAGGGGAGTTATTTCATTAACTAACACTTTTTTTTTTTTTTAACCTCAGAGGCTTTTTCTGTATGGCATGGGAATGCCTCTACCCAGTTAGTGAAGGTGTCTACCCATACCATCAGGTATTGAATGCCCTTTGCCTCTGACATGTGGGTGAAGTCTATTTGCCAGTCTTCCCCAGGATAATCTCCTATTCTTTGGGTTTGAGGAGGAAGGAGTCTACTGTTTAGGGGATTATTTTTAAGACAGACTTCACAAGCATCAACAATTTGATTAATTGTTTTTAGTAAGTTCTCTCCTGAAAACAATCTCTGGGCACATTGATACATTTTAACCTTTCTCAAGTGAAAAGCTTGGTGAAGGACTTTGAGGACTTTCCATTGGCTAGAGGCTGGCAAGTGGAGCTTGCCATCCTCTGACTGTAGCCATCCTGAGTGTTGAAATGTATACCCTCAAGAAGTGGACCATTCTACTTCCTTAGGGGAATACTGAGGTTTAATTTCTCTTATGGAGCCTTCCCAGACTAGAGGGGTTTGAAGTGTGTTGATATCTTGAGGTTTTCTTCCCACTGACTTAGCTGCCTGATCAGAGAATCTATTTCCTTCAGCTACCTCATCTATTCCCTTTTGATGTCCCCTACAATGCATTATTGCGATTTCTCGTGGAAGGAAAACTGAGGATAGTAACCTATTAATTTCCTGGTGATATTTTATAGGAGAACCATTGGTGGTAAGAAAATGCCTTTCCTTCCAAATGGCCTCATGAGCATGGAGAAGTAGGAAAGCTTACTTGGAGTTAGTGTAAATATTAGCTACCTTTCCTTTGCTTAATTCAATTGCTCTTGTAGGAGCTATTAGCTCAGCTAATTAAGTGCTTGTGCCTAGAGGAAGAGGCACACTTTCAATGACGTCATTTAGAGTGACTACTGCGTATCCTGCCTTGTGGATCCCTTGTTCTACAAAAGAGCTCGCATCTGTGAAGAGGGTTCAGTCTGGATTCTTTAAGGGAGTTTCTCTGAAATCCTCCCTGGCTGCATAGATCTGTGCTATGACTTGTTCACAGTTATGCTCAGGTTCCCCAGTTTCCTCAGGGAGGAAGGTGGCTGGATTTAGGCTAGAACAAGTCTTTAATTGGACGTGAGAACCCTCTAAGAGTAGGGCCTGATATTTAAGGAGTCAGCTGTTAGCCAAAGTCTTCCTCTAGAGTACAGTAGTCCTATCATGTTATGTGGGGTGTAAATGGTGAAATCATTCCCCAGAGTTAATTTGGAGGCTTCTGGGACCAGCAGAGCCACCAAGGCAATGACTCAGAGGTATGCTGGCTACCCTCTAGCCACTGAATCAAGTTCCTTGCTTAGGTAACTCACTGGGTGTTGAGCTCGTCCTCAGGCCTGTGTTAAAACTCCCAGGGCCATTCTCTTCCTGTCTGATGCATACAGATTGAAGACCTTCCCTACAGGAAGGCTGAGAGCTGGTGCCTTGAGCAAGGCTTGCTTTAGCTGGTCAAAGGCCTTTTGAGTTTCAGGTTCCCAGATTAAAAGATGAGTTTTAGCTCCCTGAGTTTCTTTTATGAGGTTATATAATGGATGGGCTATTTCACCATACCAAGGTATCCATAGCCTACAGAATCCTGTAATCCCCAAAAATCCTCTTATTTGCTTGGGTGTTTTGGGGAGGAGGAAAGAGGAGATAGGCTTAATCCTCTCTTCCTCCAATGCTCTGGCCCCCTCAGACAGCACAAAGCCTAGGTACTTTACTGAAGTTTTGCAGAGCTGAGCCTTAGGTTTTGAAACCTTATATCCTCTGCTAGCTAAGAAGTTAAGAGTAGCTTTGGTGCCTTCCTGAGATGCTTTCTCAGCTGGGGCACAGAGCGGAATATCATCCACATACTGCAAGACCCTAACCTGAGGATGAGAGAACTCAGAGAGGTCTTGTGACAGTGCCTGTCCAAACAGATGAGGACTATCTCAAAATCCCTGAGGCAACACTATCCATATTAACTGAGCGGTCTGGCCAGAGGGATCTTCGAAGGCAAACAGGTATTGAGAGTCAGGATGTAATGGTACGCAGAAAAAGGCATCCTTTAAATCTAGGACTGTAAGCCACTTAGTTCCCTCAGGTATTTGAGTTAACAGGGTATAGGGATTATGTACCACTGGATGGTTTGGAACTATAGCCTCATTAATGAGGCAGAGGTCCTGAACTAGTCTCCATTACCCATTGGTTTTTGCCCTCCTAATATTAGGGTGTTGCAGGGGCTATTACAAGGTTTGAGGAGGCCTTGCATCTTTAGGTTATCAATAATTGCTGCTAGCCCTTTCCTAACCTCTGGCCTTAGGGGACACTGCCTCTGGTTAGGAAAAGAAGTGGGACCCTTAAGATAGATTCAGACTGGCCTAGCAGTTACAGTTTGACCTATTCTTCCTTGAATTACCCACACTTCTGGATTAATGCTATCTTCCATCGGGGAGAGACAAAAAGTTTGTCCTGGGGCTATAAGGATGCTGGCCCCTTTGTGAACTAGAATATCTCTACCTAATAAAGGGGTGGGACTTTCAGGCATGATGAGAAAGTCATGTGTAAATAGTACATCCCCCTACCTGCAGCTAAGGGGTTGAGAAAAATATTGAGTTAGAGTTTTTCCTGAGATACCCCTTTATGCTCATTCTATGGGAAGAGGGGAGCCCTGGATTAGAGAGGAGGAGAGAGATACTGGCCCCAGTATCCAGAAGGAGATCTACTTTCCTTCCTTCAATTTCCGGAATCGTCCAGGGCTCCTGTGCTGTAATGGCAGTCTGAGTTGCTGGAGCCGGGGGTTTGAGCCCCAGGACCCATCAGTACTGCTGGACCATGTGTGAGACTAATTCTAAACCCAGTGACCTCTGCCTCTGGGGGCAGGTCTGTCTCCAGTGTTCTCCACCACAGGTTGGACAGGGTCGAGGTGGCTTTGTCTTGCTTCCTGGGCATTCTTTCTTAAAATGCCCTGACTGACCACATCGATAACAGCTAGTGGATGCACCTCAGGGATTCTGGACATTAAAAGCTTGTAAAGCTGCTACTAGAGCCTCTGTTTTTTTCTTGTACTTCCTCTCTTTTTCTCGGCCTCTTCTCAATCCCTATTGTAAAAGACTGAAGTGGCTATTCTCAGGAGGCTTTCTAGGGTGCTGTCTGGTCTTATTGCTTGCTTCTGTAGCTTTCTTCTAATACTGGGAGCTGCCTTTGTAATAAACTTGTCCTTCAGGATGAGCTGTCCCTTGACTGAATCGGGGGATGGAGAGGGGTGCTTTATTAGTGCCCCTCAACCTTTCCATAAAAGCTGTGGGATTCTCATCTGGTCTTTGGTCTATCATGGACAGTTTAGAGTAATTGAGATATTTAGCCCTGGTCTTCTGTAGGCCTTCTAATATACACCTTAAAAAGTGCTTCCTTTTCCATTCATCTCCTGAGTTATTGGGATCCCAATTAGGGTTATCTACCAGAACTGCTTCCCTTCCTTGTGGGAATGAAGTTTCCACCACTTCCTCACCTTCCTTTTCTCCTTGGGCGGCTATAGAAGGCATGTTGCTCATCTCCGTATTTTTCTGCTGCCTGCAGAACTGCCTGCTTTTCAGCTGCAGTGAGGGTTTGACTTAGCAGCAACATAACATCCCTCCATGTGAGATCAAACACCTGAGTTAAATTTTGGAAAATTTCTATATACCTATCAGGGTCTTCAGAAAATTGACCTAAGTCTCCCTTTTTTAGCTTAAGATCCTGCAATGAGAAGAGAACTTGAACCTTTATGGCACCATTCTCGTGAGGCATTTCCTGGAAGGGGGAAGACTGAAGAGGGGAGAGTAGGATATACTGGAGATGGTGGAGCTGATGGTAGGATTGGAGGGGAACTGGAAGGGTTGGGACATTCAGTAGCTATCTCAGATTGCTCCTCTGAAGCCTACATTAGCTCTGGGGAAACTACTCCCTGTGAACTTGCCTGTCATTACTGCTAAAAGAACTGAGTCGATTGTACAGAACTTGTAAAGGTCTGGGTTGTCTTGCAGAGCAAAGAAAGCCTGTACATAGGGGACCCCAGTCCATTTGCCCCGCTGTTTGCAGAAAAGTTCTCACTGTTGGATAATATTAAAATCAAGGTTCCCCCTGCAGGCCAGGTTTGCCTGTCCCCAAGAGGGTGGGAAGGCCATGCCCTTGTGCAATAAAATGCGAGGCGCTTTTTCTTCAAAGTTTCAGAGTCGAAGGGTGCCAGTGCCTTAAAATACACTCCAGGGAAGTGCATGTTGAAGACGATCTGTTACCCGTCTAGAAAGAGAAGTGAGAATAAAAGCATCCTTTTAGTCTCCTTCCTTTCAGTATGTGATCCAGGATGGAGATGAAAACAGTAGAGGGTGTCCCTCCAGCTATTCTCTCTCTGTTGCTCCTGGATTCCTGGCACCCACTTAAATGTGTCACCCACGGCTGCAGGCGTGACCCTCCAAGCCATGGCACCAGAGGAACTGAGTTTTGGGCCTTAGTCACGCTGTCCCCGAGCAATGAGTTCTCTGCCTTTTATTTCCCTTTGACCTCCTAGACTTGTGTGGCCTGTGTGCCTTCCAAAAAATGGATTTCAAGAAAAACCACGTAATTGGGCAAGGCCCCTTTAAAGGAGGGGGCATGCTAGATTGAATTCTGTATTCTGCTATTATAGCCCATGCTAAAGCATTTACCCTTGGAAGAATGGTTCCAGTTAACTTCCAGACTTAAAATCCCCTTACTAAGTACTGTCTTAATAGAAGACAAAATTGGTGCCTTAAAGGAATGTAGGAACCGAATGGCCATTTTCCTGCCAGTGGGACAATATCAAGACTAAAATTTGGCTATGGAAGACATTTTACTCCTAAATGCTAAAGGCAGAAACTTCCTGTTGCTGGAAGAGGTCTAGAGCCTGATTTATTTCCATGAGGTGATGCCGTCTGCTTAGAAATGCTATGTATTCGCCAGATAAGTGGTAGCAAGTAACCTCACCATGGGGAGAAAGGGGAAAACTCTGTTCCTAGACTGTAAAAATCTTTGCACATTTCACGCAAAGAAAGGGTAAGAGGCCGCGGATAGAGAAGGAAGAAGAGTGTTGCAACAGGACTGTTGAGTTTCTCTACCAACACCCAGAATGGGCTGTCGGGGGCTGTGTCCCGTCCAGAGCCCTTTGAATCACACCACGGTGTGCTCTGGTCAGAAATTCCCAGTTGCCTCAGAACTTTTCTCAGTCTCGCGCCATGGTAAGGTTCCCCGTGAAAAGAAGCTAGTTCAAACGTGGCCAACATTCCCAATATCAGTAGGTAATGGGGGGGTTCTCCACGTTCCCCCAGGAAGCCTTACATCGGTGACTTGAGTACGGCAGTCAACGCTAAGCATATGTACTAGGCCAACCGACGCCCATTGATTTATTGGATTTATTTTAATATAGAGGCGAAGAGCGCCTTGGAATGAAAGAACAGATTTTAAGCTTGCTCCCATACTCACCACTCCGAGGAAGGCTGTACCTCAGATTCCTGGCCAATGCACCAAAATGATACGGCACTGATGAGTGAAGAACACCAGGTTCTTCGTCTCAAATCGATTTAGAGAAATGACACGGACACAAGTGGAGTAATTTTAAGGAGCAGGAAGTTTAATAGGCAAGAAATAAGGGGGAAGAAAAGAAGAAGAGGCTCCCCTGTACAGAGACAGAGGGAGGGGGCTCCAAAGCTGAGAGATGGGACCTCGCTTTCAGGTAATATCAGCCAGCTATATTCCATGACTGGAGGAGGCATTGTTTGATTTGCATAGGGCTCAGGGGATTGGTTTGACTAGGCATGTTATTCACATAGCCCATGAAAAAACTGGCCTTCCCACCCTAGCCTTTTAATATGCAAATGAAGGGCGACATGATGTTCCATACGTGGGGATATGTGGGGGCAGCCATGCTGCCAGGCACATGTTGGGGCAAGGGCAAGAAGACAAGGGTGGGAATCGCCATGTTGGGTGGACCCAGTTTCTAAAGGCTGGCATTTGCATATTAAAGGATGCCACCCGGCTATGCTGGGTGGACCCAGTTTCCAACAGCTGGCATTTGCACATCACAGGTTGCTGGCCTGGGTCTAAGAGCCAGGGCTTTCATGCTAGACAAGCAATGCAAAAAAATCTTCCAAGGACCCCTTTTTTCCTCTCTATCTGCCTAAAATAGTTTCTTAATAACTCCTACTTCAGTAGGAGATAATGTAATTATAAAATTGCAAGTTCAAATTTTTTTCCTATTCCGATCTCATATATTAGACAGTGTACAGATAGCTCATTTGGTACATACCATACGCTTTCTGAGAAATGCTAAATTTTAGAACTAGCAAGAACTTTTGTAGTTAGTTAATATTCTAGTTTCATGCAATTAATGGCTCTAGTTACACTGTAACTCCAGATTTGTTTTTCATTGTTCTTTTTCTCCCCACCATACTATACTCCCTTGTTCGGGTGTATTTTCCTTATTCGGTTGTATTTTTTTGTATTAATTCCTCAACTTTTTACTTGCTTTAATTTCAAGTATCTTTCCTTCATTTCTTTTTTTATACTAGAGTAATTAACAAATAGAACCAATTTTTATCAAGCACTTAATTTATGCAAAATACTGAGCTAAGTGCTATACGTAGGTTATTGTCTTAATACTCTCAACAATCCTATGGTAGTACTATTAGTATCCCCATTTTACAAGAGAGGGAAATGAGGGTTAAAAAATTTAAGTGACTTGTGCAGGGTCACGTTGCTAATATGAAAACAGAAAATTATTAACTCTGCACTTTTACATTTAGGCTTAGCCAGAAAATATACCTGAGGCTATAAGATATAAGCCTTTGTATGATGCAAAACAAAAGGAAACTTTTAATATAGCTGCTTCCAGGAGACAAAATACTCAGCCAAAATAGCTTATCACAAATTTTAGTTTCTACCTAAGTTTTTTAATAAAAAAGAAAAGGATTTTTTTTTTTTTGGTCAGTGTAAGTAGTTTAAAGAACTATTTACTTAAGTCTTTAAAATTAAAGATACTTGTTAAAGAAAATTACATTTGTTAAAACTGGCTTACTCAAAATTGTAAACTGTGTTTTTCAAATTGAATTGATTTTATCCACAGACCTTCTGAAAATTAACTCTATGCATTTCCTGATCTGGCTCCAATTAAATAAACCCCTATATCTGCAAAGATCATTTTAAAATTATAGTCACAGAAGTCACATTCTCCTTTAAAACCATATACATTCAAACACAGTCACTTTAGAAGATTAATTTAAAATATGATAAAGAATTTCAATTTTCTGTGACCCAAATAAATGGGAAAGTTGGGATTTGAGCCTAGGCAATCTGATTATAGAACCTATTAGCCCAAATGTTATGTAAGAAGGGCATAAAATGTGTCCTAATTTTCTAGTGGCAACGGTTACTTTGAAATGTTTTTCTTTTAGGCCAAAGTATTTATCTAATAGGAACTTCAATCCAGGATCACATTTTATTATGGCAATGACTAATTGAAAAGTGATATACATTTTCGGAGGACTCTGCAGTTTATACTATATTTTCAGTTACGTAATTTTTCAACCCAGTGTCCAGTTCTAATTTCCATGAGATGACCCTTAGTGACCGAACTTTTAAATAAGATTTTTATATCAACAGAAACACAGCTAAGTGATGCACATATAATTGGGAAGTTTTTGACTAGTACTTCTAAAAATTAGACAAATTTCCTGCTTCTTCTTTTGAGTATGGCATGGGGAGTCTTCATTTTTGTGGGTGCTGTATAAGACACCTGTATTTGTTCTTCAAAAGCTTAGATAAAAGAGTAAATAGAATGCACAAAACTTTTCAATAAACAATTGGAACACCTTTGTATAGTTAAAGGGCTGACACATTCATTTCTATATATAGTTAAAGGGCTGACACATTCATTTCTACTTTTTAAGAGGTTATTCTGCAGTAAACAGAAATCATTAACAACCCAAATTCTCTTACTGTTCCATAGCAAACATATATGGTTGGTGTGTAAGCGGCAAATTGAGAGATTTAATTGTTCCATCATATATTCTTTCAATGAGTCATTCATGCTCAACCCTTGCTGTGAAGAATTGGGGGCTTCCTGGTAAAGCCTAAATTGTTTTCTAAAAAAATTAATAAATTCTTTATTTATTATAAAATTCAATGTCAAGGAAAAATCCAGATTTTATCCTTAAAGTAAGACCCATTCATTGTCTGAAATGCTCTAAAGCTTTATTCAATGTTCATAGATAAATACCGGAGGGGATGTTTTCACCATTTACAAATAACAGTTTCACCAAAGGGTGAGGACATTATGGCATTTTTATTTTTATTGTCTTACCTAAGGGAGGAAATTGTGCACCCAAGTTGAAATTTAAGTGGGACTTTCTTTTCCTGTATCGGAAATTTAGAGAAATAAATTCTCTCAAATCTCATTCTCTGTATGTTTGTGTGTATATAGTATAGGCACAGATTATATATATTTTGTAATTTACAGATTATATATCTATATATGATACATATATGCAAGGCTATATATATGTGCATATATGAGTATATATGCAAGGCTGTAGAATAATTTTCCTCAGTACTAACATTAAATATCATGTCAAATAGGACACCATGATTTTGATTTAAGTTAATTACCAAGATTCTAAATTATTGGTCCTATCTCCTCTTCTGTGAAGAAAAACGATGATCTATCCTTTGCATGTGCAGACACTTGCAGAGAGAGAAAGAGAGAGAGGGAGAGAGAGAGAGAGAAGGTGAGAGAGAGAGGAGAAAACAAACAAGCAGAATGTATGCAAAACTTGTAAAAGTGGTGGCACCAGAAAAGAATGGGAATGGAGAGAAATGCTTATATTTTACTATGTACGTGTCTATTGTTGGAATCATTTACAAAAGCATACACTATGTGTAACTAGTAAGTAAATGTGGATGACTACAAAGTGCTCTGAAGGAAAAGTACAGCTTTCTGTGAGAGCATGCAATTAGCTTAGTCAGGTGAAACAGATCCGTCTTCTTTGAGGAAGAACTGGAACAGTGGTTCTCGAAGTATGGTCCATAGACCAGCAGCATCAACGTCATCTGGACACACTTTTAGAAATGCAAATTTTTATGCACCACCCAAGACCCACTGAATTAGAAACTCTGAATGAGTATGCCAGACATCTGTATTTGAAAATCCTGAAAGTGATTCCAAGGCATGCTTAAGTTGGAGAAGATAAAGCTGAGGAAAACTACAGTGAGTATTTTCCGGGTGAGCACATGAGAATCTCCCGGGACACCTCTCAGCATTATTCTCACATCCTCACAAGCTCTGTACACCTCCTGATATCAGCCAGTTCCACATTTTTCTATGCATTTCTCCAAATCCTTTCGCCTACCCTCTGAAACTCAATCATTCTTTATCTAAACTCTCTATATATTTTTCACCAAATCTATTTTTTGCTCCAGCAGAAACTTAGTTATTCTTTATGACCTTACTTCCCCTAAATTCCTCTCAAATGGAAGCTGTTCTTTCTCCCTTACTGTGTCAGTAGGTCTTGATACGGGGTTAGTGTCCTTCTTTCTTATTGAAACTTCCAAACCGTTTTTCCCTTCTTCCCCACTAACAACCTTCAGCTGCACTGAAGCTAATGTTAACAGATTCCTCTCCCCACCAATAACCCTTTCTACACAATCAACAGTCCTCCAGGACCTCACTCTCATTCTTTGAAGATTTTAGCACCTGGCTCACACTTTTTCCAACACTATTCCAGTCATAATTCTTGGTGATTTCTTTATTCATATTCAGGAGCAAATTCTAATACTATTCCAATATTCCATAATTTGGCTCTTACTTCTTTGACTTCCTACCTTGATCTTACTTTTCACCCTGATTTAGCCACTCATTCTCATTGGCATATCTTAGATATTGTCATTCCTACAATACACTTTGTAATTTCAGTTCTAGGCCCATTGTTCTCCAAAGATGGCCTCCTAAATTTCCAAGGCCTTGAAGTACATCCACTTCAGAAATTCTTCAATAACATTGATTCCTCCAATGTGTGGACTCCACCACCTTTCCCCTCTCCATCATGACTCTTATTTACTCTTTGTCCAAATTAGAATCCATGGTCCATCATCATTATTATTCCCAAGTATGACTTGTTTTCTCCTTTGTTTGTCTCTATTTTCATCACACTCATCAGAAAAACCCAGTCCTGTTAAATCTAATTTCTCCATACTTGGAACCAACCATGTGTGGCTGAAGAAAAACACATAGCCATTCTAATGGTTGCTCTTTAAATTCATGAACACAATGTTCAAATGGACACCACTGCTTCCAGGCGATTTTATGACTTTCCCTAGTTAACCTACTCTCCCATTCTTTCAAGACAGTCACCTCACAACTCCTCTCGCCTTCAATGGCTAACATCAACTTTCTCCTAGTTCCTCATTCTCAGCTAAAAACACTGTATCTCATTTCACTGGGAAAAGAGGTGATCAGAGGAGAAATTCCATATGTTCTCATCACCGTATTTGCAAACACAACATGCATGTACCACATATTCTGCTTTTCTGCTCTTAGAAAGGATGACAATTTCAGGCTTCTGTTTATGGTCAACTCTTCTATTCATGTCCTGGATCCCATCCTCTCTGGTCAGCAAATGAGGCCCTGTCCTGCAGTCATTCATGTATTCTTCTAGTCCTTCAAATGCTGTCTCTCTATTTGATCATTTGAGTCAGCGTATATGCCATGGTCTCTTTCATCCTAAAAAAAACAAATCAGAATAAACATCTCTACAACACCTGTTCCTTTTCCCTTTACATCTTGGGGGAAAATGCCTTGAATGGGTTATCTATACTCATGGTCTCTATTTTCCCTGGGCAGAGCCCCCACAAGGTATTTAATTCATCATCTGTTTTTTTTTTTTTTTCCAAATGCAAAATGTTTTAACTGCACTTGTTCATGAATACTGTATCTTTATACTTTATACCCATTATCATAGTACTCCTAGTGCCATGTGATGATGGAGAGACTATGGGCACTTTCAGGATCTGGCTACAGGGAATTGAGTTTGGGATATATTTATTTTGATTTGGTGGGTTACTTAATTTTGTTGTTTGTAGTCATTTCTGTATGTATAGATTTTGTAAGCTCTTCAGGTGTAGGAATGGCCTCCAGGAATACTAGGACTATCCATTGTGCCAAGTATAGCATTGTCTCACAGAGATGAAGAATCAAAGGTTGTACTGTGATATGGATGTGTTACACCATTTCATTTACGGAAAGTATGTGGGCTTTGAGAAGGAACAAGGTTTGGGCTGGGCGCAGTGGCTCACGCCTGTAATCCCAGCACTTTGGGACACCGAGGCAGGTGAATCACCTGAGGTCAGGAGTTTGAGGCCAGCCTGGCCAACATGGTGAAACCCTGTCTCTACTAAAAACACAAAACTTAGCCAGGCATGGTGGCGAGCACCTGTAATCCCAGCTACTAGGGAGGCTGAGGCAGGAGAATCACTTGAACCCAGGAGGCTGAGGCTGCAGTGAATCAAGATCGTGCCATTGTACTCCAGCCTGGGTGACAGAGCGAGATTCCATCTCAAAAAAAAAAAAAAAGAGAGAAGTAACAAGGTTTGAAACACATAGAGCTAGAAAATAGTTTATGGAACATTTTTCCAAATTTTAGAGTTCATGAATAAAGAAAATTGGTAGAGATTTTTTAGCATTCAGATTTGGCAGTAATTCTCAAAATTTACATGGGATTACCAATAAGAAGTTGTGAAGCTTAAAAAATTTTTAAAATTATCAAACCATGCCAAAAGAATGATTGAATTGTTTTACTACTTTTTTCTGTACAAATGATTTTAAAAAATTGTTTTCTTGTGAGGAGTTGATCAAAAAATATGGAGTCAGAAGGAAGTGGGGAATAAATTATCATAGAGCAGGGCCAGCCAGTTAGCCAGTTAATTTATAAAAATTATATTACTTTTATGAATTTTCTGATGTTTATAATACATATCAGC
Source organism: Homo sapiens (assembly GCF_000001405.40). NCBI lineage: Eukaryota > Metazoa > Chordata > Mammalia > Primates > Hominidae > Homo > Homo sapiens. Next base: position 228,315,276 of record NC_000002.12, read on the forward strand.
TTTTAAAAATAAGCAATTTTGTTGTTTTTTCATTCTTAATAACAATTCATGTTCTAACCTAATTTTGCCTTTATAATTTTTTATTCTTTTTATAAAGAGGGCCTCCAAAAGTGTATGAGCTTTAAGCCCCACAAAACTAGATGTGCTCCTGGATATGGACCACTGATTATTTGATAGTATTGTTTATTGTCATTTTTCTTTATTATCTTTAGAGGAACAAAGTCTCATTCTCTTGTTAAAAATATTTGGTGAGAACAGTCTGTTAGTTCTTTTAATTCCTCATTCTATCTATCTATCTATCTATCTATCTATCTATCTATCTATCTATCTCTATGTGTATGTGTGTGTAGATACATATATAATATATACCTACACACATGTGTTGTAAATGATATCTGTATATAACCATGTATGTATATATATTTATATAGACTTCTCTGAGTCACACAGTATCTGCAAGAAGTGCCATCATTTTTCCTTAGTAGGTGAAAAAAAGGATGTCAGGTAGTTGATTATGTGTTGCAAACATCTCTGTTTCTATGGAATACAGTATACACTGACATTTAATATTTAAAATTTTGAAGCTTTTATATTTTAATGTTTTGAAATTTTGGTAAAACAGATTACATAAAATAATTATGCATTATTTTATCATTAGAAATACATTCTTTGGAAAAATAATTTGTTCCTGGGATAGTATGCATCACTCAAGAGAAAAATGTAATAAACCCCATTAATAATGTAATTAAAAGAAACCTATATTTTCAAAATGAGCCATAAAATATCGATGCAGTTTGATAAGGGTCAGTTTCTGTAACTGGGATCAAAGGATACAGGGCATGCTCTCTGACAGTGTGCCCTCCTGTTTAGGTATGGGCATGTACTGATCAGCTTCCATCCTCACACTAACTGCACTCCTTTCAAGTGTTGGCTCTGATTCACAGATCCAGACTCTATGGAACACTATATGGAGATGAATTGTGGGGCCCAATGGGAAGTAGTGCTGTTGATCTATGAGCAATATCTTCCCTGGCCAGGTGGGGCCAAGCATCAGTTCACATCCTCAAGCTGGCCAACTCTGGATCATGTCTCAGTCACAGGAAGAGGTTCTCAGTCCTTAAGCGTTATAAGTATTTTGGACACTGTTGAATTTCTCACATCTAACACAGTATCTGCACTGAAGATGTGATTAAAAAATAACTGTCATTTAATGGATCCTCTTTAACTGTGCTTTGTTTTTTCCATACCACTTATATTCTTGCATAGTATATTTATCTGCTTGATATGCTTATTTTCTGTATGCATTCTTATACTAGCACAAATATTTCACAAAAGCAGAAATTTCTTCCTTTTTTGCATTCTTCACTGATATAATCTGTCCTCAATTAAGTGCTTAACTCATAGTAAACACCCAATAAGCATTTACTGAATTAATTACCAACATAATTGTTTTTATTTCACTACCTTACCTATTTATTTTTATCCAGGAAGTCAAACTGTAAGAGGGGGGAAAGAAGTTTCCATCAACCATTATAAAACAAAATTGACATCAGTTATTCATCAGTTATTCCTTACCTTTCTTCAGCACAGCTGCACCCAACTCTCTCTTTTGTTTTTTTTAGATGGAGTCTCACTCTGTCGCCCAGGCTGGAGTGCAGTGGCGTGATCTCAGCTCACTGCAGCCTCTGCCTCCTGGGTTCAAGTGATTCTCCTGACTCAGCCTCCCAAGTAGCTGGGAGTACACGCACCCGCCACTATGCCCAGCTAATTTTTTGTATTTTTAGTAGAGACAGGGTTTCACCATGTTGGCCAGGCTGGTCTTGAACTCCTGACATCGTGATTCGCCCACCTCGGCCTCCCGAAGTGCTGGGATTATAGGCGTGAGCTACCACACCCGGCCTAGCTGCACCCAACTCTTAAACAGTTACCTCCATTCCTCTTTTTACTGTGCTAAATAGTAGCTTTGTAAACTTTTCAAGTGCTTCCATAATAAAACAGCCATGTCTTGAATGATGTTTCGTAAAATTTTTCTTGTAGGGAAATTGTTTCACATTTACACTAAATAAGAAACTCAATGCCAGAAATACCATAATTGATTGTGTCATCCATCTTCTTGACCTCATGCTCCTTTTTTTTTTTTTTAATGTTTTTGTTTAGTTTAAGGAGAAACAGTCCAGACAGAGAAATTCTAGGCTGTTTGCCTGCTCATTTTAGATGTCGAGTAGAGTATTCTGATGGGCAGGCTAGGAATGAGGCATCTTAGATATAAATGGCCCAAGGAAGCTATAGAGAAGGAAAACTTTAGAAAAGTAAAATCCCTTTGTAGGTATATTCATTGCCTAAGAAGTGAGTAGACGTCTATAAAATGAATCTTAGAGCATACAAGTAAGTGTGTCTCAGGCATTTTAATATCTCCAGGAAAGCTGATCTTACCACCTTACACAATAAACCTCCCCAGGTACCTAATACGCACAAATTAATTCATTGCAGATTTAGTTTCACAACTTAGAAGTAAACTGAGGCAGGGCACGGTGGCTCACACCTGTAATTCCAGCACTTTGGGAGGCTGAGGCGGGATGATCACCTGAGGTCAGGGGTTCAAGACCAGCCTGGACAACATAGTGAAACCCTGTCTCTACTAAAAATACAAAAATTAGCTTGGCGTGGTGCAGATGCCTATAATCCCAGCTACTTGGGAGGCTGAGGCAGGAGAATTACATGCACCTGGGAGGTGGAGGCTGCAGTGAGCCGAGATTGCGCCATTGCACTCTTGCCTGGGTGGCAAGAGTGAAACTCCGTCTCAAAAAAAAAAAAATAGTTAACTGAATTACACAATGTTGAAATTCTTCAGACTTGAGCACTTGGCCTTTGCACTTTGGAGGCACTGAGTATCAGAGATGGCTTTGCGGGATTTCATTTTTATGGATTTTTATACCAATATGAGCATCACTACCAATAAAGCAGCATATGCCACTGGTTAGGATGACAGAGTATGGATAAGCAGAAAGGGTAAGTAGAATAGTAAGTAGAAGTATGGATAAGTAGAATGGATAAGTAGACAGCAATTGCTGTCATCAGTGTTGTATCCCCAGCCCAACTCCCTCTCCTTGTCAGTGCCAATGCTACCCCTGTCCCTGCGGCCAGCAGAGGGAGATTTTTAATGCTGAGCACCTCTTGCTTTGGTGTGAACTGTTCTGGCTTTTTGCCTATCCTCCAAGTATATGTCATCTATGCTAACCTCCAGGGAAGACCTTCTTACAATTAACCAAGGGTGTATTTTTTCCCTCCTCTCCTCTTCCTACCTGTGACTAAAGCACTCAAGTCTGAAGTTTTTACTATGCATTTGAGGTATTGCAAAGTTTGTCCAGCAGTTCACTGCATCAAAATTATCTGGGGCCCTTGGGGACAGAGATTAACAGGCACAGCTCTAGATCTGTTGGGGCCAGATCTCTGGGAATGGAGCAGGGAAGAAGAATTTCTTTTTTACGACCTTCCAGATATCCGATATATTTTCTTTGGCACCAAAACCCTAAGATATAAGTGGGGAAAAAAGAATTTGACTTAAGGAGAAGCAATGGGCTTCAGATGCTACATTTCTTTCTGGTTTGTTTGTTTTTTTTTTCATTCAGACAAACATGAAAAGCTGTGCTGTGATCTCTGATACTCACATGATCTCACTTTTAGTACAAAGAAGTAATTTCCTCTGTGAGTCTGTTTACAATGATGGGCTGTCCAGTAGGTTCTACAGAAATCTTCAGTTAAAAAAATCACTTTAAGGCCGGGCCCAGTGGCTCATGCCTGTGATCCCAGAACTTTGAGAGGCCAAGGTGGGCTGATCACCTGAGATCAGGAATTTGGGACCAGCCTGGCCAACATGATGAAACCCCGTCTCTGCTAAAAATAGAAAAAATAAGCTGGGCATGGTGGCAGGTGTCTGTAATCCCAGCTACTCGGGAGGCTGAGGCAGGATAATTGCTTGACCCGGGAGGCAGAGGCTGTAGTGAGCCGAGATTGCGCCACTGCCCTCCAGCCTGGGCGACAGAGCCGGACTCTGTCTCAAAGAAAAAAAAAAAAATCACTTTAAAATTGTCATGTTTTTCTTTTTCTTTCTTAAGAACGCTTTGAGCTATCAAGATATTTGTGAAGATGTAAATTCAGTAGCTTATATTTGCCTTTTTCTCGTGTTCATGCTGAAAAATAAATCTCAGTATTTTTACTTATGAATAATTCATACACAGTGACAAAAATGCAAAAAGGAAAAGGTGTATTAATATTTCCATAAGAAATAACCTCATAAGCTCCTGATTTGCAAGCCCTAATATCAGTCTTAAACTTTCTACAATGTCTGGATATTTGTAGCTTTAACCACAACGGAAATGATTACCTGTTTATGTAATAAATCTTTCAAATTCAGAATAAAATGTGGTCCATGTTTTTCAATTATATTTGGCTGTTGAGTTCATTTTTGACTAGAAAAATAGGGGTTGTTGTAGTTAGTAACTACCACCTGTTTTTGACATATGAATTAACCCATTTATGCCTAGTGTTCCCTTATTGGAACGCTAAGTATGTGGGAGTTATTTATAGCCTGCTGCTCAAGGTCATTGCCAAGGTCTGATTGCAAAAATTCAAAAAATTGCAACCTCCAGCATAAATGGGTTAATGGTGTTGAAATCAAAGATAGCTTCCTTTATTTCTTTTCAGTTAATCCACTTTTTCCTGTTTTAGGCCTCAGTTCAGCACAGAATAGGTGTATTGGGAAATAAATATTAATTGTGCTAGGTCTGAGAGAAATTGTGAAGCAGGCAAAATTTAGCTCTGGTGTTGTCAGCAGCTGTTTTTAAATTGCTTTCTCTCCCATCTGGGAAGCCTTTACCTTCATGCCAGGCTTCAAGCACTAGATACTTTCTTTACTACCTTAATGATCTTTCATACAAACCGGGGCAAGTGAGAGGGAGAGAAGGAGGAAGGGGTGGAAAATGGGGAGAGAGGGAGACATGGACCTGCTATCATTCTTTTGTCTCTTTAATGAAATTTCATTCAACATGTTTTGATTTTCTTTTTCTCCAAGGATTGCTTATATTGTACTTATGTTAAATGATGAAAACAAAGACAAAAGAGAAAAGACTTAGCAGACATGCAGCTCAGCACAAAGACAGGACAGGAGTAATAGTTTGGTTGTGAGGGACTCTTCCTGTAGTTATCTTTTGAATATTTCTACCTGCATTTGTATCTCCAGTGTATTAACTGTCCAAATTTATAATTAAAAGACTATACCATAACTGTCTAGGTAGACTGTACATGGACTTAGATGTTGTCTATTTTCTTTTATTTATTTATTTTGAGATGGAGTTTCACTCTTGTTGTCCAAGCTGGAGTGCAATGGCGTGATCTCGGCTCACTGCAACCTCCGCCTCCTGGGTTCAAGCAATTCTCCTGCCTCAGCCTCCCAAGTAGCTGGAACTATAGGCACGTACCACCACGCCTGGCTAATTTTTGTATTTTTAGTAGAGATGGGGTTTCACCATGTTGGCCAGGCTGGTATTGAACTCCTGACCTCAGGTGATCAGGCCACCTCGGCCTCCCAAAGTGCAGGGATTACAGGTGTGAGCCACCGCGCCAGGCCTGAGATTGTCTACAAAAATGATGGAAATGACAGTGAGTCTTGCAGTTATCTTCCATGTGATTTCAGAAGCCAGCGTTTATGAGGTGGTACGATAGACATTCCCCACCACAATTCCATTAAAGAGTTTTAAAAGGCACATCCTAAAATGAAGATTTTGTGTCTCCTCAGGAAAAGCATTTATGTTCTTTATTAAAATGAGCTGATAGCCTAATGATTTTCTGAGCCTGATGTTTAAAGTGCAGTTTTCTCGCCTTTTCTCCTGGCAAACGCAAGCGTGCTGACAGATCTTGTGGCTTGCAGGAGCACTGCTGGCTACTTGAATGTGCGGTTGTCAGGAAGCTCAGCCGCCCTCTTCTATTGGCAAGCCCGTACTGTAATCATGCAGATTTAAATAAAGAGTAAGCAAGAGAAAGCAGATAATTATCAAGATGGGTGGGCAGGGGCTTCTCCCTTTAGAGGCTGTATCCACACAATTGCTCTGCACTCCTTGCCCCGGGGCTCTCAGCCACAAATTCAGAAGAACTGGACACAAGTTTTCTTTATTTTTTTTAACTTCCGTATTATAATTGGCTACATCATTATTATATAACCAGGAGTTGTATATTCTCTTGGGCATTGTTAATCCTTTTAAGTGTATTTCTTCCATACCATCAGGTCAATGGTCATATGGTCAATTTCATAATATGTATGTTTAAAGCTGCATAAATTAGATGCTAGGTGAATATAATTAAAAAAAATTGTTTTTTGAGATGGAGTTTCGCTCTTGTCGCCCAGGCTGGAGTGCAATGGTGTGATCTCAGCTCACTGCAACCTCTGCCTCCCAGGTTCAAGTGATTCTTCTGCCTCAACCTCCTGAGTATCTGGGATTACAGGCACATGTCACCACACCCAGCTAATTTTTTGTATTTTTAGTGGAGACGGGGTTTTGCCATGTTGACTAGGCTGGTCTTGAACTCCTGACCTCAGGTGATCCACCCGCCTCGGCTTCCCAAAGTGCTGGGATTACAGGTGTGAGCCACTGCACCCAGCCCTAGGTGAATATAATTTTTAATTCATCATCTTCTACATTCCCATTTCTAGACTTACGGATTTATGTAACAGCTCAAAGACAAAGCACCCACTTAACATCAGCAATAGGTAACGATATTGAGAAAATTCATCATGTAGAATTCTATTCAGTTTTCTTAAAAACCAAGGCAATTACTAAGATGATTATAATCACTGATTATAGGTCAATTTTGAATAAAATATTTCTTTGATTTGAAGCATATTAATTATTCCAAAAGTATATAAACTGGAAGGTATGAGTTTTTATTTAACAAAATCTTGATTAAATATAGTAGTCCACTAGTTGTATAGTTTTGAAACATATCACCTCTGTGATGTTTTCTCATCTACAAAACAAGATTAGGATAGGTAATCTCTACTTCCAATCGAATGCTCTTATTACATTCATAATTACAAACCACAATGGAAAGGATTACCTGTTTATGTAATAAATCTTTCAAATTCAGAATAAAATGTGGTTTTTTTCAACAAATATCAGCCATATTTGTGCCTTGCTTTTATAGAATAAAATAGATTATTGACAAGCAATATGTAACCTTGACGATAATTCTGTGAAGTAGATATTTTTTCCCCATATTGTCAAAGAAGAAACTGAAAGACTCTCCCCAAATTCCAGTTTGTGATTGGTCAAAAAGGGGCTTTTAAATCTGGTGTGTGTGTGTGTGTGTGTGTGTGTGTGTGTGTGTATTGAACTTTGAGACCACTTGCCTGTATGTGTCTTTTTATTGAGTGTTTATTATGGGATAGTAATATCTTGGACTGTGTGACAGACATGAAGAAATAAAATACATGGTTCTATTCTCAGAAAATTAGTATCCTGGTGAAAGAGACAAGGCATGTAGAATGTTAAATAACACTGAAAGTTGATAATGCCAGCGGTTTCAAAAGACTGAGGACAAATGTCAAAGGAATGGGAGAGACACTCAATGTCATGGGTTCCTGTGAGTGGAAGGAATAAACAGAGTGTTGTGGGGACTGAGAAAAAATAAGAGCAAAAAAAAGACTGAGTACAGGGTTCTAGTCTTCTCAAAGAGGAACAAAGAGCGGATCAGTTTCTCACCAGCAAGGACTCTATCTTTGTTTTTCTTTAGTATTTTTCCAATCTGGAGGTGTGACTCTGGGCTAAAGAAAGATTGCTGGTTGACCATATTATTTATCATAAAGCAGAGAATGTATCTTTTTTCAAGACTTAGGAAGATGCCAACACAGATTTCAAATATAAGGGGTTATGGAGGCACTCGTTCCGAACTGCAACGCCTGAGGACGATGGTCTCAGCTCTGTACAGAAGCAAGGGTCTGGGAGTGAGGGGCCAGGCAGTAAATTCATCCCTATCACACACCCTTCCTTTTAAACTACATGTTTGGTGATTCCTCCCCCGCTCTCCTGAAGTAAAATTTATAGAAAATCCACATCTTTATATGTTTATATGTTCTTGTATCTAAGTCAGGTGTATAGCAACACATACTTCAGAAGGTTAACATTCATTTGAAAGCCTCTTTACTGTTAAAATTAAAATATTTCACTGTATCCCATTGAATCGATTGAACCTCACATTTCTAAATAAACATGAATATGGATCAAAGGAATTCAGTATCCATTCCTGTTAGAAATTTCTAGGTGGTATGAAAAGAATAGGAAGAAAATTGTATATAAGACACCAATGGCTGGTTAGTGCAGGTGGCGAGAAAATAGTCACTGCTAGCCAAGGATGAGCTAATCCCTCAGTGGCCCTTAGTTATGATCCATTCCAATACCTCAAGTATCTTCCCGGAGAAGCTCCAGATAGCCTCTTGACAAAGGCATATTGTTGTTCTTAAAGGAAATCAAGTGACAAAGTGTAGCTGGTTCAATAAAATCCAAGTCAAATGTGAAGAAAGAAGATCCCTGTACATGAATTATGACAGTCACAGTTGTTTCCTGCCTGGAGGGAAGGAGGAACTTTCTATGGCACAATTGATTGTTGAAATACTTCCCCAATATGTAACGTTGTTACCAATTTTTATGAATTATTTTGCCAACTCTTTACTACAATTAAGAAAATTGAAGCTGAACATTATTTGGAAAAAGAATTATGCAAAAATATCAGGATCAGTCTGAAAAAGAGGGGTAATAGGAGCAGGTAATGGCAGGTTTGACAAGATATTAAAGTGTATCAAAATTTTACATTAATTAAAACACTTGGGAGGAAAAAAGAGAAGCAAACCAACAGAACCGAATAAATACTCTTGAAATGTTTATGAATATTTATAATAACTTTGGCATTTTAAATAGTTGGTAAAAACATGGATTTAATCAATTAATGATATTGATATAACTGGCTAGCTATTTAGAAAGAAAATAAGAAAAATTCTCATGGCATTTGACTAATTTAAAGAAATTTCAGGTGGATCAAAATCAAAATACAAAAAAAATCCAATATGCATTGGAAGAAATCAGAAGAAATGTTTTTCTTAAAATATTTGCCTGAATTAAATCCAACATGTATTATAAATAAATCAAATTTATTTTTAAAATGTTTTCTTAAATACAAAATATACTAGAAGAAAAGATGAGAAATTGTTTTTCAAATTTTAGGTTGATTACATCACTAAAATGACAAGCCACACAAAAACATGTTTATAAGTCTGAATCTTGAAAAATAAAACATTCTAAATGTTCAGGATGAGTATTTAAAAGGTCAAACAACAAATTATAAATGTACAAAACAATTGCAACATATATGGAAAACAATGGCCAAATTTTATAATATAAAAAGTTCTGACAGTTAACTTTTTTTAAGTACAGTAAAGTCTTTACAGACTTTATGTTTCAGGAAATTAGTATCCTACTCAGCATTGATTTTACTCTGTTTAAAGTCACAATGAATTAAAATAAGTCTTAGAAAAATAGTATTGAGAAAAATAAAATGAGGCTCAGTTTAAATTATCAAAGGAATATGGGATATTTAATCATCACTTAAATAATTTAGATATACTCACTTTTTAATTTACTTATTTGTTGTCCTAGATGTTTTATTTCTTATGTTGAATTATTGTATTTCCAAACAGAAGCTAATATTTAAACAGTATTACTACCAATTACATTTTAAATGGACTAATGTTGCATGGGCAAGTTTATCAAAGCACTTTAACATATATGGAGATTTTTCCATGTGTAAGAATCAAAAATGAATACGAAAATGTATGTTGAAATGTAAAGTCAAATATTTGCAAGATGCTCAAATTTGTCAATCCATTTATTTGTACATTCAATAAGTATTTATTATATAGTCTTAGAATGTGCTGGGCATTATGCTACATAATAAACCTATGCAAAAATATGTTATCAGTGTACATGAGACTAGAAAATTGAGGTTTTCTGAGAGGGGATGGGATGCTTAAATACAACCGCTTCTTACTTGTGCTGAGCTGTGCCAGATGTTGCCTCAGACCCAGGCAAGAGCGGGGATTGGGGCTGGGGACTGGGGAGATCATGGCTTATAAAGAAGGCCAGGGGTGTAGATGGGAAGAAACCAGAGGAAGGTGGAGCAGGGCTTCTTGGAGAGAGACTTGCCCAGTGCTTATTGACTTGGTTCTACCCTCGCCATTTTTAAGCCAGATGGATGGATTACAAGATCACTGAATTTTATAATTAAGAAGGCTCTCAATCTTATTACCCCTCATTCTGCACAACTAAAAGAGTTTTATGTCTTTCTCCTACTCTTAGGGTCAGTGTAGACTGCTCACCTGCCTGCAGGCAGCATCTAGGAATTTCCTGCTTGCTGCAGATAGTTTTTTTAATCTTTATAACCAGAAAGATCAATTCATAGCCACAGCTAAGATCCTCTAGGTTTTCTATTTCTTGGTTTCCTTGTTTGGGTGATTTCAAGGCATTTGGGCTCTATTGATTTAACATTCTTCAAAAAAACTAAGAAAACAGAAAGAATGAGTAAGAAGAGAAAGGAATTATTGTGTGTTTTTCTTTTCACAGTTGTTATTTTATCACAAAAGGTAGCACATACTTCTCAGCCATTCTGACCCCATCTCTGGTGTCTCAGTCTGGATGGTGATGGGTACTCAAACTCCTGAATTGAATGATGGTACTCAGAAAGCATGAGAACCTGGAAGAGACAAAGACAGAAGGTGAAAGTATTGGTTATCATAGCACTCTTTCTTTTTTTCTCCCTAACAAACCCAACACACTTTTTGTAAAGTCACCATTAATCTATTTTTATCAAGTTCCTGTCAATGTAGTCTTAACTGTTTGGGGACACAGTACTTACTATACAAATGTAAGTCCAATGTTTTGAATGTTTCATGGATTTATTATTAAGAGAATTAAGAATCATGAAAGCCTCAAATCAAGAAGATCATGGCAGATGGAAGGTAGGACTAGATTGCAGCTCCCACTCAGATGGACAGAGCAGTGTGTGGAGTCTTGCATCATGAACTTTTGCTCCAGAACTACTGCAGGAATAAATCAGAAAAGCCAAGAGAAGCCATGGACCCTCTGAAGGAAGTGGATTGCTCTTGCAGGACCCAGGAGATACCCCAAATACTGTGAGCCCAAACTGTGGAAGTGGAAAGGGAGATCATCCACCCCCAAACACATACCCTCACTGGAGAACCTGAAAGTCTAGATCACAGGAGAAGATTCTGAACTTACCTGGAACTGAGTCAGTTTAGACAGACGAGGGAAATACAGGGGTAGAAGAAGCAGCAGGAAAAGACCTGTGGTTTCTCTGGGTCTCCTAGGAAGCCATTTTTGCCTTGCCCCTCAAGGGTCCTTGCAGAAGGCTGCAAGAGGTACTGGGAAAAGATCACAGGGTGAAGGAAACCTCCAGCTGAACTTTGTAACAATTTTAACTGAACAAGAAGTCTCTTGGCCAGAACTTAGGGGAGGGTGTGAATCCAGTGTGCAGACTCCACAGGTGGGGAAGAACAAAGCCCCACTCGCTTTCACAGCTGGGATGCTGGCTAGCCTGGGGCAAGTTCTCAGCCCTGCTCGTCCACTGCCTGGAAGCAGACTCGGTGCTGTTGGTTGGGGGCATGCATGGTGGGAGCAAGCCTCTTTGTGACTGGCTTGTTGAGAAGTTTAATTTTATAAGTGAAAAGCAGAAAAACAATGGGTCCTCTGGTCAAGGCCTAGCTTCCCATTCCGCCTCCCTTATTGAACTATATGTGAATGAATAACCTGTGTGGTACAACTGTTCAAACACCAGGGCATTTCCTTCATCACCTACTTATTAGGTTTCATGCTTCCCAGATGACAAACCCAAACAAACTCATTGCAATTCTATTAAATTGTATTGAAACTATTTTTTTCCTAGATCTTCAAATATGAAAAGCCACAACTTTACATAGTTTTCACATATAAAAATACATACACACATACATACAAAGAAATTTACACACCAAGTGACCAGAGACTGAGCACTGTGTGGGAAGGTTTTACTCCTGAGCTTAGAACCAGACTCTAGGCTCTGGGGAGGAAGGTCAGGACAGGAGAAGTGAAATAGATCTTTTAAAGCCAAAATGTCACAAACTGCTCATATTAGGAAAACAAAGCCTCTTGATACTGATGATGAGTGGACCATCTTTGGGCTTGCAGTCAGAAGGGCATTGGCTGGCAGTAGATGCTCTACTGTGGTTATGTGGAGCCCACCTGGGGTCATGGTGATCAGAAGCCTCCGCTGTGTGTATCTGTGCCATGTCCAGTCAAGGTGGTTATCGGGGGAACCCGCCCCCGATAATTCTTTGTGGGTTCTTTTCTATTTTCCCTAAGTGTCAGCTGGTCTGAGAAATAAAGGGAAAGAGTCCAAAAGAGAGAAATTTTAAAGCTGGATATCTGGGTGAGACATTACATATTGGCAAGTTCCTTGATGCCCCCTAAGCCACAAAACCAACAAGTTTTTATTAGTGATTTTCAAAAGGTGAGGGAGTGTACGAATAGGGTGTGGGTCACAGAGATCACATGCTTCACAAGGTAATAAAATATCACAAGGCAAATGGAGGCAAGGTGAAATCACAGGACCGGGGTGAAATTAAAATTGCTAATGAAGTTTCGGGCATGCATTGTCATTGATAACATCTTATCAGGAGACAGGGTTTGAGAGCAGACAACCAGTCTGACCAAAATTTATTAGGCGGGAATTTCCTCATCCTAATAAGCCTGGGAGCACTACGGGAGACCTGGGCTTATTTCATCCCTTATCTACAACCGTAAAGCCAGCCCTCCCTAGAGCGGCCATTTTAGAGGCCTACCCCTAGGCAGGCATTCTCTTTCTCAGGGCTGTTCCTTGCTGAGAAAAAGAATTCATCAATATTTCTCCTACTTGCTTTTGAAAGAAGAGAAATATGGCTCTGTTCCGCCTGGCTCTCAGGCCGCCAAACCTAATGGTTATCTCCCTTGTTCCCTGAACATCGCTGTTATCCTGTTCTTTTTTCAAGGTGCCCAGATTTCATATTGTTTAAACAATTTGTGCAATTAATGCAATCATGACAGGGTCCTGAGGCGACATTCATCTTAAGCTTACGAAGATGATGGGATTAAGAGATTAAAGTAAAGACAGGCATAGGAAATCATGAGTATTGATTAGGGAAGGGATAAATGCCCATGAAATCTTCACAATTTATGTTCAGAGATTGCAGTAAAGACAGGCGTAAGAAATTATAAAAGTATTAATTTGGGGAACTAATAAATGTCCATGAAATCTTCACAATTTATGTTCTTCTGCCATGGCTTCAGCCGGTCCCTCCGTTCGGGGTCCCCGACGTCCCGCAACAGGTGGTGGGGCCTGGTCAGGTTTACATGGGTGTCAACAGGCTAGGTGGCCAGGCCAAGTTTATGAGAGCTGATCATGTGCCAGGCACTGCTCTAAGAGGTTTATATCTATATTTGTTGATTTAATATTGGAATAGGTATGTTGATTCATCTTCATCTTACAGATGAGAAAATTGAGGGACAAAAAGGTCCAAATATTTGCTGAAGGTTCCAGTGTGGGTAAGCAGAGGGCCTGCATGTGAACCCAGGTGGCCTGGCTATAGACTCAAAGCTCATATTTACATGCTGCTTACAAATAGGAACAATGAATTCGATTTTTGACATTCATATGGCTTATTTATTTTTTACTGTATAAGGAGGAAGAAAATGAAAAATGAAAAGACTTTTCTTATTAAAGAAGGAAAGAAAGCAGTATTTCTTGATGCTTGGCTGGGAGATTTTTCTCTCTCCTTTCTTTTCCCCTGCTCCATTGCACTCCACTTACCCTCTTCTTTTTCTTTTTCTTTTTTTTTCTTAATTGTATTATCTGGGGAAAACCATGAGAGGTGATATCTTTAATTGATAAAGTTTCGGTGCCATACAGATAGACTCTCTGGTTATATTTTTAATTATTCTTACTGCAGAGATCCTTGTGAGCAGTTTAGTCCACTTCACAGTGAAATGAATGAAGAAAACCTGCACAACTGCCTGAGAGCGGACAGAGTAATTTTGAGTGTATAGACACAGCAGAGACCTGGTGACAGATGGAAGTGCTTCAGGCGCAGTTGCCATGCACATTCTTCCATCTGTCAGCACAAGTGTGTTACTATTTTGGGACTCAATTTATCCATTTGGAGAACAATTTTCAGGCTTGTTCTTAAGGTTAAAGTGAAATCTATAACTCACTGAGACTGTTTCTTTCTAATCGCTGTGTTGCTTCGCTTTTTTTATTAGAAAAAAAATTATTGGGGGATAGAGAGGTAATCATACATGGAAGACAGGATTGCTTGGATGGGATGATAAAATATTAAAATTGAACAACAATAAAAATAAAAGTAATTATTAGGAAAACCGAGGATATCATGCCTTCTGCAGGGAACGCAACACTTTAAAAATATAGTCTGATAATAATCCATGGGGAGAAAAGTCCAGACTCAAAACAAAGGTGTCCACGTTCACCACATCAAAAAGTAACTGTGAAGCTAATTCTTGAATTTAGGAGAAATGTCGAAGAATTGAATTCTTAGCCAAGTGAAATTTTCCCCCTCATGGTTAAAGAGTCTAGAGGTTAGATCAGCCATGGTCTTACTTTGTTAAGAAGAGATGAACAAAATAACATTTTGGCAGCACTCTAGTAGTCTATAAGAGTAAAGATTCGCTTTTAGATTATATAGGAAAGGGAGCTCAAAGGACACTATATCACCTGCTCCACTCAAGGTAATAGCTAAGAAACATTGCCTCATTTTTGCCTGAAGACAAACTCAGGTGTACTTCCTCTTTTGGATTAATAAAAAATAAGAAGCTGTCATTATACAAAGAAAGTAAATCTTGCATAATTAGATGTTGGATTAAGCCAGTAATAATGCTCTTAGACCAAGATGTCTTGACACTGGCGGAATGTACATTTATGACTTTCAGCAATTGGGTTATCCAAGAGAAAATGTTTCTACTTCCCATCCTCCAAGAATGCCTTATGCTTTCCCCATCCTTTCTTGTGTTCCTCTCACCAAAATTGCCCTGTCTTCTCTCTGCTGCAGAACTGTGAGAACTAAATTTCTGTTTATAAGCTACCAAGTTTATGGTATTTTGTTATGGCAGCACGAATGGCTTAAGACACAAACTAATTGCTAAAGGCAATATTAATGTTTTTAGGAGCTCTTGCCAGTCAGCTTCTAGCTTTCCCTTTTGCCATATGTACTAGATATGGGGTGTACATATTAAAGAATTGTGGAAAAATTCCTCCCCAAACCAAAGATTTGCTCACTCAAACACACATTTCAGTGCGTATGTGGACAGACTGTGTCTCTTTAAGATTGTTTAATAATGTATCAAATTTTAGTTCTATACAAAGTACTTCAAAATATATCTATTTATTATGACCTACACCTCATGAATGACATGCAATGGCTTAAGTTTTGAACATTTATTCGAGTAGAAAAAGAACAAAACAAATTTTGACTTAGACCTTTAGGATTGCAATTGACTTTAGAGGACATTTCTTTCCATCACACATAATTTGAGAATTTTCTATGATCCTGGGCAGATGAATGGCTAACTGCTCTCCGGATACTTCTTATAACAGCATGCTGACTTCTCCACAAGGAAACTAGTTCCATTATTAGTTTACAAATATTTTACTTATATTTGCTGAAAGCTTCCTCCCACTGGTTTTATTTCTGCTCTTCCAAACTTCACAAAATAATATTAGTGTATGTTCCAGGATACTGACTATTGGAAATAGATATTATTCTAAAGCCTGTCATCTGCAGCTGGGTCTTTCTAAACTGTAGCATGGTTTTTGGATGACCACACCATCTTGTTCATCTCTTTTTGTTGTTTTCTAATTTGTTAATATCCTTTCCATAGTATGGTGACTGAAACATGAAAAAATGTCCCAAGCACTGGATCATTCCATTATTCATGTTCTTCTCTCTAATTTTACCACCATAAGGCTTTCCCCCTTCATGGCCATTTTTAATATTTTCTATTTGTATTAATTTTTAGCTATTAAACTATGATATATTACTTTTTTGTTTGGAATTTGCTGAGCTTCTTGAATTTGTATGTTGTTCTTATCAGATTTTGGAAATTTTCAGACATTAGTTCTTCAAATGTTGCTTTTACTCAATCTCTCCTTTTTTTGGGAGGCTCCAGTTACACACATGTTGGGCCTTTTAATTGCTGCTATCATCGTGTGTTGGGGTGTGATACGCTTTTCAGGAAAAGGCAGTCATTTTTGTGTCTGTAGGGAATGGTCGCTCATTGTTTACACCTGAGTGTCTCCTTATATTTTTGCCCTCAGTTAAAGGCAACTACCTCTTTGACATTTATATTTTCTTCCCAGCAACAAGTGCATCTAATACCCGGTTAATTTTGGAAAACAGAAGCCCAGCCCCCTGCCTCAAGTATGGGCATCCCTGAAGAGCCAACTCAGCTTCAGAGCACACTCTGGGACTGCCTGAAGCCTCTGTTGCTACCACATTATAGTTATTTATTCTTCAATCGAATCTTACCTCTATTACCTTGCAGTTGTTTTTCAAAAGAGCAGTGTTCAATAGAACACTCACATGGAAAGGTGACACATTTCTTGCGATGGGTTCTCATATATCTCTTACATTCTGCTCATTACTATTATTATTATTACTGTTGTTTAGTTGGGTTATTTTCTATTCACCTGTCTCAAGTTCAAAAATTGATATTTTCTGCTGTTCAGTTTTCTATTACAAACGTTCAAAAAGTTCTTAATTTCAGATATTGTATGTTGCAATTCCAAAATGTCCATTTAATTCTGTTTTACAAAATCTGGTTCTATTTGAAAATTTTCACCTTTTTTATTTTTCTTCTTTTTGATTAGCATATTGATTATAACTATTTTTAAATCTTTGTTAATTCTGAATAATCTCTGAGTTTCAGTCTGTTGATTTTTTCTCTTAATTATTGGTGCCATTTTATGCCTCTTTTGTGTCTAATTATTTTTATCTAAAAATAATTTTTATTGTGATATGTTATAGAGCACCTAGATTATACGAATCTATTCTAAAGGATTTTAAGTTTTGTTCTAAAAGAAAGTTAAATTACTAGCAATCCTGTTGGGGGCTTGGACCTAAGCTTGTTATGTCTAATTTAGCTTTGTCCTTAGCCTTAAATCATGATTCTTACTCCAGGGCATGGCCTACTCCATTAGTCTCAACAGAAAGCCCAAGATATTCATCAGGGTCTCTCCTTATAGCTATACCTGAATTCCAGTAAGTCTCCATCATGCGGAGATTTCTGAAATCTATGCTCATCTCTCTGGGCTCCTGGTGGCTCTTCCTTGCTCAGTGTTCCAAAGTCTTTCCCTGTGCATTGAAGTAAATTTTTTTGCACACACTCAGGTCTTTTCTGTGGGTCCCTCCTCTCTAACAACGTGCCCTTCATTTCCAACTGCCCTGGCAACCCAAACTTTAGTCTTTGTTTTCTCAACCTAGAAGGACTGATGTTTTCTTTCTTGCATCATAGTTTTGAAAAATGTCCTGAATGAGAAAGCAAGAATGAATGTAGGCTAACCTGATGTATCATCACTTCTTTTGAGGATCTTAGTATTGATTGCTGATCAATGACTTCAGTTGTACACACACACACACACACACACACACATACACACACACATAAACATATAGTTACTTGCCACTGGATGGCAGGTCAGATATCAACTAATCTATTATGGTTAGAAAAAAAAATCCCTGTTATTACTGCTTTATTTTATCATGCCACTTCTTTTTCATTTTCATAAGCCTGTGTATCTGTGTTCATGATATTGCTGTAATGTTTTGTGCTACATGTCTTAACTTTTTAAAAACTATGGAAACAAGGTACAGTGGCTTGTACCACAATAAATAAAGATACTATGCTTTTTTATGCAGCCTAAGATTTCAGTGTTTAATATATCTATGAGATGGTTTGAATCTGTGTCCCCGTTCAAATCTCAGGTTGAATTGTAATCCCCAGTGTTGGAGGTCAGGCCTGGTGGGAGGTGATGGGATCATGGGAGAAGATCCCTCATGAATGATTTAGCACTATCCCCTTGGTGCTGTCCTCATGATAGTGAGTGAGTTCTTGTGACATCTGTTCATTTAAAAGTGGGTAGCACCTCCCTGCACCTTGCTCCTATTCTAGCCATGTGGTGTCTATGCTTTCTCTTTGCCTTCTGCCATGACTGTAAGTTTCTTGAGGTCTCCCTAGAAGCTGAGCAGATGCCAGCATTATGCTTCCTGTACAGCCTTTGGAACTGTGAGCCAATTAAACTTCTTTTCTTTATAAATTATCCAGTCTCAGGTATTTATTCATAGCAATGAGAGAATGGACTAATGCAATCTACATCATGGTTTTCTTTTCTTGGCTTTTATTGAGTTTTTAAGCAGCTTCTTCATATGAGGTGATCTTAACCAGGATCTCTCTTATCCAGTTCTTTATGATTCGGTTTGAATCTGAGTGTAGGCCTGTATATATACTACTGTTGAATGTCATCTCATAAATTTTGTATAAAGTTTTCCTAGGGTATTACTTTCTCAATTTTATTAAAAATTGCAACTTTTATTTTATATACAGGGATACATGTGCAGTTTTGTTACATAGTATATTGCACCCAGGTAGTGAGCATACTATCCAATAGGTACTTTTTCAACCTGTAACCCCCTCCTTTCCTTCCCCTTTTAATAGTCCATAGTGTCTTAAATCTTAATCTGCAATGTGCTAAAAGAGAAGTTACTAGTAGTCAAATAAATACAGCCCTTAGTTTATATTCCAACCCCAAATATAATTTATCAGACCAACAAGTGATAAGTTCAATCAGTAACAAGAACTGAAATTTAGCTACCCTCCAAAAGCCATAAAATCATCATTAGCACTAAGATATGCCATTCACAATTTTAGCAAGTGCTATTTCTGGTCTGAGTGTAAGGTCAAATACCTGACTGATGATACTGAGGACTGACAGCGGAACAGGAGTGACACAATCAGCAACTGCAAACCATTAAAGTAATCTGATGACACAGATGAAATTAATGCTGATAATTATTAGGGATATTAGAATGATTTGTGTTTATTGCCTCTTATAGCAGCATAATTCTGCTCCCTTAATAGAAGCACGTAAATGGTAACTTAAAAAGTACAATTTAATGATGATGAATATTATTAGTATTAAAAAGTTATTAAATTTATAAATATTTATTTAATGTTTCATTTCTACAAAGCTCTTGGGAGTACTTCTGTAAGAAGTATTATGATATTGGAAAGTAAAAGGATAAAAATCAATACAAAATAAGACTTGTTTTCATATAGGTATATTAGTTCAAATTGGAGAAATACATTGATGTTACTCTCCAGCTTTACACTTTTTGGAAATATGTCTATTCTATATTAAACCACAAAAATGCTGCTAATATAGAAACAGCCCTAAAAATGTACAGCGAATAGAAAAAATGGTGCACTGTGTATGTGATTATTTTCTCACTAAAGATGATAGAAAACATAATTTTAAAAATGTTATAATGAAAGTGGTAACCAAGAAAAATGCATTCATTTATTGCTTGCCAGAATTCATTAAGGTAGGTATTATCTAAATTTTTCAAAAAGGGAACTGTTTCTTGGGGCACACACAGCTAGAATTCAAATCCAATTTGAAATGACTGTAAAACCTTAATTTACACCCATAAAATTCTACTTTTTTAGTGATTTATCTGCTTTCTCTAAGAAGGGGAATCTGTTCCATTCTCTATTCATACAGTGATTTTCTCAATCCATGTAACAAATCATCAACCCATATAACAAACTCTCAATGCCTCTTATAGTCATTTCAGCCATTAGCTTCTTTCAGAGAACATTGCACGAGATCTAAACAAGGAGTTCTTACTGAAATGGCAATCAATAAACTGGTTTTAAAGAAAATTATAGTTTATTGACTTCTTAGACAGCAGTGTTTCCCATGAACTGCCAATTAATTTGATAAACCAGTGACACATTGTCAAAAGTCATACTAGAAAAGTCTTTCTCCTCACAAACAGGTTAAAAATGTCATAAATCTTGCTCCCTGCATGAAATAAGCTCATTTTAGAGGAAGCACTATTTGTCACAGAATTTATTGAATTAAATCATTACAGCTGATTGTATTCCAAAGGTGACTTCACAATATCTACTCTTCACTTGTGGTTCAAGGACATGACCTTGACATTCCCTGTCAAAGGTGAAGTTTACTTCTCCAGCCCCCTGGGCAGGCCCTATAATTCCTTTGGCCAATAGAATTGGGTAAAATGACACACTGAAGTTCTATATAGCCCTTAAAAAGCCTGCAGCATCAGCTTCCTGACACTGGAAACACTTGCTTTTGGTAAACTCCCCCTGGGAACCCATCAGCTATGCTCTTAGAAGCTCAGATCACATACAGACTGTAGACTGTGTCTAGGGACTTTGGTCAACAGCTCCAGCTAAGCTCCCAAGAGACATCTAGCAGAAGTTGAGAGCCATATGAGTGAGCCTTTCTGGACATCCAGCCTAGTCTAGCTTTCAGGGGACTGCAGTCCCAGATATCTGTATCTGTAATCAATAATTACTGCATTAAAGAAAGACCCAAATGAGAAGCACCCTGCTGATTCCAGTCAGCCTATGGAAACATGACCAATAATAATAAATGGTCATTTTAACCCACTAAGTTTTAAGATGGTTTATTATGTAACAATGAATAACCAGAATAGTCACAAAAACACTTTAGGTGTTTTCTGTGTTTTTATTTTGCTTTAAGCACCAAGAAGTATTTGAATAAACCCAAGTGCTTTGCCCAAGGGTACCTATATAAGAATCCTGATTTTCAAAGCAGCAGCATGAAATGAGTTACTAATTTTATCTTTACTTAGTACATGTGGACAATAGATACAGAGAAACAGTATCACTTGGCAAAAGTCTCAAGCAAATACTAATTATATGCTAAACTTACACAAAGATTTATGTAACCTTTCTATTACTTTGGCTTTGTGACCTCAGGATAGATCCAATATTTTCAGGTACTGAGAATTTGAGAAAGGACATTGTAAAGTTGATCTAGTCTCAATTACACCCTTGACTTAAGCCATTTTTCATGTACCACCCTAGTCTTTATCTGAATCACACATATCAGTTATAATATTCCTTGTTTACTCATTTGTGACTTTTCTAGAAGCATTGGGGTATCATGTGAACTTCATGTTTTCTTCCCGATACTGTTGATACTTTTAGATATGTCTTAATTATTCCCTTCTTTTGATCTTTTCTGCTACTTCTTTAGTTCCAACCCTTTTATTGCTCACCTGACTTTATAGAATTTGGCTATTGTTGTGCATGTTGCCATATGGTTATCTGAGCCCTTCTAGAAATAGTGATTTTTACTTCTGACATTGCCTGAAATATTTTTGTGCAATTATATTTAAAATGTACAGTAATTTCACAGAATAATAATATTTGACATCAAGTGACCATGTGTCCAGACCTACTCATCATAATCTGGATCCTGTCAAATCCACCAGATCGTAAGCTGGGAAGACCCACAGCAGTCTATCATAAGTCTAAAGTGGTACCATCAGGATCAGGTATGAGCAGGCCAGAGGGTACAAATAAGCAGAATGAGCAATGCACTCCCATGCCCTTTGCTATTATTGTACAATTTCTACTCCATCAGCTCAGAAATATAACTATAACTGAGGATCCAAAAAAGGCCAAGCTTGATTAATAAATGGATATCCTTAGGGTGTGAGGTACAGCCTTAATTCAGAGTGTCCTCAAAAGCTAACAGTGTGGGGAAACCCTCCCAATAGTCAGAATTTTGGATAATGTCCCTGGTCATACACATTGTGTGGAAATATAAGCTAGCCAGGGTAAGAATACATATGCTCTCATGGGAAGTGGCAAAAATGAGAGATTAGGAATAAATTAATTTGGGGAAAATAAATTAGAACAGACTGAGGCACAAAGTTGAAAATCTTTGTGTTGCGCATTTTCACACACCAAATAATATCAACTATGGAAGATGAGCAAAATTACCAAGCAGACAGGATCAACTGGTCCGTTGATACAGTCCAGTTTCTTTTCTGGAAAGAAAAGGCTAGAGTGCAGTGGCATGATCTTGGCTCACTGCAACCTCGGTCTCCTGGGTTCAAGCAATCCTCCTGTTTCAGCCTCCCAAGTAGCTGGGACTACAGGCACACACCAAGACACCTGGCTAATTTTTTGGTATTTTTAATACAGATGGGGCTTCACCACATTGGTCAGGCTGGTCTTGAACTCCTGACCTCAGGTGATCCACCCGCCTTGGCCTCCCAAAGTACTGGGATTATTGGTTATCTTAATGCTGGCATAGTGGGTGCATAAACAGAGCAGCCAGGGTGTCAAGGATAGAGGTGGCCATGAGCCTGATAGTTTGGGTTCCCACTCACCAAGGCTGACACAGCTACTTCCACTGCTGGGTATTCAACATTCCCCAACAAAGACTACTCTGGGATCCCATCTCTCAAGGAGACAAACAAGTCATCAAGTGGCAACTTCCATCCTGGAAGGAGCACTTACTCATCTTGGTCAGAAACAACACATCTTCTATCAATAATTACAGGTTTGCTGTTTACGTACTCAAGACCTAAACCACTACCACTATCTGAGGACTCACTGTTTGATTTAGCAAGGATTACATTTTACAGCAAAGGAGATATGACTGGGAACATGATGATGGGGCTCACAATCTGCAGTCACCAGAACCTGCCATCCTGATAGATCGATGGCATGGCCTTTTTAAGGCATAGCTGATGTTCCACATAGAGATTATTCTCTGTGAATATGGGGAACCACATTCCAGGATACACTATATATACACCCTAAATTAACAATTATTTTATGATGGTGTGTTCCCAGTACATAGATTACATTATCTGAGAATCAGGAAGTAGAAATAGGAGTGAGCCCAGGTACCACTTATCACTTTATTTCCTCTTGCCTCTCAGTATACCCTTTATTATCCTGTCTTGTGACACTGGTGTTGGACCTTGCAAGTATTTCTCCCTTGTCAGCTGGCAATGATGCTAAGCTTTGTCAGTAAAAGGCACTGGAGAGACACTGCGGGAGGAAGAGGCTTTTCTTCCTGGTTCTATTGTGCTTTTCACTTTTCTTGCTCCATGGTGCTCAACTAGCATGTGGGACACCAAGTGGTGTCCATCCCAAGAGAGTTTCAGTAATACCCACACCGGTGGCTCCCAAGTGAATTCTCCTGTCTTCCAGAGAATTTAGCAGAATCAGTTCCCTAGAGGCAGTTTCCAGAAATCCCACCAGTGTCCAAGAACTTCAGAGCACGTGACCTAATTGACAGATGGAAGTCTTATTGAAAACTTAGTTACAGGGATACAGCATCCTTAAAATATGGGGTTCTGCCTCAAAGGATGCAGTATATGTCCTGAATTAGAGACCATTACATGATGCTCTTTCTCACGTAGTCAGAATACATGAGTTCCAAATTACCAAGGAGTTGAAGTAGAAATGGCCACTCTTACTATCACACTTGAAAACTTAACTGGAGGAATTTTTGCTTCCTATGCCAGGTATATTTTGAGTTCTACTAGTTTGAAGTCTTAATCTCTAAGGAAAAATGCTATAAAGTAACAAAGCAAGGATTCCATTGAATCGTTTTATATTTGTTTCACCTGTATGTTGTTTCCTTTCACATCCTTTCTGCGCCTTCTTTTGGATTAATTGAATGGTATTTATAATCCAATTTTATCCTCTCATTAGCTTACTAAATATATCTCATAGTTAAGTTACTTTAGTGCTTTCTTTGGGTTTATAATATACATCTCTAACTTACCACACACAATCTACCTTCAAGCTATGTGATACTACTTTATATACAATATAAAAACTTTATAAGAATCTGCTTCTTCTTTTCTGACATTTGGACTCTTGTTATTATACATTTTAATTATAAGTATGTTATAAACTTCACAAAACATTTCATTTCCTTTCAAAATTCAATTACCTTTTAAAGAGATTAGATACTAATTTCTAATATGCTTGCTTCCTTTATGTAGATAAGTATTTCTGTCTAGTAACATTTTTCTTATTGCTAAAGACTTCCTTTAACATTTCTTATACTGCAGGTATGCTAGTAATGAATTCTTTTAGTTTTTATTTGTCTCAAAAAGTGTTTGCCTTGGTTTTTAAAAGATATTTTTGCATTTTAGTATGGCAGTTCTCTTTTTCAGTGCCTTCAAGATGATGCTCCACTGGCTTCTAGCCCTCATTATTCCAGTCAAGAAGTCTGTTGTTATTCTTGCTTGTTTTTTGCACACAGTGTTTCTTTATTCCTCTAGCTGCTTGTCATATTTTCTCTTTGTTGCTTGCTTTAAGTTGAATGGTATAGTTTTCTCCAGGTTTCTTGTGCTTCATTGAACTTCTTGAGCCTAAAGCTTTATCATTTCCATCAAATTTGAAAACTGTTCAACCATTATTTTTTTGGTTTTTTACCCCTCTCTTTCTTTGGAGATTAAAAATGCAGGTTTAATAGACCACTTCATGTTGTCACACTACTCTCTATTCTATGCTATTTTTTGTTGGTTTTTTATCTCTCTCATTTCATATAGCTTCTCATGCTGTTTTTCCAAGTTCACTAATCTTTTCTTCTGCAATATCTTAGCTGCAGTTAATCCTATCCAGTGTATTTTTCATGTAAGATATTATTGTTTTTATCTCTAGAAGTTTGAGTTGAGTGGGCTTTTAAAAATATATTTTTCATGTCTTCAAATTTCTTCTATATTTTGGAGCTTATGAAACATAATTATAATGCTTGCTTTATGTGCTTATCTGCAAATTATATCATATGTGTTATTCCTGAGTCAGTTTTTGCTGACTTATTTTTATTTACATTGTGGCTCATATTTTTCTGCTTATTTTCCAGCTTGATCATTTTTGATTAGATACCAGACATGCAATTACCAAATTGGATACTGAATATTTTTATATACCTAACTGTACTTTTTAAGCTTAGCAGTGGGATGTAATTAAATTACTTGAAAACAATTCAGTCTTTTCTGGTCTTGCATTTAAACTCAATAAGGCAGGAGCAGAGCAGAATTTACTCTAGAAATATCTTCCCCCCATTACTCAGGTAAAAGCCTTCTTGTTATTCTACTCTATGCCCTTTGAATTATGAGGGTTTTCATTTTGCATTCTTTCATTCAGAAGGTAGGAACACAATCCGTTTCTGGCCGTTGGTGAACACTGAGTATTTATAATTCACTTGAATCCTTTTATATATTTTTGGTAGTTTTTTTTTACTTTTTTACATGCGCTACTCATTACTCAGCTGAAAACTCAAGGGGGGCTACTCTGCAAATCTCAGGAGCTATCTGCATAAGCATCTTTGTTGTTCCTACTCTCTACCCTACAAACTCTAGCAATCTTGACCTTCTCAAACCATTTTTATGGTTCCTCCTAACAGTGAGATCAACAGTTCCTACCCAGGTCTCCTCCCACTCCAGCACTATATTATGGAATTATGCTCCAGGCAGTAGTCTGGGGGTGACCATAGAGCTCATTTCATTTCATTTTTCATCTCTTGGGGATCTCGTTCAGTACCTGATATTGCATATCTTGAACATTTTGCTTAACATATTTTGTTCTTTTTGATCAGGTGGAAGAATAAATTTGGTCCCCACCATCTCATTTTGACAGGAATAAGTCTCTACTTCCATTGAATTTGAAGATGAGACTATTAGCTGGCCACCTGGGCTTCTTAAGCCACGGAGTTGTCAGCAGACAATAAAAGGGGTTGCTCTAACGGCTGAAGTGTTTGATTCCAATAACCAGGAGGAAATTAGGTTGCTGCTATACAGTGGTGGCAAGAAGCACTATGTATAAAATCCAGGGGATTATCTGGGACCCTTCTTGATACTAACTTAATGGGAAATTACAACAAATGGAAACAATCAAGAGTACTGAGGACTTAGACCCTTCAAGAATGTAGTTTTAGACAACTCCAGCTAGTGAAAACTCAAACCAGCTGAGTTTCTGACTGAAATACCATAGTTGGACCCAAATTTTCACATATCTCTAACTTCTCAAAGTCCTCTTCAACTTACAGTCATTTGTAACATGTATAATATCTTTAAGCATTTCTTTGAACATTCCCTTTACCATATTCCTGTAATTAAAATGTGGCAATTCCTTAAGGACACTGTTTGGTGGACAGTTCTTTTAAGAAATGTTTGTTTTCTCCTCATGACACAGTTTCCAGAGATTCTGGAGGTGCTGTAGAAATGCTATTCGTTCCACACTGCTATTTCTAATACCTTTTCTCCTTCCTACACAAAACAAATAAATAAATATGTAAAAAAATTTCAAAAGATAATTCTTTTGAAATAAATGGCATAATATATGCTACTCTCACTTACAGTAGTGGTCTACCAATATCGCAGTGTTTTCTTCTCATTCATTGAAGATTCAAGTACCCGGTCTCACTGTTCTTTACACTACTAATCTTATACATTCATGTAAATGAATTATCCAACACATTAGCCTAGATCCAGCTTCAATCATATTTTTATACAGTCATACTTTGACCTTTTATTATCATTCTAAAATCTCTATTTTTAAGTCTCTTACTCTCTTTACCATATCCAATCTTTTGCTTACCCCATGAATTCTATTTGAACCATTCTTTGACCCATTGAACTTCCAATCCACTGACTCCTTAACTTTTCTCACTGGCAATAACTCCCCACATATGCACGCTTCATTCATGAAAAAAACAAATTCTCAATTCCCTTGCCACACTCTATCTTCATATTATGCAAGTAGCAAAATCTTCACCCAGAATAAATTTGACTCTGACTATTTTGCTGGTGATACCCTCCAGCCTACAGAAGAAGAGGAGCCATTCACAGAAATGCAGAAGAAGCTTCAGGAAGATAGAAGAAAAACCTGGAGACTAGATTCCAAGAAAAGAACTTTCCATGATTTTGTGTCTCTAATTGAACCTTTCAGTAACACTACTTCTGGAAAGTCCCTCCTAAAGAAAATGCTGCGAGCGATCAATTGTACCTAATTCTGAAAATTCAAGAACAATGAATCATGAGAATTAACCATTTGGTTAGTTCTTCCTCTGTAGCCCAGTTCTTTAGGTTGCCACAATTGTGAATTTTTGCCATGCCAACCTGGGAAGGATGGTTCTGCCCTGTCTAATGCCTTTCCTTTAATAGTAGAGTCATCTTGGAAAGTATAAGTTCAATCTTCGACAGAGTGAGGATAAGGGAGGGAGGGGGTCAAAGTGAGGTGGCAGGGGTTCAGGCACTTGCACGAGTGAGGTGCTAAAGAGGTCCTGGGGCCACGCATGGTGGCTCACGCCTGTAATCCCAGCACTTTGGGAGGCCGAGGCCGGTGGATCACCTGAGGTCAGGAGTTCGCGACCAGCCTGGTCAAAATGGTGAAACCCTGTCTCTACTAAAAATACAAAAATTAGCCAGGCATGGTGGCAGGCACCTGTGATCCCAGCTACTTGGGAGGCTGAGGCAGGAGAATGAATTGCTTGAACCCGGGAGGCGGAGGTTGCAGTGAGCCGAGATCGCGCCATTGCACTCCAGCCTGGGCAACAAGAGCGAAACTCCAGCTCAAAAAAAAAAAAAAAAAGTCCTGGGAGAGCTCTTTTAGGGGGATATCAGAAGTTACAAGGGAGCAGATACAATAAATAGAGGGGTTGGAGTTAACACTAAGAAGGGTGAATGAAGTAATGATATGGTATTGAGAAAAACCTTAGAATCTGTCTGCTTTAAATTAGCAGCAGTGCCGCCACACTGGAGACTTATGCTGAGCACTGAACTGTGGCTTAGGGATTTGGGATTAATTTTGACTTATTATTTTATTTAACAAAGTTGTATTGAGAGTATCTAAAATAAAATTCATGTTACTCTCTTAACACTTTATGCTCAGAAAGAACTTAAGAGTTTCACTTTCATTTCCTTCATGTGTTTCTCCCATCAGAGTTATATAATTGAACCAGACGAATTGGTGCTCTGAGCATTGAAATCAGCTGGTTGACTTTACTCCCCCTACCATATTAATCAACTCTCATGTGGCTGGTTAGCTCAGTAGATAAGAGCTAATGAATCCATGGCATAAGGTTTAATTTTTCTGGGGATCTGTAATGAACACCAGATCTCTTCTTTAGGGATAATACACCCATTTCCTCCACTGCCGACCACTGTGAACATCAGTTGCTGATCATATCTCTGTCCCTCACTGGACTTAGCCTCAGCCACAAGGTCTACTTGACCAGGGCTATACACTCTTTCAAGGGTAGCTTGCTGCTAATGACTGACTGGTGCAAAGATACAAAAGTCTAGCCACATTTTCTTAGTTTGAGACAACATGGAAAGGCTATCCCAGCTCTGGAGTTCTCTAGCTATAGAATTGGCTAAAGCCTTCATTGCAGCAACAGTGCAGGTGAGCTTCCCCTTCTGCCCAGTCCTGCCTTCCTCCTTCCTTAGACATGTCATTTGGAATCAACTACCAGTAATACACGGGCACACAGTTCTTGTCTCAGTCTGTTTCCAGGAAACCCAGTTGAAGGCAAGAGACAGGAACTGACAATTTTTGCTCTGTTCATGGTCAGAAACTGTACCTATAAACACTTGGCTATGTTGCATGGGAAAGCGGAGGAAGATGCAAATCAGTCTTCTCCCATGGGTAGATTCCTCTAAGGTCAGGCGAGCCTTTCAGCCTATTTCTCAGATGAGAAGAGAAATAACTTCTACTTGCATCAATATCGAGGACATTAACAATTAGGAATATTTTATTACCATACTGCATTTGTTTTCCTGCAAAGAAGAGTGGAAAAGTAATCTTAAATTGTTGGTGCAGCAAATGCAAATGCAGATTCCAACACCTACTGAAACAGTCTAACATAGAAACAGCAGAAAATAAATGACTATTTTAGATTTCAATCCATATGTTGGGCAAACTAAGAAAAAAGTTGTGAAGTAGTAAATTTAATGTGTAGTAGAGATAAAAGACTGAGAAACTGGAGAGGCTAAATTCAACAGTCCTTTGCTAGCTTTCCAAGGTCCCATCTTTTACTGATATACTTGTTGTTTGGTTGTTCTTATTATTGCTCTCATGAAATTACTTCTATTTCTCCAATTGTTACACAAAGGAATGTTCTTTCGGAGCAATGAAGGGCAGATTGTCTGGCATGAGGTCATTGCTTTGTGGTTTTGAGGGTCACTCAGATAAGGTAGGGAAGGCTATAAGCATCGTTGTACTGAGGAATTCCACCTTATGCACAATCTTGTTGGTTTGTCTTCAGCAGATATTTACTCATGATTCAGACCTATATGCAGTTTAATCAGGAGATCAAAACATTTTCCTGAGCCAGGGAACAAGATAAAATTTCAGGTCTAGTTTCTTACTGGCAGTACAATTCAAATTACTGGAGCCATGTTAGCTATTTCACAAAAGTTTTCTCATGTTTTCTTACAATAACCTATTCTCAGATAAGTGCTAAGAGCCTGATTGCATAGTTAATGAGTCTCGAGATTATGAAATGTAACTCAATAGAGGCATTCTAGTAAGTGTGGAACCAGAATTTGAACTCAGGTCCAGTGGACTCCAGAAGTAATTTTATGATCCATACTCACAAAATGTGAATTTCTTTCCTCGCCATAGAGTTTGTTCTTTGTTTTATGAGCAATGGAGAGGCCTTAAGTTTTTGGAGTGGGACAGTAAAGCAATCACTGTGGTAATTGATGATGACTCTTATTCCCCAAATAGGTATTTGGCTGGGGGCTGGAAAAAGATTGTGAAATTTATTGTAGTTGTTCACATGGGAGGTTAAAAAGGCTCTGACTGCCATGGTACTGGCAATGGAGAAAACAGGATGGCTGTGAAAGATATTTCAGAGTGACAATGAGACTCAACCGATTGCATAGTAAGACAGAGAACAGGGAGTTATGTTGATGGCATTGAGTCAAACAGAAATGGTGAATACAATGATTGATAAATCTATTGTTCTTACATTTTGATTTTGAGATGCTTTGTTGACTTCCAGGTGGAAATCATTACTAACCAGTTGGAAATTCAGGGTGGGAGCAATAAGTCAGTCTCTATAAACAACACTAGACTCTTATTATTTGTTATTTATTTCTTTAGAGACAGGGTCTGGCTCTGTCACTCAGGCTGGAGTGCAGTGGTGCGATCTTGGGTCCTTGCAACCTCTGCCTCTGGGGCTCAAGTGATCCTCACACCTCAGCCTCCCAAGTAGCTGGGACTACGGGTGCATACCACCACACCCAGCTAATTTTTGTATTTTTGTAGAGACAGGATTTTGCTATGTTGCCCAGGCTGTTCTTGAACTCCTGAGCTCAAGCATATTTGCCCACCTCAGTCTCCCAAAGTGCTGGGATTACAGGCATTTGCCACTGTACTCAGTCGACTCTATTTATTTCTGTTAAAAGAATTAACTTTAAAATATAAAAATTAATTGACACCTTGCTTGGTTAAATTTAATCACACAGGATATATAAAGTCTGTTAATGATCTGGTAAACAATTGAGCAATCATCTAGGCAATTAGATGGCACAGATTTGAATAATATAACAATGTCACCAGAAGTCTCTGAAGTCTCATGTGGAAAACTGGACTTGAGACTATTGGAGACAAAATGGTCATATTTTTCTGACAAAGGAGAGAGGTCTTAAATAAAATAAATATTTTAAAAATAAAAAATGTGATATTTATTGTTCTTAGCTTAGTTGTCAAAAGCTATATTTTATATATGTACACATAAAAAAGTAGATTTCCCTTATAGAACTTTACAATTCTGGATTTCCTTCCAAAGAATTGGAATATGTGGATATATTGGGCAAAAATGTTTTACTTAGCTGTGCCTGAGGAAAGGGGTTCTGGTTAGAGGGGCACGAACTCTGCACTTTACTATAGTCTGCATCTCTTCCTATCATTAAACCTCTCTACTTCAAATTTTTTTATTTTTATTTTTGACTTACTAGTTCTTGTTCCCTTTAGGTATTCACATTTAAGATTACAGACTTAGGATGAGGATGAGATGTTCTAGTTGATTAAATCCTATGAATCATGCTTACATGAAGATACATACGAATTATTAAAGATCTTGGCTAGTGGAAATACTTTATTATATGAATACACTGGAGTGAAAATAGACATACATACATATATTTGACAACTTGATAAATCTAATTACTATAACTTAGGCCATAAAAATCAAGAAATATGTCTGTAATTGTAGTTAGTACATCACTAACACACAGGGGAAAATGCAATTATTTTAACATTTACTGCCTAAATAATGAAGACTAATAGTTTCATCTGGCTGGATGACAGTAGGCTTGAGTTTAATTATAGGTTGTCCTTCTCAAATACTTTAAAAATCACAGCAGTTTGGCTGGGTGCAGTGGCTCACTCCCATAGTCCCAGCATTTTGGGAGGCGGAGTTGGGTGGATCACTTGCACCCAGAAGTTCAAAACCATCCTGGAAAACATGGCAAAACCTAGTCTTTACCAAAACCATAAGAAATACAAAAATACAAAAATTATCGGGCACGGTGGTTCATGCCTGTAGTCCCAGCTACTCGGGAGACTGAGGTGGGAGAATTGCTTGAGCTCAGGAGGCTGAGACTGCAGGGAGCTGAGATCGCACCACTATACTCCACCTGGATAACAGAGCCAGACTCTATCTCAAAAATACAAACAAACAAGAAAATCAAAAAAACACAGTAGTTTGCTCCTTGATGGCCAACCGTTAAATCCTAGTTACAGTTTTCCAAGCCTTGATTGCTTTGGGACTAAATCTCCCTAGAAAATCAGCTCCAGTGAGATGCTTACTCTCTTCCATTTCCATTATGCTGAAGCTTAATTACTTCCAGAGAGCTGTCACCAAGAGTTGCCTTCTATTGATAGCTCTAATGTTGGATCACCTTAACCTCTTCAAGCAGTATTGGTTCCTCTGACTCTTTTGTATTTAAACTTCTCCACTCTGTGGGTTTCTTCCTTTCTTTTTTTTTTTTTTTTTTTTATTGAGATAGAGTTCACATACCATAAAATTCACCCTTTTAAAGTGTCCAATTCAGTGTTTTTTAGTATACTTACAAAGTTGTGCAACCATTACAATTAGCTAATTCCAGAACATTTTCATCATCCCCACAATAATCTCCATGTCCATTAATAGTCACAGACCATTCCCTTCTCCCCCAGTCCCTGGAAACCACTAATCTGCTTTCTGTCTCCATGGATTTCCCTATTCTGGACATTTAATATAAATGGAATCATGCAGTGTATGGCCTTTCATGTATGGTTCCTTTCACTGAGTATAAAGTTTCAAGGTGCATCCATGCAGTAACATGTATCTTCCCTTCCCCTTCCCCTTCCCCTTTTCCTTCCTTCCTTCCTTCCTTCCTTCCTTCCTCTCTCCCTCCCTCCCTCCCTGCCTTCCTTCTCTCTCTCCTTCCTTCCTCCCTCCCTCCCTTCCTCTCTCTCCTTCCTTCCTTCCCCTCTTTCTTTCTTTCTCTCTCTTTCTTTCTTTCTTTCTTTCTTTTTTCTTTCTTTCTTTCCTTCCTTCCTCCCTCCCTCCCTCTCTCCCTCCCTTCCTTCCTTCCTCTCTCTCCTTCCTTCCTCCCTTCCTCCCTTCCTCTCTCTCCTTCCTTCCTTCCCCTCTCTTTCTTTCTTTCTCTTTCTTTCTTTCCTTCCTTCCTTCCTTCCTCCCTCCCTCCCTCCCTCTCTCTCTCTCTCTTTTTTTCTTTCTTTCCTTCCTTCCTTCTTTCGGTCTTCCTTTCTTTTCTTTCTTTCTTTTACTTTCTTTCTTTCAGATGGAGTTTTGCTCTTATCACCCAGGCTGGAGTGCAATGATGATCTTGGCTCACTGGCTCACTGCAGCCTCCACCTCCTGGGTTGAAGCGATTCTCCTGTCTCAGCCTCCCAAGTAGCTGGGATTACAGTGTGCACCACCACGCCCAGATAATTTTTGTATTTTTAGTAGTGATGGGATTTCACCATGTTGGCCAGGCTGATCTCAAACTCCTGACCTCAAGGAATCCACCCACCTGAGCCTCCCAGAGTGCTGGGATTATTGGCATGAGCCACTGCTCCCAGCCCATACTTCATTTCTTTTTTATGGCCAAGCAATATGATGTTGTATGAATATACCACATTTTGTTTATCTATTCATCTGTTGATGGATGGGTTGTTTCCTTTTTTTAGCTTGTGAGAGCAATGGTGCTATGAACATATGTGTACAAGTTTTAAATCTCTTGGGTATATACATAGAAATGGAATTGCTGGATCATGTGGGAAGTCTATACTTAGCTTTCTGAGGACTTGTCAAACTCTTTTTCAAAGTGACTGCACAATTTTACACTCTTATCAGTAATGTTTGAAGGTTTCAATGTCTCCACATCTTCACTAACACTTATTGCATTATTGCATGTCACTTTGATTAAAGGCAGTCCTGTGGACATAAGGTGATATCTCATTGCAGTTTTGATTTGTATTTCCCTAGTGACTAATGATATTGAGCATCTTTTCATGTGCTCATAGGCCATTTCTATATCTTCTTTTGAAAAATATCTATAAGACTCCTTTGCCCACTTTTTAATTGGGTCATTTGTCTTTTTATTACGGAATTGCAAGTATTGTTTATATATTTTAGATTCAAGTACTTTATGAGATATATGATTTGCAAATGTTACAAATGTCATTCATTTTGTTGGTTTTATTTTCTTTATAGTATCCTCTGAAGCATAAAACTTTCAATTTTGACGAAGTGTATTTTATCTGTTTGTTTTTCCCTTGGTTGATTGTGCTTTTAGTTAGTGTCATTTTAATAAATCATTTTCTAATGTAAGATCACAAAGATTTGTGCCTCTGTTTTGATTTTGGTTGTTGATCTATTTTGAGGTATTTTTTTCCTCTGATGCGAGAGAGGTTCAACTTTGTTTTTTTGCATATGAATATTCCGTTGTCCTTACACTGTTTATTGAAAAGACTACTCTTTCTCTATTTGAAAGACTTGATATCCTTGTAAAAAATCACTCAACCACAGATGTATCAGTTTATTTCTGGACTATCAATTCTATTCTTTTATCTATATGTCTGTCCTGTGTAGTACCACATTTTATCATGTTTTCAGAGAATGTTAAAAAGTTTTTAACACTGCAAGTGAGATATTCTGGATTTCTATTTACAAAAATCAACTAAAATAATTAGATTATCATAAAAATTGAAAAAGAAGTTGCATTGCAGAACATATTCCCTCTGAAAGACCTACACTGAGTTTGATGTTTTTATAGCGCTATTATAACAAAAATTGGTATGGCCATAACAATAGATGGATAAATACTCTGTATTTAACCTCATGTCTTTGCTTAAAATATATAACCATTAAATACAATAAGCCAATTAGATGATAACACCAAATTGTTAGGATTTTGACATCAGTTCATTTGAAATGATAATGCTTGCTTAGTGAGAGAGAGAATATCAAACCATAAGAAACACTAGAAGTGTTGTTAATAAAATAAAAATGTCATAGCATTAATAATTCTGTACTAAGTCAGAAACAATTTGAATATATTTGACATTTAAAATACTTAAATAATGTGGCCTAATGTTTACAGATTAGTTTTATACTTCCAGTGTAAATACTGTGGCTGATTTTAAATTTGTGATATTTAGTTGAAAAGGAGGTAAGAATTGTACTAAATGTGTTAATTATAGTGGAATGATAAGAAACTTTGAATTTTACAGTTCATTTAATTTGTGAGATTAAATTTTTTTAATATTGGGAACTTTTGCTTACAGAGTTGGGCTTGAGGAAATTTAATTAAGTTATAAATAAAACTGATTAATTATGGGAGTTTAGTTGGTTTAACTTGAGTTGATAAATATTAAACAAGGACTTTTTAAAAGTAATTAGAAATTTACTAGATTGATAAGTAGAATACTATTTGTATAGTATACTTCAAGCTTAAGGCAAATTAAGTTTCAGAATTTGTAACATAAATAAATTGAATAGTCATGTAAAATCTTAATTAACAATCTAATATACTTTTCTGTGTACAATAAAATGTCACATCTGGTCATACAAAATTTACTCAAATTGAAGTAGTTTATAATGCAAAATTCTACACACACTGAGAAAAAAATAAGTTGTAAAAATCTGCTATATAACAGCTTTTATCACTACAAAAGCAGACTTAGGATAAAGACTGAAAATATTATGTCCTTCAATTTTTATTACTAGCACAATAAATATACTGATTTCTATTATATATGAGATATTTTGAATAATCAGTATGTTTCTGCTGTTTTCAAATGCTTCAATGTTAATATTTTTATTTCTAGAATAGAAATATTTCTATTTAGTATTTTAAAATTAATTCACTCAAAAGCATTTGTTAAATACTTGAAGAATGTGTGGATTGAAGACAAAAATAACGCAGTCATCCTCAACGTAATGTTGAGTTTGACACAGAATTGACAGGAAATTCCTTGGGTGCTGTCATCCCTTTTCAGTAACCACCATAATCCAACTATTACAGAGGGGATGGTGTTTTTTTCAGGGGTAGAGCAGATTGTGACTTCAACCTGCTTCCTCTATTAACACTATTCTGCACCATGCTCACCAGGGGAGAAGGATTGCTGAATACAGAAGGGCCTGCCGCGCTTTGAGAAGTTTAAGACACATTCAACTGAGGCTAAGCCAGAAATCATAATCTAAGTGTCTAACAATTGAGTTGGCTTGTGTACTGAAGAATGGGAGCAGATCAAGCTTTGTTGCTAGAGCAGTCCTTGAGGTTTCCTCACCGAGCCAAACATTAACTCTTTGGTTGCTGGATTGTGGGGAGTTTCTGGAGATGTGGAGACAGGCTCGGGTAGCTAGCAATATCGTGCTGTGCTTGCGGGGTTAGGGGCAGATGTTATTTGCCAATGATTACAAAAGTTTTAAAATATGTTAACAAGCTTGATATTATTGTATTCTGGCTGAATATTAGCTATAGATTAAGCTATGTACAACTGCTACGGAGTTCTGCCTGTCTCCTACTTTTAACTAGGAGCCACCATTATATTATAGCAAAGTGAAAGGGCATAAACCTTATTTAGGAAATAATATTGCTCATATTGATTAGCAAAGTGATGCCCTGACCTTAGAAATAACCACGCTATGATGCTTAAGAGTCTTAGGTTTCATCCGTCCTTTGATCTTGGGCATGTGATTTTTCCAGGAGAACCTCACAGGCTTTGCTTTTGATGGCTCCACTCCCATATATTCAGATGGAGATGCGATTGTGCACTAAACTCCTTATAATTCAGTATCTCACATCCATTGGGAGTTAGAGCCACAGAGGCATGTAATCAAGTGTAAGAAATGGCATTGATATAAGGTTAGTGGGTAAAATGGCTATCATAAATTACTATTGTTTCATTTTGAATTTTTAAAATGTATATTGTAAAATTCACATTTTTGATGTAGAGTTTTAACAAAGCATAGTCATGTAACCTCCCTTATAATCAAAATACAGAATAGTTCTTTTTTGAAGGGAGCTTTTTTTTCTATTTTTTTTTTTTTTTTTAATAAACAAAACTGCCCAGGTTTATTGGCCAATAGAAGTCTTCCACACTCAGGGGAAGACTTCTCTGGCTTCCTCAGCTGTAATCTCCTGGGAGTAGAGGTCAGTGAAGAGAGCTGGCAGCCAGTAGTGGATCTCCCCTGGGGCCTGTAAGTCCAGCCACGCCAGCCCTTCTCTCAGCAGGTGTTCTGGCACTTGCCCTGCTCATTGGTTCTCCCATTTAAGACTGGCTTTGATCTCTCTGACAGTCAATAGCCATTTTTCTCTGCCAGCTGCAGCCCCATGGTGTGATCCATATTGAATTCAGCTGGAACAGACTGAATGAGGTAAGTGCCACTCATGGGGATGATGCTGAAGCCAGTGCCAAGTGCCTTTAGTTTCTTGATGGCCCTGATCAGGTTGTCTTGACTGACATCCTGGGTGAACTTGCCCCTTCCTTTTAACACCTGTTGATGTAGTTCCTCTAGAGTTATTGGACCTCCACTCCAATGCTCAGCACTAGGCACACTTTGGTAATGTGGACACCGAGTTCGTAATAAAAATCCCCCACACCCAGCATCTCAGATCAAAATCCTTTTCCAGAGGCCAAAGGCTCCACCCCAAAGGTTGCACACATGTCCTGGAACTGCACATGGAACTCAGGATCCTTCCGGATCTCCTGCTTGTGCTTGCTGGCAAATTCCTCCAGGTTGGTCTTGAACATGCCCAACTGCTTTGACATCTGGGCTAGCTGGTCCTCAGCCAAGACCGTCCTTTGCTCCTTATACTAAGCCTTGGAAAATTTCTTTTCTTTTTTTTCTTTATTTTTGAGATGGAGTCTTGCTCTGTTGCCCAGGCTGGAGTGCAGTGACACTATCTTGGCTCACTGCAACCTCTGCCTCCCAGGTTCGAGCAATTCTCCTGCCTCAGCCTCCTGAGTAGCTGGGACTACAGGCACGTGCCACCACGCCTGGCTAATTTTTTGTATTTTTAGTAGAGATGGGGTTTCACCATGTTGGACAATGTTGGTCTCGAACTCCTGACCTCAGGTGATCCACCCGCCTCAGCCTCCCAAAGTGCTAGGATTACAGGCGTGAGCTGCCGGGCCCAGCTGGCCTTGGCAAATTTCTCTGCGGCGATGACACCAGTTCCCACCCCCCGATGGTGCATCCCCGCCCTGGGCCCATGTCCCGGGCTCCTCTGCTGCTGGCTCCCCGGAATAGTTCTTTCAAATAAAAAAATTGCCTTGTACTATTTCTTTTTTGTCAAATGTTATATGCACTTCTTACCCCTGGAAACCATTGATCTGTTCTTTATCATAAGAGTTTTCACTTTTCCAGGATGTCATATATATGTAATCATACAGTATGTAACCTTTTAAGTCTGTCTTCTTTCACATCTATATTGTCATGTGTATCAGCAGCTTGTTTATTTTTATTGATGAGCAAAGGTGCATTGTATAAATGTACCAAACTTTGTTTATCCATTTACCTACTTAAGCGACAAAAAGTTTTAGGTTGTTTCTAGTTTGAGGTGATTATAAATAATGCTGCTATAAACACTTGAGTTCAGGTTTTTGTGTAAATATATTTTCATTTATTTAGTGTAAGTACCTAAGAATAAGATTACTGAAACACATATGAGTCTATTTATAAAATAAGTTTGTTGAAGTATTTTCCATAGTGCCATTTTGCATTCCTATTAAAAATGTATGAGATTTCCAGTTGCTCCAGATTCTTGTCTGCACTTGGTATTGGCATTTAAAAAAATGTTCACCATTCTATTAGGTGTGTATTGGTATCCTTTTATAATTTTACTTTGTATTTTCCTAAGGACTAATAAAATTTAACATATTTTTATGTATTTAGCTATCATCCATAGGTACTCTGTGGTGAAGTGTCTGTTAAAATATTTTACAAACTTTTGAGTTTTTTTCCCTTGTTGTTTTAAGAGTTCTTTCCATGTTCTGGATTTATATCCTTTGCTCAATATGTAATTTGAAAATATTTTTCCTAGCTTGTTTTTCATTCTCTTAACAATGACATTCACAGATCAAAAGTTTGTAAGTGTGATAAAATCTAAAATCTTGATTCAGCTCTATACGTTTATCAAAAATGAATTGACTATGTTTGTGTGGATGAATTATTGGACTTGCTATATGTTCCATTGATCAATATGTCTATCCTTTTGTCACTCCCACACTTTCTTGATCATTATAGCTTTATAGTGAGTCCTAAAATTAGGTAGTGTAAGTAGAGCAAATTTGTTCTTTTTCAAAATTGTTTTGGCGATTCTAATTCCTTTGCCTTTTCATGTGAATTTTAGAATCAACCTGTTAAAATCTTGATTATTTCTGTGTAATTTTTAGTGCTTTATCAGGGATTACAATGTACATGTCTAACTTTTCACAGTCTACTTAGAGATCATATTTTATTACCTCAAGTAAGACGTAGCTGTCTTACTTGACGTAGTGTGATAGAAATAGCTATCACACTATAGGTCCCTTCGTTCCTTCCTTTATGTTATACTTGTCACATGTGTCATATCTGTGAACACTGAAAACCATATTAAACAGTGACATATGACCTATTACAATTATTTATATTTTTATCATTTTGGTGGTTCTTCCTTCATTCTGAAGTTCCAAGTTTTCTTATTTTGTCAATGGTTCTCTGCATACAAACTTTTTTTTTTTTAGCCTTTCTTTTAGAACAGGTGTACTTGTGACAAATTGTCTATTTTTTTTTTTTACCATTTTTGAGTATCTTTATTTTGTTTTTATTCCTGAAGTATGTTTTCACTGGATATAGAATTCTGGAAGGACAGAGTTGTTGTTGTTTTCCCTAGCACTTTCAAAATATTGATTCACTGTCTCTGGCATTCATGATTATTTGCAAGAGATGTGTAGTCCTTTGAATCTTCATTGCTCTCTACATAATGCCATTTTTTTCTGTCTGCTTTTAAGATTTTTCTTAATATTTTGATTTTCAGTACTTCAGTTATGATGTATCTGGGTGTGGTTTTCTTTGAGTTTAATCTATTTGAGGCTGACTGAGCTTCTTTTATCTATAGGATTGTCTTTCATCCAATTAGTGATGTTTTAAGCCATTATTAAATCAAACCTTTTTTACCATACCAATCTCTATCTTTTCTCCTTTCAGAATTCTAATGACAACATGAATAACCTTTTGATAATATCCTACAAGTCTCTGAGGCTGTTTATAATATTCTCAATTTTTTTTCAGATGATATAATTCCTATTGATTTTTATCTTCAAGTCTGCCGACTCCTTCTTCTGTTATTTCCATTCTGCTATGGCTCTCTTTCAGTGAATTTTAAAATTCTCAATAATTAATTTCTTTGTTATAAAATTGCCATTTTCAGGAGAATTGCTTGAACCTGGGAGGCGGATGTTGCAGCAAGCCGAGATTGTGCCATTGCACTCCAGCCTGGGTGACAGAGCAAAACTCTGACTCAAAAAAAAAAAAAAAATGCCATCTTATTCTTTTCTGTTTCTTCCGTTTCTCTCCTGACAACTATCTGTTTCAAGAGTGTTCACTCTTAATTCATGGGCCATAACTATAATTCTAATTTCCAAGTCTTTTTTGAATAATTCCAACATCTTGGTCAGTTTGGGTTTAGCATCTGCCTATTGACTGTCATTTCCCTTAAGAGTTAATCCCTTGAGATATTTTTATGATTATTCATATATCAAATATTTTTATTATATCCTGGACATTTTGAATATTATGTAATAAAATTCTGTTGCCTTTGTAATTTTCTGGAGAATGTTGTTTCTTTTAGCATGCAATCGATTTGGTTGCATTCAGACTATGAGTACTAGTCCACGTCTGTAGACTATTGTTTGAATGTCATTTTTGTTTATAAAATCCTTTGCTGTGCTATTTTCAACTGCTCTGTCGTGTGTGCCTTTGGGGTTTCTCTGAGATCTAGGCAGTAGTCTGTACCATAGGTCAGTTCTTAAAGCTTTACTATGTTGTGTTAGGTCAGCTCCATGCATGTGCCTCTTGTGGTTGAGCTCAGGACTCCATTCAAAGTATGCTTTTTCCTGGGCATGGCAGCTAACACTCGTAATCTCAACTACACAGGGGCATGAGGCAGGAGGATCATCTGAGCCCAAGAGTTTGAGGCTGCAGTGATCTGTGATTGTGCCACTTCACCACAGCCTGAGCCACAGAGCAAGACCCCATTTCTTAATTTTTTTTTTTTAAAAAGGGCAGTTTTCTCCAGCTCCTCTTCTCTATGTGTGTCCCCAATCTTTGGTTGCCAAGGGTCCCTTTCATCCACACACTTTCCAAAAAGCTGGAGTTTTAGCCTTTACGTATATACTTTCATGACTAGATCTTGTATGGGGCAAAGCAGTGAAAGCAAAGTGTGGGGGAAAAAATAATAGTGAATTTCCCCATGCTTTTCAGATTACAAGAGCATCTTTTCCCATTCTTCTGATCAGTGAGAACTTTTATCTCCTGCCTTCTTTCATTTTTCCTAAGTTCTGAATTTCATTCCATATCTGAACCTTACCTGTCCATGAGTTTCATGCTACCCCTGAGCCTCATCCCCATTCTATTTTAGGACCTAGCTCTATTAATGATTCTCACTCCTGTCCTGAAAAGACATTTCTGAGTTTTACTCATTGTAAGACTCACCTAACTTCCTGTCCATTTGGTCCCCTCATTTACCGTTGCCACAAGTACTCATTCTAGAAAGAAAATTTATTCTGCACATTAAGTGGTTACTCAAACAAAGCAATGTTTCTACATTTTTATGCACCCAACCAAAACCGAAAATTTTACTTTAAACTTCTATTAACTTAAGAATAAAGAGTTTGTTTACCTTTATTCATAATTGTCTGTTTTGAGTTACCATTGCTGAATTTACAGCTGAAATGATCATACTGAAAGCAGGAACGGAAGAATTTTGTGATTATCTTATTTTTTTTTTTTACTTTTTTTTGACATTTAAAAACAGGATACTAGAATTATATTTACTATAAAAATTTTCTTCAGTCTCTTTCCTTTCTTCCAGATAATGTGGCTCACTGAGTTTTTGCTCAAAATAAAATAGTTTTTTGGGCCTCCGTCAAGATGCTAAATTGGATTTTTCTTCACTGGTGTTTTATGAGGTGTTAATTTTGCTCGTTTCCAAAAAGAAGTGACTTTTCACAATCATTTATTCTTGGTCTCTAACTTCTTGGGACACAGACATAAGGATTAGGAAATGAGGTGAGAGGTAAGGTGTAAATGTTGTCAACTGCATACTTTAGATGACATAATCTGTGAATTGAAATCCTTGCTTACTTATTTGATTAGATTAACTTCTCAGGATACTGAGCAAACATCAAAAGAAAGTTTATTTCTGATAAGTTGTAAAACATATATTCAGTTTTTTTCCTCCTAGGAACATTAAAGCAATATAGGTTAAGATGTTAATTAGAGGCCCTGCGGGGTGGCTTACGCTTGTCATCCCAGCACTTTGGGAGGCTGAGGTGGGAGGATCACCTGAGATCAGGAGTTTGAGACCAGCCCGGTCAACATGGCGAAACCCCATTTTAGTCTCTACTAAAAATACAAAAATTAGCCAGGCGTGGTGGCAGGCCCCTGTAATCCCAGCTACTCGAGAGGCTGAGGCAGGAGAATTACTTGAACCTGAGAGGAGGAGGTTGCAGAGAGCTGAGATCGCTCCATTGCACTCCAGCCTGGGCGACAGAACGAGACTCTGTCTCAAAAATAAAATAAAATATAATTAGATTAATATAAATGCCCGATTAGAGAGATGACTTTTCAGAAACTGCTTTTTTATCTTTAGGCAAAGAGTCAAACTTTACAGAGAAAAACTTAGGAGGAACATTTCAATTTATATGAACAAACCTATCTTTAAATTTAGAAAAAAGGCAGTAAGTTTATCGGTTTTAAAAAATTTGTTTCTAGTAATACATTGTATTTAGAAGGTAGGCTATCATTTTATCAAATTAATCATGACAATATACAGAGCTGAAAACATAAGCAATTGATGTCTTGGAATATAATGATTGAGAAAATACTTCTAAAAATTCATGATAATTTTGTTCAGTAAATATGGCAAATTCAACATTCTAATTAAATGTGACATTTGTTAAGCAAATAATGAGTGAAATACTGTATAGGGATACATTAATTGTAAATTTTGTGTTTTAATTAATTAAATGTTAAATTTCTTTTGTTTTATTTTTCCTATTTTCTTCAAAACATTTTAAAATATAAGAAATATATTTTATAAGATATAAAACATTAAAATACATTTGAGGCCGCCTTTGTTTCTTTTTCAACATCCATTTCCTCCCCCGTTCACCAGATGCCACTACTTTAATTGATTTGATATTAATCATTCCAATACATTTAAAAAATGCTATTACATAAAATATTGATTTCTCTTCTTTTAAAACCTTTACAAATGGTGTTTGTGAAAACGTACCATAGTACATACAGCTTTTATCACTCTATATTTTCCAGTGTCCATATCAAACGCATTTCCATAGATATGAAGTTTATTCATTTTTCTCTGTGTAAGATCCCATTTTGTAAATATGTCATATTTTACTCATTCATTCATTGTCTCAAATATGTTTCGGTTTTTCCAATTTTTTAGTATTGCAACAACGAAACAGTGAATATACTTTGGCATACTTTATTCAAACTTTTTTTTCTGTAAAAGTCCAGATAATAAATATTTTCAGCTTTGTGAGCCAAGAGGACACCTATTCTACCTTTGTAATGAGACAGTACCCACAGATAATACAGGCCATGGCTGTGTTTGTAGTCAGTAGCCATGGTTTTATGTAATTCTTTATATTTATTTTGCAGGTTATCTTTCTTTTTTTTTTTTTTTTTAGTCTTACCAAATATTTATTTATTTATTTATTTTTATTTTTTATTATTATTATACTTTAAGTTTTAGGGTACATGTGCACAATGTGCAGGCTAGTTATATATGTATACATGTGCCATGCTGGTGCGCTGCACCCACTAACTCGTCATCTAGCATTAGGTATATCTCCCAATGCTATCCCTCCCCCCTTCCCCCCACCCCACAACAGTTCCCAGAGTGTGATGTTCCCCTTCCTGTGTCCATGTATTCTCATTGTTCAATTCCCACCTATGAGTGAGAATATGCGATGTTTGGTTTTTTGTTCTTATCTTTCAACTTATTTTCAATTTTTACTCCCAAATCAATGAATTATATAACCAGCAAAAAAAGTATTAAATGTTTGCCATTTAAATCTTTGAGTTTAAAATTTAATTGTGAACACATTCCACAGGACACTGTATTAGGTGGTTACAGGCTTTATTCACAGACTATAATTCATGTGCCTTATATTATGCATGACTTAAAGGGTTTTCAAGGGGAAACTTAAAATAAATTCACTTTAATAAAAATTGAATTTGTTCTCAACTGGAAAGGAGATGGTTTCTAAATGAGCCAACAGTTTGGGTCATTTAGAAAACATAATTTTGAAAATATAGGCATGAGCAATACTATTTCCTTTGTCAAGAGTAAGACAATTATACTAATGTTACTGCAAAGGAGTTCAGATTTTATGTATTTCTGTTAGCTGTCATGTTTCCATAGAAACAGTGACTGAGAAAATCAGTGTTAATTTCGGCTCCTTCACCTTGTCATTCTAACACAACATACATCTGTGTGTATAAAATATGTGTTTATACACACACAGAAGAATATATATGAAAATAATATTAATTTTTATTATTTTTAACAAACACACTGAAACTCAAATTCTTTATAGAGATGTGAGTTGGAAAAGTAAACTAAAATCCCCAGAGCAGAATAAGGTCAT
This sequence comes from Homo sapiens, assembly GCF_000001405.40. Lineage (NCBI taxonomy): Eukaryota > Metazoa > Chordata > Mammalia > Primates > Hominidae > Homo > Homo sapiens. The sequence continues at coordinate 228,359,897 of NC_000002.12, forward strand.
CTTTATTTAACTTTATGTCATCCATTCTCTTTTCATTAAATTAATAAAAATAGACATGGCCTGTATGAGATTCTAGATAATAGTTTTGTATTGAACTGCATGTAAAAATAATATGAAGTTTTGCTTTATTAAATGAAAAGTCTATTTCATGAATAAGCCAATATTAGATTATTTAATAGTGATGATTTTATAATTTATTGCTATTCAGTGTTATTACTTGAATAGAAAGTGCATAATTAAAAAATCTTTGCTATTAAAATATTTCTAGGTCAAAATTTGGCATACTTAAAGACACTTGACATTTTAAACCTGGAGACTCCTCAAAGAATATGATGAATATTGTCAATTCTTGCATAGAAAAGTTTGTTTCTTCAATATGGCATTAATGCAAAAGCAGTATCGTACTTCTCTGGATATTTTTCAAATGTTGGATTGTGATGGGAAATTACGATCTTACTATTTTCTACCAATTTTTTTAAATGTGTAATTTAATAGAAGGATGTCAACTTTCTCTGTGGAATAATGCATTCAACAACAGTGTTGTGGAATATGAAAGAATAGTAGCAATAATTTGTTTGAGCTTATGTAAAAAGTTAAGCCAGGAGGTATCTTAGGTACTCTAAGTTCTTTTTCTTAGGTACACAAGTTTAGGATAGGCGAGTAATGCAAATGAGAGTTCTTTCCAGTAGATGCAGGGTTTTGATAATATATTTTTAATCATTTACAGGACTATTTACATTCTCATATCCCTAGAGTTGCTGGATATTTTCAATTGAGTTAATTAATGATAGTCATATTATTAACTGTTACTACTTGCAGGGCACTAACTATGTGCCAGCACCATGCTTCACACTTCACATTTGTTATTTCGTTAGAATTGCTAATTCTAGAAGACAAGTGCTGTTATTTCTCTGATGCCACAGATGCTCAAGAAATCAAACCCAGCCAGTCTCAGCCCAAAGCTTGTCTCTCAACCATTGTCGACACCACCTGTTGATACAAATCGCTTCGTTAATTCATCTTAATTTTCTTCATTTAGGCAAATTGATTATCTCTGGTTTAATCAATTCAGCCTGCGGAAAGAATCATATTCCTTAAAACTCAATTGAGCCCTGTACCCATTATTACTTATTTTGTGAATACTATTCCACCCCTATTTATTAAATTACTAACTTTAATTAATGAAAGAAAAATCATCATGAATATTTATTTTGTGGAGGGAAATAGTCATTCAAACAAATTTTTAGTATTTTAAAATCTTTTCTTTTTTGATTCTGCTTTATGTGTTGTCTACAAGTGAATGGCTTAAATTTGCAATGGAAAATAATATAGGTCGTCTTAACATCTTTCAATACAATTTTAATATTTTCTTCAAAGCCCCTTATGTCTTTGGTTAGATTTTTTTTTTTTTTTTTTTTTTTTTTTTACTGAGGTGCCTTCTTCAAAACTATTTACATTTCATGTTTAAAAATTACATTTTACTTTTGGGTATTGATGTTTAATACAGCATGTGTGCAAAGCTCCCTCTTGCTTTCTGTGTAGACTATATGACTGCATGGTTACAGAAACAAGAGCTCACACTAATACCTCCAACTCCAACCCAACTCCATAGTGGTAGATTCTTTTTTTTTTTTTTTTTTAATTGAGACAGAGTTTCGCTCTTGTTGCTCAGGCTGGAGTGCAATGACGCAATCTTGGCTCACTGCAACCTCTGCCTCCTGAGTTCAGGTGATTCTCCTGCCTCAGCCTCCCGAGTAGCTGGGATTACAGGTGCCCGCCACCACGCCTGGCTAATTTTTGTATTTTTAGTAGAGACGGAGTTTCTCCATATTGGTCAAACTGGTCTCAAACTCCCAACCTCAGGTGATCCCCCTGCCTCAGCCTCCCAAACTGCTGGGATTATAGGCCTGAGCTGCCGCACCAGGCCGTGGTAGATTCTTACATTCCATTTTGGCTTACTTCAATTTTTTTTTCAAACCTGCTTTTATTATCCATAGTACACTTATTTACTTCTTTCAGCCCTGCTATAAAGAAGTTTCAGCATTGCTAACTCATATCTTATTACAAATTTACTAACTAGAATACAGTGCGTACTTTTATTTTTATCTTTAACATTCCAATATGTAGTCAAACATTATTTTTCAAAGTAACTTAGGTCAGCTCCTTACTTCTGTGCAAATATAATGTTGTCATATCACTTATTTTTAGTACAATTAGATTCATTTGTCACAGTCTATAATCCATCTTGGGTACCCTTTGTATCTTGGTCAACTTTTAAAATTTGTGTAGAAGACAATTATTCTTTGCGGTGTTCTGTGTGTTGTGAAAACTCCTAGAGTTGTGAATCCACCAGCACAGTATCATAAAGAACAGTTCTATTACTTCAAAGTTTTCTTATGCTGCCCCTTTGTAATACCCTTTCCTGCAACTCTAACCCTGAATACTACAATCTGTTTTCCATCTCTGCAGCATTGTTGATTGAGAATGTCATACAAATGGAAAATTACACTATGTGGCCTCTTGGCCTGGCTTCTTTCACATACCAAAATTAAAAATTCATCCATATTGCACATGTGTATTAGTTCGTTCTTATGCTGTTATGAAGAAATACCCAAGACTGGGTAATTTATAAAGGAAAGAAGTTTAATTGACTCACAGTTCCATGTGGCTGGGAAGGCCTCAGGAAACTTACAATCATGACGGAAGGTGAAGGAGAAGCAGGCACCTTCACAGGATGGCAGGACAGAGTGAGTGAAAGCAGGGGAAATGCCACACATTTATAAAACCATCAGATCTCATGAGAACTCACTCACTATCATGAGAACAGCATGGGGGAAACCGCCCCCATGATTCAATTACTTCCCATGGGTCCCTCCCACTACATGTGGGGACTATGAGGATTACAATTCAAGATGAGATTTAGATGGGGACACAGCCAAACCACATCAACTTGAATCAATAATTAGTTTCTCTTTTGTGTTGAGTAGTTTTCCATTGTATGGGTATGCATGGTTTATTTATTCACCAGTTGAAGAACATCTGGGTTGTTCCTAGTTTTTAGTGACTATAAACAAAGCTGCTAGAAACATTCACGCATGTTTTTCTAGAAGCATACATTTTTATTTTCCTGGGGTAACAACAGGAATGGTACTGCTGGGTCATATAGTTAAGTGTATATTTAAATTGAAAACAAACTATGGCTGGGCGGGGTGGCTCACGCCTGTAATCCCAGCACTTTGGGCGGCCGAAGCAGGCGGATCACAAGGTCAGAAGATCAAGACCATTCTGGCCAACATGGTGAAACCCCAGCTCTACTAAAAGTACAAAAATTAGCTGAGTGTGGTGGCGCACACCTGTAGTCCTAGCTACTAGGGAGGCTGAGGCAGGAGAATAGCTTGAACCTGGGAGGTGGAGGTTGCAGTGAGCCGAGATTGCGCCATTGCACACTCCAGCCTGGTGACAGAGGGAGACTCCATCTCAAAAAAAAAAACAGAAACTATGAAAATATTTTCCAAAGTGGCAAAATCAATTTTGCATTCCATTTGCTTCTTATCCTCACCAAAGTTTGGTATCGAAAATGTATTTTCCAAAGTCTTCTCAATATATAAGTGGGTTGTTTGTTTCCTTATTAGCAAATTGTTAGAGTGCTTTATGTATTCTGGATGCAAATTCCTTTCAGATATGTGATTAGCAAATATTTTATCTTAGCTGTGGCCTGCCTTTTCATTCTCTAAACAGTGACTATTGAAGGGGTGGGTTGCCCCTCCACACCTGTGGGTGTTTCTCGTAAGGTGGAACGAGAGACTTAGGAAAGAAAAAGACACAGAGACAAAGTATAGAGAAAGAAATAAGGGGGCCCGGGGAACCAGCGTTCAGCATATGGAGGATCCCGCCAGCCTCTGAGTTCCCTTAGTATTTATTGATCATTCATGGGTGTTTCTCCGAGAGGGGGATGTGTCAGGGTCACAAGACAATTGTGGGGAGAGGGTCAGCAGACAAACACGTGAACAAAGGTCTTTGCATCATAGACAAGGTAAAGGATTAAGTGCTGTGCTTTTAGATATGCATACACATAAACATCTCAATGCTTTACAAAGCAGTATTGCTGCCCGCATGTCCCACCTCCAGCCCTAAGGCGGTTTTTCCCTATCTAAGTAGATGGAACGTACAATCGGGTTTTATACCGAGACATTCCATTGCCCAGGGATGGGCAGGAGACAGATGCCTTCCTCTTGTCTCAACTGCAAGAGGCATGCCTTCCTCTTATACTAATCCTCCTCAGCACAGACCCTTTACGGGTGTCGGGCTGGGGGACGGTCAGGTCTTTCCCTTCCCACGAGGCCATATTTCAGACTATCACATGGGGAGAAACGTTGGACAATACCTGGCTTTCCTAGGCAGAGGTCCCTGTGGCCTTCCGCAGTTTTTGTGTCCCTGGGTACTTGAGATTAGGGAGTGGTGATGACTCTTAAGGAGCGTGCTGCCTTCAAGCATCTGTTTAACAAAGCACATCTTGCACCGCCCTTAATCCATTTAACTCTGAGTTGACACAGCACATGTTTCAGAGAGCACGGGGTTGGGGGTAAGGTTATAGATTAACAGAATCTCAAGGCAGAAGAATTTTTCTTGGTACATAACAAAATGGAGTCTCCCATGTCTACTTCTTTCTACACAGACACAGTGACAATCTGATCTCTCTTGCTTTTCCCCACAGACTATTGCACAGTATTATTAATTTTAATGAAGTCCAATTTATCAAATTTTTTAATGGATCATGCTTTTGGTTTCAAATCTAAAAACACTTTTCTAAATGTAAAGTCACAGAGATTTTCTGCTATGTATTCTTCTGGAACTTTTATTGATTTACATTTTAGATTTAGGCCAACAGCTATTTTTAGTTCATACTTCATACAAAAATTAACTCTAAGTGCATTGCAGTCTTAAATGTAAAATATAAATCTGTGAAACCAAAAAAGAAAAAAACATAGGAAAAAGTGTTGAGTATATAGAGCTAGGCTTAGAGTTCTTAGAGTTAATGCCAAAAGGCATGATCCGTAAAATTAAAATTAATGAACTGGATCCCATCAAATTTAAAACTTTGCTCTGTGAAAGACTCTGTTAAGAGGATGAAAAGACAAGTTACAAACTTGAAGAAAATATTTGCAAATGACATCCAACAAAGGACTAGTGTATAGAATATATAAAATTTCAATAGAAAAATGTCCAGTTAATAAATGGTCAAATGACATAAACAGACATTTCACTAAAGAGGAGAGACAGATGGCAAATAAGCCCATGAAAAGAAGTTTCGGCATCATTAGCCATCAGGGAAATGCAAATTAATATCACAATAAGATATTACTACACCTCTGTCAGAATGTCTAAAGTAAAAAATAATAGATATACCAAATGTTGGCTGGAATTCAAAGAAACTGGATCATTCATTCATTGTGGTTGGGAATGTTAAGATGATATAGCCAGTCTGGAGAACAGTTTATCACTTTTTTAAAAAACTAAACATGCAACTACCATATGATCCTATATTTGCACTTTTTGGTGACTGCTACCATTAGTCAAGTTTTTTTACAAGTATATTACATGGAGGTTTAGGACGCTGGCATTTTTCTTCTAGGTGTGTAAAGCCCAAGCAAAAAGACCGTCTTTTCCGGGTTTTCAAATTCTGGTATTTAACTTATGAGATGATCAATAAAACAAAATGACACTATGAAAATTAAGTCAGCATCAAGGTGGTGGCTGTGTTCTTGGAAAAAAAAATAACTGATGATTCATTTTAATTCCAAGTAACTCTGATATTTCAGAGTATGATTAAGAGAAAAGAACGGACTTTGGTACATAATTGTTAAGTCAATGCAATGTATGCAGCAAAAGTGTATTTCATTGAGAAAATGGTAGTTATGTAAATAGAAATTTCCAAGAATGAAATTGTTCATGATGATATTAAACATAATAGGTAATATGGTCACATAACTTATTTTCTGTTTTGCCACATTCCAGCTGAATTTTCTGTGTCAGAATATAATTTCCTTTGCAACAAGGATGCCGATGTAACAACCAAATGATAATTTAGGCAGTTTAAGACACTGAAATAAAGTTTTCTACCTAAGAGGATTGTATCCACTAAATTGTGGATTCAGTTTTTGACTCTGATTTATAAAAAAATGCTGAAAAGCAAATTATAAATACTAGCAGCTTATGTAAATTAAAAAGGGCATAGAAAAATACTGATCATGACAAATCCTTTAAAAAACAGTAGCAATTTTATATTTCTTCATTTTAATATTTTACATCTAGACATTTTTAGAAAAAGCTACCTTTAATACATATGCATTTACAACTAAATTTTTGGATGTTATAACCTAAGAGATTTTATTAGTGAATAGTATTTGTACCATTCCAATAAAAAACCATGTATTTAAATGTACTAGATAGAATATATTACTTTAGATACAAGTCATTTCAGGTTCAACTTGTGTAAAATCTGTCTTGAAGAGACATTTTCTCTCAGTCTGTATGTCAGAGTTTATAACAATATCTTAATTTTCTACATACTTAAAGATGTTAAAATGCCTTGATATACAAAGCTTTAAATTATCTACCTTTTATTTACACAAGAATCAACACTGTAAATTGTCTACATATTATAGGAGTTCTTCATGAAACAAGTCTACCTGTCTCTCTGTTTCTGTCTCTATTTCTGTCTCTGTCTCTGTTTCTCTCTCATCTGTCCTCTATCTCCCCTCTTCTCTGTCTTTCCTTTCATTAATAGCAAATGATTTCTATCCTATGTACCTTGATTTTGTGATTATAGATTATAGCTGTTATTACAGTGTATCTTTCCATAATTGAATAAACTTTCCATGTATACTTTACACAACTTTTTGCTCAAAATTGTGCATTTGAGAGTGCTGCATAGCAAAAGTACATTACCTCGCATTATTAATTGCTTTGTAAAAATGATTTTCTTAGAATTGTATAATGTGTTTTATTATTATTATTTTTTAATTTTTTTAAATTTTTTTTATTATACTTTAAGTTCTAGGGTACATGTGCACAATGTGCAGGTTTGTTACGTGTGTATACATGTACCATGTTGGTGTGCTGCACCCATTAACTCTTCATTTACATTAGGTATATCTCCTAATGCTTCCCCTCCCCCTTCCCCGACCCCACAACAGGCCCCAGTGTGTGATGTTCCCCTTCCTGTGTCCAAGTGTTCTCATTGTTCAATTCCCACCTATAGCACATTGCTTGATGCTATCCAGTTAACTCTGTTGTCATTCAATGGAAATTATTTGCTATCAGATTAAACAAGATAATTATTGAATTCTGTATAAATCTTTCCATTACTTAAAGGTTACAATTTATTTTATAACACGGTGGTAAGTGTAGCAAAATATGCTCACAAATTCCCTGATATTGAGGAATGCTGAATCATTATTATTCAAAATGAAGAATAATAATGAAATATAGATTCAATCTTTTCTGTGATGCTTCTCAATATGGTTAAGTTTATGGAAAATATTATATTAGAACTGTAGTGTGACAGGTTTCCTACATAGCTAGTCAAGGTGTATGCCTGCTGCCTGAACCTTGAGGCTGGGCAATGAGCCAAGTCCATGGGGTTCAGTGGAGGAGCAGGTGTTCCTGAGAACCTAAACATCCCCCAAAGTATCTGAGAACCTACCAAGAAAAATAGTCTCATTGCTTAAAAAGGTGGGCAAAGAGCCAGAGAATTAGCCTAAAAGTAGATCAGAGGCAAGGGGCAGGGCGGGTCTCTCAAGATGTCCTGCTGCGGTCTAGAAGTGCCTTGTATGTAAGTCTTAATAAACCCATCTACTCACCAAGATGGACTTCTCTGAGTCTTTTTCAGTTTCTCAGCTCCCTCCCAGTTTTGAGGGGCAGTTTTTCTATATTATTCTGGGTTTTTCTTGTTACAATTGGTGTCACAAACAGAATCTGAGAGACCAAATGATGAGTCAGGAAGGAACATCTGTCGGGGCAATCTCGGGATGGTCGGCAACTTGTATGTGGAGTTGTCCAAGTGCTCAACCTTTTTTTTCTTTTTTTTTTTTTTTGAGACTGAGTCTCGCTCTATCGCCCAGGCTGGAGTGCAGTGGCACCATCTCAGCTCACTGCAATCTCTGCCTCCCGGGTTCAAGCGATTCCCCTGCCTCAGCCTCCAGAGTAGCTGGGACTACAGGTGCGCAAACACCACGCCTGGCTAATTTTTTGTATTTTAGTAGAGACGGGGTTTCACTATGTTGTCCAGGATGGTCTCGATCTCCTGACCTCTGGTGATCTGCCCGCCTCGGCCTCCCGAAGTGCTAGGATTACAGGCATGAGCCACCGCACCCGGCCCCAAGTGCTCAACCTTTGTGGGCCGCCACTTGAGTACAGGAATACTTGGACAAAGCTGGTGGAGACTGGGCCTCTATTGCAAGAAGCTAAGATGTTAGAGTACGGTAAGAATAGTAAGTGTGCTGTTGTTGCAATAGGGCTTGTTACTAAGAAATCGTTAGAGCAGGAAAGGAAGAAAGGGTAGAAACTCCTGCAGAAGGTCAAACGCATGCCGGGTTTTCTAGGACTCAACCTGGTTTTGTATTATGGCCCATTCTTGTGCACATTTTAAAACTGATAGACAAATTCTCAGAAAAATTCAGAGCTCAAATGGTTAACCTACAACTATATGGTTAAGTAGAGTCTTCTAAAGCTCTCTATGTTGCTTTTTCCTTTTCTGCCTGCTTAGAATCTACTGTTACTAGTATTGAGATATTAGATATTATAAAATCCACTAATGAAAGGCCACTTGGAAATTTTGTTTTTCTTAAACAGTTCAGTAAGTTCCAGCTAAAATGTAAACAATAAATTCATTTGGAACTGAGGGGGAAAAAAAGGGCTAAAGAGGTTTTATAAAATCAAATAGCCATGGAAACTGCTTTTGGACAAATAAAGTTGAGCCATGTGAACAGGTCCCAATTTTGTCAAAAATAACTTGAATCCAACTATCTTTTATAAAATAATGAGTTTATGATATTGTCTCATGACAAGAGTTCTGAGGTAAAAGCTATTGGATCCTTCTCTGTGTATGATATGTATGTTTAAATATGTTGTTGTTGTTGTTGTTTTTGTTTTTGAGATGGAGTCTCGCTCTGTCACCCAGGCTTGAGTGCAGTGGCAAGATCTTGGCTCACTGCAACCTCTGCCTCCTGGGCTCAGATGATTGTCCTGCCTCAGCCTCCTGAGTAGCTGGGATTACAGGTATGCGCCCACCACGCCCAGTTAATTTTTGTATTTTTAGTAGAGATGGGGTTTCACCATGTTGGCTAGGCTGGTCTTGAACTCCTGACCTCAGGTGATCCACCTGCCTTGGCATCCGAAAGTGTTGGGATTACAGGCGTGAGCCACTGCCCCCAGCCTAAATATGTTTATGTGTATGTACATGTTTATATGTATGTACATGTTACCAAATTGGCACATAAATAAATGAGTAGTCATAAATTAAATAAGTTCAAATGCTTTTCAAGCTTGTGTGAATTCAGTAATCTTTGGTAAATAAGCTGGCCTTAAAATTATTTGTAGAATAAAAATGTCTTCAAAAGTGTCAGCATACATTTCTGTCTGAGTTTACTGATTAGATAAGTTTTATATTTGCCTCTGACAGATACTTCAAGGTGTCAGGATTTGACATGAAGGTTGTAAGGTTGTAAACCTTGTCAAAATCAGAATGATCTTTGTCTATGTGATTTTTTGATAAGCAAGTTTAATTTGATATTGTTGGTTTAATGTAAATAGCAGGATTTTCTGAGTTATTGGCATAAAGTACAAATTGGCCCGCCCACAGCTCCTGTAACAGCCCTATGTGGCCTGTGAAGAAACCAGATGGCACTTGGAGAATGGTGGTAGACTACCATGAGCCAAAAAATGTGGTGCGCCCTGCACATGCAGCTGTGCCCAATATTGCTCAGCTGCTGGAGCAGGTAGTGCTTAGCCTGGGAAATGTCCATGCTGTGATTGGCTTGTCTAATGCCTTTTCCAGTATCCCTTAGCAGTATCCCTTAGCAAACAGGATCAGTTTGCCTTCGCTTAGGACAACCAACAGACTTTCCGGGAGCCGCCACAATGATAGCTTCCTTGGGTGCTTTCTAAAGAGGTAAAGGGTAATATAAACTGTAATTTATAAAGAAAAAAGGGGCTGCACAGCTCTACCATCTGTCCTAATATGGTTGCCCAGGACCTGTCTAGACTCCCCTTGCCTGCCTCAGTCTACCTGTTTCACTACATTAATGATAACATACTAACCTCTGAGTCTCTTACGGACCTGGAGACTGTCCTACGAATCGTCTTGGACAGCCTGAAGGACAAGGAATGGAAAGTCAACCTCAAGAAGAAACAGGGGCCCAGCATAGAGATCAAATTCTTGAGAGTTTCCTGGTTAAGATGCAAAACCTACTCGGAGCTGTCATTGATAAGACAGCACAGCAGCCCATTTCCCAGACAGTAAAGCAACTCCAGGTTTTCCTAGGTTTCTTGGGCTACTGGAAGATACTCATTTCTCATTTGGCACAAACCCTCCACCCATGGTACACCCTAGTGAAAAAAATAAAAATTGGATCTGAACACACATAGAGCAAGAGGCATCTGATAAAACAAAAATAATGGTGAAATAAGCCTGAGCATTAGGTACCACACTGCCACAGCATGCTTTTGTATTAGGAGTTATTAGAGATGCCACAGGTATGAATTGAAGTTTACGACAAAAGCAACCAACAGAAATGGTACCTGTAGGGGTTGGGTCTCAATTATGGAAGGGAGCAGATTCATTCTGTACAGTTCTAGAGCAACAACTCTTGGCCATGTATGGGGATTGCAACAAGTGGAGGCCATCATCAGAAAGCAGACCATCACAGTAAAAACTACCTATCCTATAAAAGTTTGGGTGGAAGGCCCTCTAGCCAAGCTCAGCTTTGGGGGTGGTACAGTCACATAGCCTGCATAAGGGGCATGTCTAGCTACAACGGATGGTATCTTGTCCATTAGTCCTTTATTTTTTTATTTACTTATTTTTTTTGAGATGGAGTGTTACTGTGTCACCCAGGCTGGAGTGCAGTGGCGCCATCTCGGCTCACTACAACCTTTGCCTACCGGATTCAAGCAATTCTCCTGCCTCAGCCTCCTGATTAGCTGGGATTACAGACCTGCACCACCACACCAGGCTAATTTTTGTATTTTTAGTAGAGATGGGGTTTTGCCATGTTGGTCAGGCTGGTCTCGAACTCCTGACCTCAGGGTGATCCACCGGCCTCAGTCTCCCAAAGTGCTGGGATTACAGGGGTGAGCCACTGCACCTGGCCCCATTAGTCCTTTAAGTCAGGCACTACAGAAGGTGCTTGAATGCATCTGCTTTAAATAAGTGGAAAGGACCAGCATGGCAGTGGAGATACCTACGAGGCAAACCACCATATATGAGGAGATCTCACTGATACGTACTAGGGCCTGGTACACTTATGGGCCTAGCACCTAACATCAATGGTCAGTGGTCATGGTGCAAATAGATACAGACACCACATGTATAGAATGAGGATTAGGACAAAGCAGCCAATGGGCCGGGCCATGGGCAATGTGAATACTCACTACTCATGAGCCCTGGCCACTAGTCATTTGCACAAAGAGTTGAGCTACATACAGATGCCTTATCATATGGATCAATAAATGGGCTGCAGACAACTGGCAGGTTTTAGGCAGCCCTTCTGGGGAATGTCTATGTAGGAGAACATCTGGATCAGGTTACAAGAAAAGGATGCCTGTCGTACAGTGTACCATGTGAATGCAAACAGCCCCAAGTCACCTCCCAGAAATCAGGAGGCAGATGCCCTTATTCACGTGTGAGCAATTTGCCCGAGCCCATGGGTACATTATAAAAGTGGCCACTGCGGCGTGGCCACAGGGTGGGCCATAGCAAAGGCAGTGGGCAACTCTATCCAATATGCAGCTACTCAGAAGTGTGAGATCTATTCATAGCTGCAGCCTAGAAAAGCTCCCTCAGCACCAAGTCACATCCATTGAGCCATACAGTCTGTGCAAGACTGGCAAGTTATTATATTGGCCCCTCGCCCCTCAAACAGAGGAAAAAGTTGTGCCTTAACTGGTGTGGATTCAACAACAGGGCTGCTACAGGCCTTCCCAGTAAATCGTGGCACTCAGCTGGAAACCATCAAGTGTCCCACTGCTCTTAGTCTCATGCAGGACATGCCAAAAAGAAGACATAGTGATCAAGGCCCCCATTTCACGGGCCATGATATCCAACATTGGGCATTGGAACAAAACATAGACTGGAGGTTCCATGTACCATATAAGCTAACAGGGATGGGTCCCATAAAAAATAAATGGCCTGTTAAAAACCCATTTACATATTGTCTCAGGATGGTTCTTTAGGTTCTGGACAAAGACTCTCCTTGAAGCTATGCAAATTTTAAATGAGTCACCCACTACCACATATGGTATCACTCCCTAGGAATGGTTGGTAAGGCCTGAAAAACAGGCTCCACCAATTCTCAGGGTTACAGCAGAGACTCCAAGCCCAGCTCCCAAAGCAGATGACCAGACCATGCCCCTGGGAACAGAAGTGTATCTGCCAAGTGTTGATGGCCACGTGAACGTAAAGTTGATCTGGAAAGTATCCCCATACTGGAGGGTGCCATGAAGACTGTTGGAGGGGAAATAGTCCCAGCTGTGCTCCTTGATGGAGGCCCAAGAGCTTTATGATATCCGCTCACGGCAGCACTAATATCTGCTGGAACAGTCTTAGTGCAGATAGTGTGAGCAAGGCCGGAAACTTACCAATTAGCTATTGTGCTTGCTCCTGGGGAGGGAAGCCATATGTGGTACTGTAAGACAGGCTTGAGACCTGTGATGGCTTCCCTAATAGGGCCAATGGGAGAAAGTACAGCAGTAATTATGTTATGAGGAATGGATGCACCTATGAACGTTCCTACTAAACACCTGTGTTTACACCCACAGGCTATGGCTCTTGCTACCCATGGCAGCTGGTAATGTCTTCTTGGACTGGGCTATGACCACAGCTGCAGTCAGCAACCAGTTCAATTTTAGGGTATATGAATACCTCCCACTGTCAAGTGATAATGGTAGGCCTTGGAATAGTCTGTCTTTCTCCCTACAGAACTGGAATGATTGGTTCAACAGCACCAATAATGCAACCTGGGTTCACCGGGGATCGCCTCTACCTGGAAACCCAATCACTAACTCAACAGAGATCCAACAACATGCACCCTTATAGGCATTACCTGTTATACCTATATCCCTGATTGTATTATTCCTTTCTTGCATTGCTGTAAAGACATGTCTGAGACTGGGTAATTTATAAAGAAAAAAGATTTAATTGGTTCACAGTTCCACGGGATGTACAGGAAGCATGAATGCTGGCATCTGCTCAGCTTCTGGGGAGGCCTCAATCATGGCAGAAGGTGAAAGAGGAAGCAGGCACATCCTACATACCCAGAGCAGGAGGAAGAGAGGGGGCGGAGGGTGCTACAGACTTTTAAACAACCAGATCTCATGAGAACTCACTCACTATTAGGACATCATCCAGGGAGATGGTGTTAAACCATGAGAAACTGCCCCCATCATCCAATCACCTCCCACTAGGCCCTGCCTCCAACATCAGGAATTACAATTCAACATGAGATTAGGGTGGCAACACAAATCCAAACCATATCACTGATAAAGAAAATAATGTCATAGATGCTTTAAATCATTTGTCATCTCAGATCCATGATATAGCCCAGTTAGGCTCTTTGACTCATTCTCAAATTGGTTACATACCTTACCTTCTCACTGGAGTGGTATTTTGCCAATAGGCATTATATAATAATTGTTGTTAGATTCTGCTTTTTATGCTATTGTGTACGCTGCGGATATGGTCTGTATGCACAAGCCATGGCTCTGCATTATAAACCTGTATAATTCTCCTCCCTCACTCAGGGACTCTCATGCAAGATTGGTGGAAAGAATGAAAGAGTTAGAAGATGGAATGGATTTTAGTATGATGGGTCTCCCACCTGCCTAGTCAAGGGCATATACCTGCTGCCTGAACCTTAAAGGCCAGAGAATGAGCCAAGGCCATGCGGCTCAGTGGACGAGCAGGTGAAACTAGTCTCATCACTTAAGCACAGTAGGCAAAAAGCCAGAAAATTGGCTTAAAAGTGGTTTAGAGACAAGGGACAGGGCAGACCTCTAAAGCCGTTCTGCTGCAGTCCAGGAGTGCCTCATATGTAAGTCCTAATAAACTCACCTACTCACTAGCTTGGTCTTGTCCGAATCAACTGTTGGTCTCTTGGCTCCCTATCAGTTTGGAGACTATTTTTTTTTTTTTTTCATGCGATTCCAGGTTTTTCTCATCATAAGAAATAAATCATGATTTGGTTAAATTTTATGGCCACAATTTCCTTTATATAATGCTCTCATCTTAAAATAGTGAACATTTGCTCATTTCCTTTCTTTGCCTAAAATAGTATGTAGTTATTGGTATTTTTAATCCTAAATTACATACAATCACTGAAAAGGAAAAATATTAATACCTTAAATTCTCATTATTTTAGGAGCTAATGATTGTGCTACCCCTGACAAAAAGGCAAAAAATAAAATAATGGTGGCAAAAATTATAGCCAGTGAAGACTAACAAAGCATAACATAAAGGGCTTAACGCACAGATATTAAAACAGTGTTCCTTTTTACCTTTGAAATCAGCTACAAGCAGTCTTCATTTGAGAGAGTTTTTCAAGGTTAAGGACAGTCATTGCCATTTCTAACAGGTTGCTCAGATGTTGAGTAATTTCAGCTTTATTTCCCACAGCCACTTTCAATTTTCTCACTAGAAGTAACAAATGGGTTCTTTGTAGTGAAGGAAAGCCAAGCCCAGGGCAATGGGACAGGAAGATCAAGTTTAAGGAGGCTGCCAGTGCCACATGGCTGTTTCCACCATATGAACTCTCAAACTGCACGGTGCTATTATTGGCCACATTTCCAAATTCTTTCTGCATGCTCAACTTCTTCCTGGACCCTGCATGTTTCATCCAGCCAAATTCCCAAATTCTTGCTTCCCATTAAATTTCTCCTACAAAAACGTTGTTTTTGCCACTTCTTACAAGGCGTGGTGGCTGAAAAACAGGCCTAGAGCCAGGATGCCTGGATTTAAACCTTAGTTCAGCTACTTACCTGGAAAGGCTGTCAGCCCTCTACATCTCAGTTTTCTCATTCCTCAGTTAATACTGGCAGCATCCTCATAGGTCTTATAGAGGTTATTCAATGAGTAAATACACGTGAAGTTCTTTGAGTAGTGCCTGGCACATCATGAGCACCACATAAGCATGTGTTTTTGCTAAATACACTTATTCTTGTGCATTTTATGCCCATATTTCACCCTCTTCCTTTATTAATTTTTTCTAGTACTCCTTGTAAAAATCTTCTATTTCTTCTACCTTCTGACAGAATGTTTCTCCATGGTTTTGCTGTAACTGAAAGCTCTCTTTTCTTAGCTAACACAACTTCCAACCCACATCCTAAATAGGCTTTGTGATATTAATCAATATTAGAGAAATCTAGGATCTACAGTAGTGTTATGAAAATTTGAGCAGAAATGCCTTAAGGCTGAGCATGGATTGTCCATTGTGCCATTATTCCTACCATTGAATTCTGCATAGTAGAGCATCTCTGTAGAACTTAAGTTTGCTTCCACCGATCGGTTCTTCCAAATTCAGAGTCATTATTCAAGTGGTTTCCAGTGAGTTATAAGCAACATCCCTTTAGAAAGACCCTTTCTCATTTGGGCTCTGTTCCTGCCAAGGATCCTCAGGAATTAGACTGGTGGGTCCTCGGTATATTTTATCAGTTCATCTTTTCCTAATTGAGCACAAGGATATGGGAGAGAAGTAACAAAACAGCATATCTTTTTTTCTTACTTAAAAAGAGTTGAGGCATTTTGTTCGGCATACTGAGTAGAACCAACTTGAAGGATATATTAATTCATACTTCTTTTACATTCAAATTAATGTCTCAAGCCACTCTCCTTCCAGCTCACAGGCAATCCAGTATTTCTACTTTGGAGCCTCCAAGAATTAATCGAGAATTATGGATGCTTGCTAAGTGTTTATAGAGAACATTGCTTCTCTTGTGTTGGTGCAGACATTTTAAAACTCAGAGTTATTATTTCATTAAGATTGGAAACCCCATAACTGCCTCTGAAACATCTACTTTAGAAGTGGTTGCTTTTTTTTTAAATCGCTACCATAAAGGAAGGCCTCAGGGATTCTCTGCTCATAGTGATACCAGTTTTGGAGAAGTCGACTCTTGATAGAAATAGTTGTACAGCTTATGTGCCGGGGATCGAGTCTACTGCCCCACTGCCACCAGTGTTAGTGTAAATCTCAAGCTAACCTCTCCATGTCATGTTCAGGTTGAGGTTACTCTATGATTGTGATCATAAATCTTCAGGCTTGGGTTACACTCGTAGGCTCTTGTCACTGCAAAGCATTGTGTATCTGGGTATAAAAAGATTTTTTTCTTCAGTCACACTGTGTACCATACTCAGCCCTCTACCAGCATTGGTCCATACCCCTCTTCATATGGGGGAAACATATTTAGGTTGTTTCTTAAATTGTGCCAACCAGGTTACCACAGTCCCTTCACGTGTGAGGTTATATTTAGAGTCTTTCTTACTTTTTTATTAGAAATAATGCTGGAATGAACATCTTTTTACATATATATTGCATATTTGCCCGATTATTATGTTAGAATAAAATTTTAGAACCCCTATGATTGAAGCAAAGATTAAATATTTCTAAAGACTGTGGCACATATTTCCAAAGGACTTTTAGATTTGTTGTATATTTCGCCCTTTTGCCAATGTGTTGGAAGAAACATAATTTACACCAACTCATTAATTGCATCTTAAAAGCCTCTTGCAGTTTTCAAAGAAAGCCTTTGCACATGCTTTAATTTTCATATCAGTCTTGTGAAGCTGTCAATATTATTTCCATCTTACCTATAATAACAATGAAACAGCAGATTTAACTAACATGATTAAGATCAAACAGGTAATACTTGGCTGAGGCGCTATTTGAATTTGAATAATATGGAATACCTTTGTGTATTTATTCATCCTCTTTTTCTGTATGCATTTGTTGAGCACCAGTAATGTGTCAGGCACTGTGCAGGGAGCGGGGTGTGTGCCACTTAGGTGGAAGGTAAGCTCTCTGACACCACAGAACTTACATTTTAGGAGGAATGAAGACATTAACAATATTTGCATATTTATAAATAAGAAATATTGAGACTGTGATAAGTACATATTGGAGGTATCTGAGAAAATATAATGGGGAGATTGTAACCTAGTGAGAGCAGTCAGCAAGGCACAAGAAACATGGCATGCCAAAGGGACTACAGAACACCACTATAGCCAGAGGTAGAGAGTGAGAAGCTGCATGGCATGAGATGAAGCTGGAGAAGTAGAGACCAGGCTGTGCAGAGCTCACTGGCCCCACGCTTCCCCATTTCTCAGTGCTGGAGAATCAGTTTTGTTTGTTTCAATTTTCTTGGCACAATACTTACATAAAATAAGGTAAATAATACGTCACTAAAAACCAAACAAATTTTAAAGTACATAAAATACAAGCTCCAAGTATATGTTTAGTTTATAGACATAAAACTACTCTGTGAAATCACTATCAAAATGTCTAGACGCTTGCTCTTGGTTTCTGTTCTGATCTCCCTGCAGAGCATTAACAGTCCAGGAAACCAGGCTGCAGAAGGCACATCAGGCAGCACGGCTCTAGGCCACGACTATGGCTAAGAGCAATAAAAGGAAGCACCTGGTTAAAATTATCGGGAGTGTGTTTTGAGATGATCACTCTGGCTGCCAGGGGGAGAAAAGTGGATTTGGGTGGATGAATTAGGAAGTGAATTCATAGGACAGAGAGTGATGATGATAGCGTGTGCCAATGTTGTAGGTGAGATTTCAAAAATAGCCCCCTAAGATAGCCCACCCTAATCTTTAGAATCTATGAATATTAGATATTGTACCACTGATTATGTTATGTTATACGCACAGTTGACCTTAAGGTAGGAAAATTAGCTGGATGTGTCTGGCTCTAATCACTTGAGTCCTGAAAATTGCTTAGAGAGCTTTCTCCAGCTGGTTGTGGGAGGAGAAGTCAGAGAGATTGCGAGCAGAAGAAAAATTCACTGCACCATTGCTGACTTGAAGTTTGAGGGTACTCCGTGATGAAGAATGTGCACAGGTGGCCTCAAGAAGCAAGGAGCAGTCCTCCGCTGACAGCCAGCAAGGAAATGGGGACTTTGATGCTAAAACTGCAAGAAGCTAAATTCTAGCAATAACAGGAATGATCTTGTAAAGGGACTCCAAGCTCCAGATGACAATGCAGCTGGCTGACACTTTGATTTCAGCCTGAGCAGAGAACCTAGCCACACCCTGCTAAACTTCTAATCTTCAGCACTGTGACCTAATATTATGGGTGTTGTTTTAAGCGGCTGAGTTTGTGTTGATTTGTTATACAGCAATAGAAAACCAATACAGCCAGAATGGTGCCAATGGAGATTATAAAGAAGAGGATAGATGGATTTTGGCAATAATTTAGTAAGTAAAATTCATGTGAGATAGTGATTTGATATAAGAGATAAAGAAGAAGTGTTGAAGATGACTCCTAAATGTCTGGTTTATATGACTAGATGGACGATGGTTCCATTTACTGAGATGATAGAACATACCAGAAGAGGATCAAGTTAAAAGGGAAAAAAGATTATGATTTAATTTTTTTTTGGCCTGATTTGTTTTGAAGTGACTGTGATCCATCTGAGAAGAGCTGTCAGCTGTCAGCCAAGCGGTTATATTTATAGACCTAGAACTCAACAAGAGGTATGGGCTAGGAATGAAAATGTGTGAGTTATCTGTATAGAAGTGCTGATTAGAGCCCTGGGTGAGGTTAACACAGAGTAAGTAGAAAGTGCATTTAGCACAGAGCATGAGGCTGTAAATACCTCAGAGAAGAGGAAAAGCCTGGAAAGATAGGGATTCCTGAGAAGTTGGGGCAAAGCCAGGGGAGTGTTAGATCAAGGAACTTGGATTAGTTCCTAATGCTGCTGTAACAAATTACTACCAATTCGGTGCTCTAACAAAACATAAGTTTATTATCTCCCAGTTCTGACAGTCAAAAATCTGGCACAGATCTCACCAAGTAAAATCACATTGGTAGGCTGCATTTCTTTCTAGAAGCGCTAGGTAGAACTGATTCCTTTGCTTTCTCCAGCTTCTACAGGCTACTGGCATTCTTGGCTCAAGGCCTCTTCCTCCATCTTCAAAGCCAGCAACATCAGGTCAAGTTCTTTTCATCCTTCCATCTCTCTGCTTCTTTCTCCTGCACCTCCTTCTTCCACTTTTGAGGCCCTTTGTCATTACATTGGGCCCTCCTGGATAATACAAGATTTTAAGATCATCTGATTAGCAAACTTAATTTTATGTTATCTTAACTCCCCTTTTCCATATAACATAACATAGTCACAGGTCCTAGGGACTAGGACGTGGACATCTTTTGTCGTCATAACTCTGCTTACTACAGAGGCTAAGGATTTATCTACACAATGTGTAATATAATAATCTTGAAGAGAGCTGGTTGTATGAATGGTAAAGGCAGAAGTAATAAATAGTTCAGCAGGTATAGAGTGCAGTGGGAGTGAAGTCAGAATGGAGTGACTATGAAAAACCTTGACAAGTTCAGCTATGAATGAATAAAAGAAAGTAGAGTAAAGAAAAGGAATAAAAGGAAGTAGCTATGGGTGGTTTAGGATCTGGGAAGAATTATTTTATGGGAAGTGATTAACATGTTTAGTAGCCAATGTGAAAGATTCAGTTGAGAGAAGATCTATGCAAAAGAGAGAACAGATACTCATTTGCTTAAACTTCCCCATAAGACAGGTAGGGGCTAAGCATAAGCCTGTGTTTCCCTCTGTTATAAATAGAAGATATGAAGACAGATAGGTATACAGATAGATACATTTATACGCTTATTAGCAAAAATCTGAAAAGTTCACTTTTTATGTCTTCTTTTCCCACTCTAAATGCCTATCAGAAAAAGAAAATTGGGTTTACAAACTAGGAACACAATCATTAAAAATAAACATAGCATATGATATGGTTTGGCTCAGTGTCCCCACTCAAATCTCATCTTGAGTTGTAATCCCCATAATCCCCACATGTCGAGGGAGGGATCTGGTGGGAGGTAATTGGATCATGGGGACAGTTTCCCCCATGCTGTTCTGATGATAGTGAGTGAGTTCTCACAAGATCTGATGGTTTTATAAGTGTTTGACAGTTCTTTCTTTACATGCCCTTTCTCTCCTGCCACCTTGTGAAGAAGGTGCCTGCTACCTCTTCATCTTCTACCATGATTGCAAGTTTTCTGAGGCCTCCCCAGCCATGTGGAACTGTGAACCAATTAAACCTCTTTTCTTTATAAATTACCCAGCCTCAGGTATTTCTTCATAGCAGTGTGAAAATGGACTAATACAGCATATATTATAATAATCATGTTTCCCCAGTGGATGAAAAATTCTGCCTGCTAAGTGAAAATGTTGACCTCACCCTGCACATAAAGGAGATAGCTCCCTAGTGAGGCCACATTTTATGTCCCATCTAGGTTTATTGGATACTTTATAGTATTTGGGAAACATAAACCATTTCCCACTAATGCTATCATCTTAAAACACTTTGGAGTTTTGACTGAATAACTGACTAAACAGCAGTTTGTTAGATGAATGATGTAACCAAGCAATTTTTAATGGACTCTCAGAAGATTTTGAGGAAAAGAAAATGTGCTGCCAATGGAAACAGACATGGATGTGGAATGAAGAAATTTATATTTTCACATCTCTGGCTCAATTCCTTACTAAACTAGGGTCGAAGTCCCTATTAAGACCTACAGTGCGAGGCAATCAGTGAATATTTTGCATTTGGAAAGTCTAAGGCAGCAGGTAGCAGATGCTAACCTTTTGTGCTTAGTACATAGGACAGGTATTGTATGTATACCAATTGGAGGAGACATCACTCAGTAGTAGGCCCTAGTCAGGGTTGACAGATAAAATACAGGACTTCCAGTCAAATTGAAACTGCCGTTAAAGAACAAAATTTTTTTAGCATAAGTATGTTGCAAATATTGCATAAAACATATGTATACTAAAAAATGTGTTGTTTATCTGAAATTCAAATTCAAATTTAAGTGGGTTTCCTCTGTTTGTACTTGTTAAATATCTTCTATCTGTCTATGCAAGAATATTTTGTACAAAGATGAATCTGGATTCATGGGCTGAAAAATAATATTTGAGACACTTTCAGACATGACAAGTCTGATCATATTGTTTGAAATCCAAAATGCCAGTGTTTCTGGGATATTTCACCAGGTCATGGGGATAATCAACACTATGTTTACAGTTTAAATAGGGTTCAAACAGTCATTCTAGGAAATGGCTTATGGTCACTACATGTATTTGGGCCATGGATTTCCTTGAGGTCTTTCCTGTAAAGATATTAGGACTAATTTTCAATGAGTTTTTTGTTTTGGTATAATATACAATATTGCAGAAAGATAGGCTATGTATTTAGTATGTTATCAACCCATCAATGAACAGCCGCAATAAAAGTGAACTTAACATAAACCAAATCTTTTTAGGACAGCCTCCTTTTCCAGTTATATTAAGAAGCCAGCAGAAAGTTAAAAGAGTTGACACCAAGCCCTATGACCAGCTTGAATTTCAATTCCTTAAACTCTGTTAGTACTTATTCATTCATATGTCCAACAAATATTAATGAATGATTACACTGAAACAAGCAGGGAAAATTTTATATTGCGAAGGACGGGAAGAAAGTGCTTAGATTAAAATGCAGAAAGGAGGTCAGTGTGGCTAGAGCAGAGTGGGGGTTGGGGATCATGACAGAAGATGAATGGAGAGAAGTCCACTGGAAAGACCCACAGGGCTTTGTACGTCAGGCTAAGGAGCTCAGTTTTATTCTTACCTTGTTGGGAAACCTTCAGGTTGCTATAAACATCACATTGTACCCCATAAATATATAATTATTATTTGTCAATTAAAAATAACATTTAATTTTTTAAACATGACAGTGCTGAACTGTAAGAAAACAAAATGAAAAAACTTGTAACATTTGATGTGAATCATCATGACTTATTAAATACCCTCTGTGTCCAAATAAAATGGTTTTCATCTGCCAATATGGCAAAATACAGAAAATACCAGAACCAAATTAATAGACATGGATATCAATCAGGGAAGTGAAAAATATGCAAAAAGAGTTATAACATCACATCAGCTATCATAATAAATGTGAATAAAATAAATTTTCTTACTAAAAATAACAATGCCCTCATATTAGCCAATGACAAAGAAATTCAACAAAAGGATTAGAGATTGTTTTACTCCTGAAGAGAGATGTTCATAGATGTTGCTAATTGAGCAGTTTTAAAACAAATTTTCATTTCTAATTTGTTATTTAAACATACTATTATATATTAAGCCTAACTTTTCAAACTTTAAGATAAAATACTGATTTCCAGAGATTCTGTAATAATTAAAATATGAATTCCCTCATACTTGAAAAAAATAAATTTTTTTCACAGCCATCTTGGAAAATATGTGAATGTTCAACTTTTGGACTGACACCTAATAAGCAACATTTTATTCCTAAAGGAGAGATTTTTTAGGTTGGTAATGAGGAAGTGAAAAAATAGAAATTTGTAGGAAAAAAATCTATATATAACCCATATGGTTATACATAATTGAAATTCCAAAATATACCTGGGTCTTCCAGGATACTGAAAGCTAATTATTAAGGTGAAGAAGAACTGACTTAATAGTGAATAGAAGTGACTTCAACCTTCCTCCACCTGAAAGGTACTGCAGACACAGGGCAGTGTGTGTGTGTGTGTGTGTGTGTGTGTATGCGCGCACATTTTGCAGAATGGTGGTGAGAGCTGTGTTAAAACCACAATGTGATGAGTATTTTAAATCCTACGTTTTCCTGTAGTAATAAGAGTACAGTCTTATAATTTCTTTCTGATTGTACTCAGTAAGCAATTTATAAATGAAAACAAGGGAAAAGGCATGTGATTTTAGTTAACTATTAACCGACATGGCTAAGGGTAGTTTTTAAGACATTACTTGAGATTTTGGAAGGAGAAATCCCTGTGGACACAGCACACCTTATGCTTTATGTCACAGGTATGAGCCGTTTCCTAGAGAACTCCTAGGGAATAAATTTGGAATTTTATTTTTATCATTAAGGGGGAAAAATCTTATATGTATTAGAAAGTTTATTATAACAGTCATCAGGCACTTAGAAATTTCTGTCTACACTGTTTAAATTGAGGAGACAAGTTATTGGCTGTCATTAATGATATTCCAGTAAGAATGTCCCTAACCTGGAAAACCAATCAGCTAAGTTCCACTTGTCATACCTTACCATTACTGATATTATAAATGTGTCCCTAACCTAGAATATATTCTACTTCAGAATGAAAGTTTATTCTTCTCTTACCATGTGAATGGTAGTTAACAGTCCTGAAAGCTTCTCAACTGGAACAGCTTCCAAAATAACTTTAAAAAATTCACTCTTTCTCAATGTTTTCTAAGTAACATAGAAATAATTAACTGCAAATTTTGTTGAGTTCTTGATCATCTGGGAAATCAAGATGAAGCACAAAGGATATATTAGTTGCTGAACAAATGAGCCAATTTATCTCATGAACAAAAAGCAGACTGTTGTCAAAGGATGCATTTTTTTTTTCTTTTTACTGTTACAATTATGCCTAAAAGGACACCATAATTACAGTGCAATGTTCCTCAATCAGACCATATCCTTGCTTAGGGAAGCAGGAGGTTGCTTGTGCGACTGTAATGATTTTCCTTCTTATCAACTGTGAATCATGTCTTTCATCCCTGTAATTAAGGCCTTTGATATGCGTAACAGTCAGTAGAGTTGAGATAATAAAACAAATCAAGCCAAATATCCTGTTGTTGAATTTAGAACAGCTACAACAAATTGTTGATCTCCTTTTCCTTCAATTTGTGCATATGAAAAAATGTTATTCTAGAAATACTCAGACTTAGATTTGAAGGTATTGAAAAAGTCAAGATATTGTCCATTTTTTTAGAAATGTTGTATATTATATTAGTGGAAGGTAACAATGAATTCCTTTATTTGAAGATCTCTGATTACCTTAAACATAAAAGTTACATGTTCAACAGGATATATTTCTACTATTTTAATAGTTAAATGCATTAACTAAATGCATATTTAGGAAGGCTGCGATGTTTAATATTTTCCATTAAATGAAAGCTCATGCTCAGAAACCTTGCTATTTAGATATTTAATTTATTTTATTCACCCACTCATTCTGTGTACCAGGTACTGTGATGGACTTTTGCATATATGATTTCTCATCTTCAACATTACTCTGCAAGGTTAATTTTATTATTTTCATTCTACATATGGTGAAATTTAATCTGAGAAGAAGTAAGTGGCTTCCCAAAGAGAAACAGCAAGAATATGGCAGAGTTGGCCTTCAAATGAAGTACAGTGGGGAGGGTGGGATGAGCAGAGGGAAAGGAGATGTCTTGGGAGAATGCTTCTTAACATTAGTGCTGGTAAGGCAACAATTTAACAAGATTAGAGGAAACATAGCAACGAGGCAAGTGAAATATCAGTTATCAGACCACAAGTTCTCTAAATAATATAATCAACAAGCTTCTCCTTTGTAGGGGGTAGTTTCCCCCACCAAACAAAGCCACACTCCTCAGTCCTTCCTTCCATAGAATCTGTGATGTTTCTATGTTAGTTAAAACATATGTTTCTCTTGCTATAAAGGTCATTTTTTTTTCTCTTTAAATCGCATGCTCTCAATGGGTCCATAGAACGGCCCTTATCTCAGTTGCATTTTTAGATTATAATTTTATGTATAGACTGTGCCTACCTTCACTATTCTGTCTGAAAACATGCTAATCGATGACTCTAAGATGTGCTGTGAGGTTTGCAGCTGATAAAAATGAATGCTTTCTCATTTGAGGGTCTCAGGGTAAATATTATCAGTAAAATATGTGAACTTCAGTGCATGCAAGTTGTGACAGCTATTTTGTTTGTTCAGAAGTTTAAAGAATTGCTTTTCAGTATTTCAACTGTGCTCTGAATAAATTAAGTTGCCAGAGAGCTCAGTTTCATGGATGTAGTTACCTGGAGCATAGTTCTGATAAAAACCAAGACCATAACTTCAGTTCTCACACATATGGGCTGGTTTCCACCAGGGAAAAGCTTGGACCCATAGTCACAGATGAACAATAGTGCTGGTTTATTGCATACGAGTTTGTTATCTTTGTTTAGGGCTTTTTGTATAGTGGCTTATAATGTGGTTTTTAGTGCTGTGTTACTGGTCTATCTCTTCGAATTACATATAAATACATAACTGAGGCCAATGATGATGCCTCATTCATCTTTGGAACTAGCATGAGTCCTGAAACTCAGGAGATGCCAAGTGAATGTTTGTTCAATTAAACCAGGAACAAGGTATCTATATAAGGGATGATGTTGGCTATGAGAGCCGGAGTGATACAGTGTAAATTTTTGGCAAACTCACAATGATACAGTTTTCATATAAAACACACCACAATCACAATTTTTTAGTCTTTTTTAAAAAAATTATACTTTAAGTTTTAGGGTACATGTGTACAACGTGCAGGTTTGTTACATATGAGTACATGTGCCATGTTGGTGTGCTTCACCCATTAACTCCTCATTTAACATTAGGTATATCTCCCAGTGCTATCCCTACCCCCTACCCCCACCCCACAACAGGCCCCAGTGTGTGATGTTCCCCTTCCTGTGTCCAAGTGTTCTCATTGTTCAATTCCCACCTACGAGTGACAACATGCGGTGTTTGGTTTTTTGTCCTTGCAATAGTTTGCTGAGAATGATGGTTTCCAGCTTCATCCATGTCCCTACAAAGGACATGAACTCATCATTTTTTATGGCTGCATAGTATTCCATGGTGTATATGTGCCACATTTTCTTAATCCAGTCTATCACTGTTGGACATTTGGGTTGGTTCCAAGTCTTTGCTATTGTGAATAGTGCTGCAATAAACATACGTGTGCATGTGTCTTTATAGCAGCATGTTTTATAATCCTTTGAGTATATACCTAGTAATGGGATTGCTGGGTCAAATGGTATTTCTAGTTCTAGATCCCTGAGGAATTGCCGCACTGACTTCCACAATGGTTGAACTAGTTTACAGACCCACCAACAGTGTAAAAGTGTTCCTATTTCTCCACATCCCCTCCAGCACCTGTTGTTTCCTGACTTTTTAATGATCGCCATTCTAACTGGTGTGAGATGTTATCTCATTGTGGTTTTGATTTGCATTTCTCTGATGGCCAGTGATGATGAGCATTTTTTCATGTGTCTTTTGGCTGCATAAATGTCTTCTTTTGAGAAGTGTCTGTTCATAGCCTTTGCCCACTTTTTGATGGGGTTGTTTGTTTTTTTCTTGTAAATTTGTTTGAGTTCTTTGTAGATTCCGGATATTAGCCCTTTGTCAGGTGAGTAGATTGCAAAAATTTTCTCCCATTCTGTAGGTTGCCTGTTCGCTCTGATGGTAGTTTCTTTTGCTGTGCAGAAGCTCTTTAGTTTAATTAGATCCCATTTGTCAATTTTGTCTTTTGTTGTCATTGCTTTTGGTGTTTTAGACATGAAGTTCTTGCCCATGCCTAAGTCCTGAATGGTATTGCCTAGGTTTTCTTCTAGGGTTTTTATGGTTTTAGGTCTAATGTTTAAGTCTTTAATCCATCTTGAATTAATTTTTGTATAAGGTGTAAGGAAGGGATCCAGTTTCAGCTTTCTACATATGGCTGGCCAGTTTTCCACATATGGCTGGCCAGTTTTCCCAGCACCATTTATTAAATAGGGAATCTTTTCCCCATTTCTTGTTTTGGTCAGGTTTGTCAAAGATCAGATGGTTGTAGATATGCAGCATTATTTTTGAGGGCTCTGTTCTGTTCCATTGGTCTATATCTCTGTTTTGGTACAAGTACCATGCTATTTTGGTTACTGTAGCCTTGTAGTATAGTTTGAAGTCAGGTAGCATGATGCCTCCAGCTTTGTTCTTTGTGCTTAGGATTGACTTGGCGATGCGGGCTCTTTTTTGGTTCCATATGAACTTTAAAGTAGTTTTTTCCAATTCTGTGAAGAAAGTCATTGGTAGCTTGATGGGGATTGCATTGAATCTATAAATTACCTTGGGCAGTATGGCCATTTTCATGATATTGATTCTTCCTATCCATGAGCATGGAATGTTCTTCCATTTGTTTGTATCCTATTTTATTTCATTGAGCAGTGGTTTGTAGTTCTCTTTGAAGAAGTCCTTCACGTCCCTTGTAAGTTGGATTCCTAGGTATTTTATTCTGTTTGAAGCAATTGTGAATGGGAGTTCACTCATGATTTGGCTGTCTGTTTGTCTGTTATTGGTGTATAAGAATGCTTGTGATTTTTGCACATTGATTTTGTATCCTGAGACTTTGCGCATCAGCCCTAGAAGAAAAAGGATCCCCTTGGAGGGAAGATTGAAGTGCAGCATGTAGAAGAAAATGTCTGTGGGCCATATGCTCTGTGGGTGAGCCACTGGCAAACCACAGCATTGGAAAGAAACTGAACTTCAGTGTGACACACATTTTGTGTTCCTTGTACTGGAGGGAAAGCAATGAGTGAGTATGATTATTAGATTATATCATAGGACATGAAATATTTGTTACCAAAAGCAGGGTAGAGTTTGAGGGTAATTTTTAAAAATTTCTCTCTTGATGACCGTTTTACACTAAATGATGCATTGATGCATGCCGTCGGCTTGCCTTTTTCCTCCCCCTCCAACCCTGTGTCTTAGGAAACCAGAAGTATTAATCACTGACATTGAAAACACATTTGTTCCTGGAAACTTGCTTAGTTCCTTATGCACATTATATCATTTAAGCATAAGCACAGACTTCTGAGTTCAGTACTGGTAATTTATTGATGGGAAAATGAAGGCTTAGAGACATTGTGGAACTTGCTAAGGTTTACATGACTAAGTGGCAGAGGTAGGAATTGAACCAAGGACTAAATACAGGCTATAACCATAAGTACTAAACTCTCTCCGGTAAAAGTTCAAAAGCTGCACTCAACGATTTATAGGAACCTATGTTTACATACTAATGAGGCTGATACAAAGCTGGCAATGATACATTCTATCTGGGCAGGATGCATGGTGATTTGTTTTTTAGAGAATTAGGTGCTACTAGGAAATATGTGAGCTCTGGCGTTCTGTTCTTCATGGGCAACTTGAGGGGAAATTGTCCATTCTTAAGTCTTTGTTTGTGTTTGTTTATATGCCTTTCTCGCTTCACTGCTAATGTGGCATATTATTTCATAATCACAGAAAGACTGATTTATAGGAAAATAAAATTATATACAAGTGTTTCATGGTTTAGTAAATAATAATCTTCAAACTACTTAGTGATGTTATTATTATTGTCATTATGACCTTGACTGTTGTCATTCAATATACAAATAAACTTGCTCATATCACAGCTGGGAATTTTTTATCCAACTTCCTAATTTCAGGCAATACTAGATTGTGAAAATCACAAGGTAGCTTGTGGATATAAGACAAGGAAGAGGAATTCCTCCGTCTTTTAATTAATGTTTAAAAAGTTGTTATTCTGTGTTAGAAATAACACATGCTTTTGAACAGGGATATACATAAACTTAACTAATTCATAATGTCTTTATTTTTTTTGACTTTCACATTTGTCAAATGCCAATATAATAGCTTCAACTTATCTAGCTGTTGTGAGAATTAAATGAGATTATAGAGTGCACCTTATTAACAGAAATATTTTTAAATCTAAACAAGTAATATTATTTGGTACTATCCTCATTGTACCGAGTTAAAGCAATTTTCTTGTACATTTTTAAGGAATAAACACACAAAATTAGCCAAAATACTGACATATATCCAACCAACAGTGAATCCAATTTCAGTGTATTATGAAGGGAAATCAAGGCATAAAAACATCAAGTGTGTTTCAATTTAAGAAAAGAAAAACTATTCGGGTTAGAAAAAGAGTTTGGAAGGTGTATCATCAGAGGATCAGTGAAAAGAGAAAACAGAAACTATCCTAGATATTTTAGGCAGAATGGCAGTTAAGTATGGAATTAGATGATTTTAAACCCTTGGGAAGCACTGGGGAGCAGTACTTCTAGCTTCAGGAAATCAGGATGTTTCAGGGATCACAAGAAACTGCAGCTGATCATCTCAGCTCCTACAACAGTGAAACAGGTATTCTTAAGAGAATGCCCAGAAGGCACAGCAAAACTCAGGACTTTCCAAGTCTACTACTGCCTGTCAACATCTCAAGAGTGCAAAAGCTCCTTCTTCCCTCCCGATTCCCAATCCTCCACTAATACCCCTCCCAGCATAATCCAAACCACAAGACTGCTGGCATGAAAGTTTAGAAAAGGTAGTTTCCAGGCTTCCAGCTTCTGTAGAACAAGAGCCAACTTAGAAGGGCAGAACGGTGCTGAGTGCCAGAGGATATTCTCAGGAAAATCAAGATAGTAATAGAAATACCGCGACATTGAAGAAAGCTGTTTGTAGCAAGAAATAAAAAAGTTAAGTCCATTTGAGGCTGACTCTAGGAAGAGTTTCTTTTGAACAGTAAAAAATTTATAAAATTGAATTCAGTGGGAAATGCATGTATTTCTCACATTGAATTAGATATTAAATTGACATTTAAAATTAATACAAATGTCATTTACTTTACGTGCCATCTTAATAAATGTTTAATTATTTTAAAAGTAAACTACTGCTGTCTCAGTGTTAATTCCAGGAGATTTAATTGTATTGTTCGTTTCCTTTCACTCTTTTTTCTCTAATCTTGTCTTCTCACTTTATTTCATTAATTTGATCTTCAATCACTGATATCGTTTCTTCCACTTGATTGAATTGGCTATTGAAGCTTGTGCATGCATCACGAAGTTCTCGGGCCGTGGTTTTCAGCTCCATCAGGTCATTTAAGGTCTTCTCTACACTGTTTATTCTAGTTAGCTATTCATCTAACCTTTTTTCAAGGTTTTTAGCTTCCTTGCGATGGGTTAGAACACGCTCCTTTAGCTTGGAGAAGTTTGTTATTATGGACCTTCTGAAGCCTACTTCTGTCAACTCGTCAAACTCATTCTCCATCCAATTTTGTTCCCTTGTTGGCAAGGAGCTGCGATCCTTTGGAAGAGAAGAGGCACTCTGTTTTTGGAATTTTCAGCTTTTCTGCTCTGGTTTCTCCCCATCTTTGTGGTTTTATCTACCTTTGTTCTTTGATGTTGGTGACCTACAGATGGGGTTTTGGTGTCGATGTCCTTTTTGTTGATGTTGATGCTATTCCTTTCCATTTGTTAGTTTTCCTTCTAAGAGTCAGACCCCTCAGCTGCAGGTCTGTTGGAGTTTGCTGGAGGTCCACTCCAGACCCTGTTTGCCTGGGTATCACCAGCGGAGGCTGCAGAACAGCAAATATTGCTGCCTGATCTTTCTTCTGGAAGCTTTGTCCCAGAGGAGCACCCACCTGTTTGAGGTGTCTGTTGGCCCCTACTAGGAGGTGTTTCCCAGTCAGGCTACACGGGGGTCAAGGACCCGCTTGAGGAGGCAGTCTGTCTGTTCTCAGAGCTTGAACACTGTGTTGGGAGAACCACTGCTCTCTTCAGAGCTGTCACACAGGGATGTTTAAGTCTGCAGAAACCGTCTGCTGCCTTTTTTTCTGCTATGCCCTGCCCTCAGAGGTGGAGCTGACCTGTGATGGGCTCCACCCAGTTTGTGCTTCCCTGCTGCTTTGTTTACACTGTGACCTACTCAAGCCTCAGTAATGGTGGACACCCCTCCCCCCGCCAAGCTCCCGCATCCCAGGTGGATCTCAGACTGCTGTGCTAGCAGTAAGCAAGGCTCTATGGGTGTGGGACCCGCCAAGCCAGACATGGGAGGGTATCTCCTGGTCTGCCAGTTGCTGAGACCATGGGAAAAGTGCAGTGTTTGGTCAGGAGTGTACCCATTTCTCCAGGTACAGTCTGTCATGGCTTCCTTTGGCTAGGAAAGAGAAATTCCCCAACCTCTTGCACTTTCTGGGTGAGGTGATGACCCCCCCTGCTTCAGCTTGCCCTCCATGGGCTGCACCCACTATCCAACCAGTCCCAATGAGATAAACCAGGTACCTCAGTTGGAAATGCAGAAATCACCCCTCTTCTGCATCAGTCTCACTGGGAGCCACTGCAGACCGGAGCTGTTACTATTCGGCCATCTTGGAAGTGACTCTCCTCTGCCTTTTCTTTTCAGCAGTTTTACAATAATAGGCTCTGTGTGTGTGTGTGTGTGTGTGTGTGTGTGTGTGTGTGTGTGTGTGTGTGTGCACGTGCCAGTTGGAAAATATTTTTAGCCATTAGCTCTTCAAATATTGCTTCTTCCTTGTTCTCTCTTTCTGGGAATCTTATTACATGTATATTACAACTTTTCACCTAGACTGTCTTGTTGTTTTCTCTATTTTTTATTCTTCTTTGCTCACTATCCATTAGTATAGATATTTTCTATTAATCTTTTTTTTTACTTCACTGATCTTGATTTCTGTTAAGCCCAATCTGTGTTGTCTACCTATTGGGTTCCTAATTTCAATTATTACATTTATTTTATAGTTTTAGAATTTCTGATTATTTAAAAAAAATAAATTGTAGTTTTCTAATAAAATTCTTCACTTTTTTGTCTATTTATCAGACTTATTAATCACCATTATTCTAAAGTCAGCATCTGATCATCTCAAATGAATCAACTATGGGTATTTGTTTGTTTTATTGAAATTCTGGACATTTTAATAAAAATTGAGAGACTCTGGATATCTTTTTCATAAAATGTTTACCCTATCTCCAGGTAGGCAACTTGAAAGCAAATAGATCACCTTAATGCAACCAAGAATGAAGCTGCCTTGAAACAGGGTTTCAGTTTTTTAGTAAGGTTTAGTGTACATCAGTTTAATCTCATCTACTAGGAATGAAGCTTTCCATAGGACTTAGCTGAGACCTAGGATGTCTACTAGAGACACTTTTTGTTGGGTTCTAACTGTAATTTTTTTGTCTTCTCAAAACTATACCACTTAAAAATATGTTTTAATATTTAGCAGCTTTCTGCTGACAATCCCATTTTTTTCGTTATGCTCAACTTAAGAACTTAGCAAATTATATAAGGCTGAAAAACACAGCATTTAACTCTCTTCTCTGTGTCTCCCTTATTTCTATGATTTGCCCCCTCAATCTGACTGCATAGGCAACCTCAAATGTCACTTTTATCATCTTGATCCCCTTGAGATTTTCAAAAGTTGTGCTCTCCTTTCTACCTCATAAACATAGACATCAATAATATTTCTCAGTTATTTCCCTAAATCAACAACCTTCCAAAATACAGATGGAAAAACAACTTGCAGAATATCAGTTAACTTCTATGCTATTCTTTTTCTTCCTAGATCTTGCTTGCTTAAGTATGGGTTGCCTCATCAGCTCTCCAGTGACTTCAAATAGATATTTTGTGTGTGTGTGTTGTCCAATATTTTCTGTTTGTTCTTGGCCAAATAATTTGTCATGCACAATCTACTGCATCATGGTTGGTTGTAGAAGTACACAATTATTGAATATTTCATGTATTATAATATGCACAAAATGATATGTTTTTCCAGTTACTTTGATTTCTTAGATAAAATAGATTTCATAGGTGTAATGAATATATTTTTGTGTTTTATCCTTTTTTTCTTTTTGAACTTTTACTACTGAATCAGGGGGTCATATGCAGGTTTGTTACAAAGGTATATTTTATGATGCTGAGGTTTGGAATGTGACTAAACCCTTCATGTGAATAATGAGCATAGTACCCAGAGGTAGTTTTTCAGCCCTTTCTCCCCTTCCTCTCTCCCCTTCTAGTAGTCCCAAGTATCTGTTGTTCCGATCTTTATGTCTATGTGTACCCAGTGTTTAGCTCCCGCTTGTAAGTGAGAACATGCAGCATTTGGTTTTCTGTTTCTGCATTACTTTCCTTAGGATAATGGGCTCCAGCTGCAACCAAAATGCTGCAGAGGACATGATGTTTTTTTTTTATAACTAAAGAGTATTCCATGGTATATATGTACTACACTTTCTTTATCCAATCCACCATTGATGGGCACCTTGGTTGATTCCATGTTTTTGTTTTTAGGAACATTGCTGCAGTGACCATTTGGGTGCATGTGTCCTTCTGGTAGAATAATTTATTTACTTTTAGATATTAAATATATACCCAGGAAAGGAATTGCTGGGTTAAATAATAATTCTTATTTGTATTGAGATTACTTATGAGGACTCAGCCATAAATTATTTGTCAAGTCTGATATCAAGAAGGATATATCCTAGGTTTTCTTCTAGGATTTTTGTATTTTGAGGTCTACCTTGAAGTCTTTAATACTTCTTCAGTTAATTTTTGTATATGGTGATAGGTAGGAGTCTAGTTTCATTGTTCCACATATGGATAGCCAGTGTCACCAGCACCATTTATTGAATAGGGAGTCTTTTCCCCATTGATAATTTTTGTTGAGTTTGCTGAAGATCAGACTATAAGTGTTATAATTGCTTGTAGATGTGAGGCTTTATTTCTGAGTTCTCCAATGTATTCCATTGGTTTATATATCTATTTTTGTACCAGTACCATGCTATTTTAGTTACTGTAGCCTTGTGGTATAGTTTGAAGTCAGAAATTGTGATGCCTGTGGATTGTTCTTTTTGCTTAGGATTGCTTTGGCTATCTGGGCTCCTTTTTGGTTCCAAGTAAATTTTAGAATAGTAATTTATAGTTCTGTGAAAAATGATATTTGTACTTTGGTAGGAATAACATTGAATTTGTAGATTGCTTTGGGCAGTATGGTCATTTTAATAATATTGATTTTTCTAATCCATGAACATAGAATGTTTTTCCACTTATTTGTGTCATTTCTAATTTCTTTCAGCAATCATTTTTGAGTTCTTCTTGCAGAGATCTTTCACCTCCTTGGTTCGATGTATTCCTAGATATTTCACTTTTTTGTTTATGGCCATTGTAAATGGAATTATCTTCTTGATTTTGCTCTCAACTAGAACCTTATTAATGTATATAAATGCTATTGATTTTTGTATATTGATTTTGTATCCTAAAACTTTATTGAAGTTGCTTATCAGCTCTAAGAGCTGTTTGATGGAGTTTTCAGGACTTTCTAGGTATAGGATTATATTATTAGTCAAGAGAGGTAGTTTGACTTCTCCTTGTCTTATTTAAATGTCGTTTATTTCTTTCTCTTGCCTGATTGTTCTGGCTTGGACTTACAGTACTATATTGAATAGGAGTGCTAAGAGTGGGAATACTTGTCTTGTTCCAGTTCTCAAGGGGAATGGTTCCTGTTTTTAGCCATTCAGAATAATGTTGGCTGTGGGCTTGACATACACAGCTCTATTTTGAGGCAAGTTCCTTTGATGCCTAATTTGTTAAGGGCTTTTATTATGAAGGGATGCTGGATTTTGTCAAAAGTTTTTCTGATCTATTGAGATGATCATATAGTTTTTGTTTTTAATTCTGTTCATGTGATAAATCACATTTATCAATTTGCTTATTGTATTAGTCTGTTCTCACACTGCTAATAAAGACATACCTGAGACTGGGTAATTTATAAAGGACAGAGGTTTAATTGACTCACAGTTCCACATGGATGGGGAGGCCTCACAATCATGGCAGAAGGAGAATGCAGAGCAAAGTCACATATTACGTGGTGTCAGGCAAGAGAGCATGTGCAGGGAAACTCACCTTTATAAAACCATCAGATCTCATGAGACTTATTCACTATCACAAGAAGAGCATGGGAAAGACCCACCACCATGATTCAATTACCTCCCACTGGGTCCCTCTCATTTGGAATGGATGTATTTACCCAATTCTTGTATCCCCATTTTATCTAGGAAGTAACTAACTTGCTTTTAATTTTACAGGCTTATAGGCAGAAGGGACTTGCCTTGTGTCGGGTAAGACTTTGGACTGTGGACTTTGTCCTCAGTCAACGACAAGGCTGTCCCCAGTTGACAACAAAGGCCACATTGGAATTGCAAGCTTTCATGGGAATTATGGGAGCTAAAATTCAAGATGAGATTTGGGTAAGAATACAGCCAAACCATATCATTTAGCCCACAGCCCCTTCCAAATTTCATGTCCTCACATTTCAAAACCAATCATGCCTTCCCAACAGTCTCCCAAAGTGTTAACTCATTTAGCATTAACTCAAAAGTTTACAGTCCAAAGTCTCATCTGAGATAAGGCAAGTCATTTCTGCCTATGAGCCTGTAAAATCAGAAGCAAGTTAGTTACTTCCTAGGTACACTGGAGATACAGGCATTGGGTAAATTACACCTGCTCCAAATGAGATAAATTGGCCAAAATGAAGAGTCTACAGACCTCATGCAAGTCCGAAATCCAGTGGGGCAGTCAAATCTTAAAGCTCCAAAATGATCTCCTTTGACTCCATGTCTCACATCCAGGGCACACTGATGCAAGATGTGGGCTCCCACGACCTTGGGCAACTCTGCCCCTGTGGCTTTGCAGGGTACAGCTCCCTCCTGGCTGCTTTCATTGTCTGGCATTGAGTGTCTGTGGCTTTTCCAGGCACACAGTTCAAGCTGTCAGTGGATCTACCATTCTGGGGTCTGGAGGACAGTGGCCCTCTTCTCACAGCTCCACTAGGCAGTGCCCCAGTAGGGAGTCTCTGTGGAGGCTCCCACCCCACATTTCCCTTCCATACTGCCCTAGCAGAGGTTCTCAGTGAGGGCTCTGCTTTTGAAGCACACCTCTGTCTGGACATCCAGACATTTCCATACATTCTCTGAAATCTAGGCAGAAGTTCCCAAACCTCACTTCTTGACTTCTGTGCACCTGCAGGCTCAACACCACATGGAAGCTGCCAAGGCTTGGGGCTTGCATCCTCTGAAGCCATGTCCTGAGTTGTACCTTGGCCTCTTTTAGCCATGGATGGAGTGGCTGGGACACAGGGCACCAAGTCCTGAGGCTATACACAGCAGTGGGGCCCAGGAAATCATTCTTTCCTCCTAGACCTCTGGGCCTGTGATGGGAGGGGCTGCCATGAAAGTCTCTGATGTGGCCTGGAGACATTTTTCCCATTGTCTTGGCGATTAGCATTTGGCTCCTGTGCAAATTTCTGTAGCAGCCTTGAATTTCTCCCAATAAAATGTTTTTTTTTTCTAATTTTTATTTTTCTACTGCATTGTCAGGCTGCAAATTTTTCAAATTTTTATGCTCTGCTTCTTCTTGAACACTTTACCTCTTAGAGGTTTCTTCTGCCAGAAACCCTAAATCATCTCTCTCAAGTTCAAAGTTTCACAGATCTCTAGTGGAGGGGCAAAAGGCCGCCAGTCTCTTTGCATAGCAAGAGTGACCTTTACTCCCATTCCCAACAAGTTCCTCATCTTGATCTGAGACCACCTCAGCCTGGACTTTATTGTCCATATCACTATCAGCATTTTGATCAAAGCCATTCAACAAGTCTCTAGAAAGTTCCAAACTTTCCCACATTTTTCTATCTTCTTGTGAGCCCTCTAAACTGTTCCAACCTCTGCCTGTTGCCCAATTCCAAAGTTGTGTCAACATTTTTGGGTATCTTTACAGCAGCATCCCACTCTACTGGTACCAATTTATTGTATTAGTCTGTTCCCACACTGCTAATAAAGATGTATCCAAGACTGGGTAATTTATAAAGAAAAGAGGTTTAATTGATGCACAGTTCCACATGGCTGAGGAGGCCTCAAAACCATGGTGGAAGGGGAATGAGGAGCAAAGTCACATCTTACATGGCAGCAGGCAAGAGAGTGTACATGGGAACTCCCCTTTATAAAACCATCAGATCTCATGAGATTTATTCACTATCATGAGAACAGCATGGGAAAGATCTGCCCCCATGATTCAATTACTTCTCACCAGATCCCTCTATCGGGGGAAACCAGCCCCCAATATTAAACGTAGTTATTTTCTATTTTCCCTAAGTGTTGGCCAGTCTGAGAAATAAAGGGAAAGAGTACAAAAGAGAGAAATTTTAAAGCTGGGTGTCCAGGGGAGACATCACATGTCAGCAGGTTCCGTGATACCCCCCGAGCCACAAAACCAGCAAGTTTTTATTAGCAATTTTCAAAGGGGAGGGAGTGTATGAATAGGATGTGTGTCACAGGGATCACATGCTTCAAGGGCAACAAAAGATCACAAGGCAGAAGGTCAGGGCAAGATCACAAGGTCAGGGTGAAACTAGAATCACTAATGAACTTCCATGTCCCACTGTGCATGCATTGTCATTGATAACCATCTTCACAGGGTTCAAGAGCAGAGAACCAGTCTCACTAGAATTCACCAGCCTGGAATTTCCTAATCCTAGCAAGCCTGGGGGTGCTGCAGGAGGCCAGGTCGTGTTTCATGCCTTATCTGCAACTGCATAAGGCAGACAGCCCCAGAGTGGCCGTTTTAAAGGCCCCCCCTGGAAATGCACTCTTTTCCCAGGGCTGTTAATTATTAATATTCCTTACTGGGGAAAGAATTCAGTGATATTTCTCTTACCCGTTTTCAGTAATAAGAGAAATATGGCTCTGTCCTGCCCGGCCCACAGGCAGCCAGACTTTAAGGTTATCTCCCTTATTCCCTGAAAATCACTGTCATCCTGTTCTTAAGGTGCCCAGATTTCATATTGTTCAAACACACATGCTTTATGAACAATTTGTGCAGTTAATGCAATCATCGCAGGGTCCTGAGGCGACAAACATCCTCAGTTTACAAAGATGATGGGATTAAGAGATTAAAGTAAAGACAGGCATAGGAAATTATAACAGTATTGATTGGGGAAGTGATAAATGTCCATGAAATCTTCACAATTTATGTTCTTCTGTCACGGCTTTAGCAGGTCCCTCCGTTCAGGGTCCCTGACTTCCTGCAACACCTTCCATGACATGGGAATAATGGGAACTACAACTCAAGATAAGATTTGGGTGGGGTCACTTCCAAACCATATCACATATGTTGAACCAACCTTGCTTCCTAGGAATAAAGCCTAGTAGATTGTGATAAATTAACTTTTTGATGTTTTACTGGGTATGGTTTGCTAGCATTTTGTTGAGGGTTTTTGCACCTATATTCATCAGGGAAATTGGCCTGCAGTTTTCTTTTTTCACTGTGTCTCTGCCAGATTTTGGTATCAGGATGATGCTGGCTTTATGAAATGTTAGGGAGGTGTCTCTCTTCAATTTTTGGAATAGCTCTAGTTGGCTTGGTAGCAGTTCGTCTTTGGATGTCTGGTAGAATTCAGTTTTGTGTTCATTTAGTCCAGGGCTTTTATTGGTTAGTAGGTTATTACTGATACAATTTTAGAATTCATTATTCATCTATTCAGCTTTTCACTTTCTTTCTTGTTCAGTCTTGGGAAGTTGTGTGTCTCTAGGAATTTATCCATTTCTGTAGATTTTCTAATTTGTGGGCATAAAGGTGTTCATAATAGTTTCTGAGGATCTTTTGTGTTTCTGTGGGATTAGTTGTAACACCATCTTTGTCATTAT